>NC_000002.12:109307799-109610830 GCF_000001405.40 Homo sapiens | reverse complement strand
CGAGAGGAATTACATTAAATGTTTATATCGATTTAGGGAGAATTGATAGCTTTACTATGTTGAGTCTTCTAACTCATGTACATAGTATTTCTCTTCATTTCTCTCTTTTTTTTTGAAGACGGAATGTCGCTTTGTCACCCAGGCTGGAGTTCAATAGCATGATCTCAGCTCACCGCAGCCTCCACCTCCCTGGTTCAAGCGATTCTCCTACCCCAGCCTCCTGAGTAGTTGGGATTACAGGCATGTGCCACCACGCCCGGCTAATTTTTTGTATTTTTAGTAGACACAGGGTTTCTCCATGTTGGTCAAGCTGGTCTTGAACTCCCAACCTCAGGTGATCCACCCGTCTCAGTCTCCCGAAGTGTTGGGATTACAGGCGTGAGCCACCATGCCCGGCCCAGACCTTTTTTTTAATAGAAGAGGATATTAAAATTCAGGGAAGTGGCTGGGCGCAGTGGCTCACACCTGTAATCCCAGCACTTTGGGAGGCCCAGATGGATGGATCATGAGGTCAAGAGATTGAGACCATCCTGGCCAACACCGTAAAACCCCATCTCTGCTAAAAATACAGGAAATTAGCTGGGCTTGGTGGCATGCGCCTGTAGTCCCAACTACTTGGGAGGCTGAGGCAGGAGGATCACTTGAACCTGAGAGGTGGAGGTTGCAGTAAGCTGAGATCGCGCCACTGCACTCCAGCCTGGCGACAGAGTGAGACTCTGTCTAAAAAAAAAAAAACACCTCAGGGAAGTTTAGTGTCTCGCTTAAGGAATCACAGCTAGTGATTGTGAGATCTGCTCTGTGTCATATTGTCCCTGCCATTATCTCCACCATGCTCCTTATTAGGAATTGCATCATTTTATGATTCAGGAGATCCTGGCTGTATAATTAGTTATTGTTGACTGAGATAGTGGATCTTGAAATAGTGTTGAGTACAGTCCACTGACTGCCTTTTCATCTCCCGAGAAACACAGCCATAATTTTCCACTTCTTCAGTTATCCTTACCTTTTAAGTGGTGACCAAATCTTTGCAATTCCTGTCCGCATTTGTCATTTCCTGTTTTAGCTACAATGCTTCTGAACTTTTTTTCTCATTCCTTCTCAGTTTTTCTTCAGTGAGGATAATTTTCGTATCTAAGAGGCTTCTCATTTGTTTTACTTTCTGTCTTGAAGTTGTGATTCTTAATTCTTTCTTGATCTTTTTTTTTTTTTTTTTTTGAGGCGGAGTCTTGCTCTGTCACCCAGGCTAGAGTGCAGTGGCGCGATCTCGGCAGTGAAAAGACTCAGTTCCCATGCTGCTTCCTCTGAAGCTTTCCCAGAGAACCCCAGCCCCTGGCAGCCAGGCTGCTTCTCATTTGGTATTTGGTCATATGCTACCTTGCAGTACCTCCTAATTTATGTTTTTGTATTGTTAACCTTTTGCATCAAGTAAACTCTGCATTTTTTTCGTCCTTAATTAAATGATCTGTTTTCTGGAAGAGCAACCTGTATTATTCTTTGTATCCTCCATAGCCATACTCATATATCTTTGAGGACAGGCATTATTTTTTTATATGGAAAGTATGTTATCTTGGACAATTTTATTCTTGCTGAATGTTAAATGAATAAATTATAAATGCTTGCAGGCAGCCAGGAGCTGTTTGTTCATCTACACTTATGTTCTAATGAAGCCCCACTTTCCCTAGGCTGAAACACTGATAGTGTCATACTTTTCAGATAGTCCCAGACCGATTTTCATTATAACATAGTGCCAGGTTATGTTTGGATTAATTGATTGATTGATTGATATATTTTGGTCTGTGGGAAAGAAGGAGAAGGATGCTCTTAAATTTTTATAATCTACTGCAGGATAGAGTCCCTCTCTTCAAGAATACATACAGGACCCTTGCTTTCAACCATATTAATGTGATTTATCTCTGCTTTAGATTTTGAGCATTCCTAGTATAAAATGCCTGATGCGCAAAGCTTTTGTAATGAGAACTTTAATTCTTACACTTTCTTCTGATAATATCTGGAAGGTTGATTTAGATAATGCTTTATTTAGAAAATTTAATTTTTTTTTAGGATTTGTATCTACTACTGATTTAAGGATTTTGGAGGAGGAATCATGTATCTCATAGTCATAATGACGAAAGTAAAATATTTTAAATTCTAATGTTAAATACCTTAAAACAAATATGATTTAATAGCTTGGGATATAGCACTTATACTTTGTTGGTATTACTTTTAGTAAATAGGCTACCTGGTCAGGCTCCCTGGTCTGTGCCAGGTAGGATGGGCTCCCCAGCCCCTCCTCACTAGTTTCAGCCTAAGATCATATGACCAAGGAACTTACCAAAGATAAGGTAGAAATGTGGCTATTCTCTGATTTCCTTTACCTTCCTCCCTTAAGAATCAGATCAAGTTTATCCTGCCCTCTGTGTGGTCTGTATTTATGGGGATAGCAAGAAAGTCCTATTGTCTTAGAGTGCGTGTTACATAGAAAGAGTTCACAAATTGTGAAATATTAGGTAGGGAGTATATTGATGGATACCTTGAATGTTCTGTGAGTGTCCATGAGAAAACTGTATCCCAGTCTCTCATGGACAAATAGAAGCTGTGCATGGTGACATTTTTCCTTAGCTGCATATATACTATTTGGCAGGAACATTGCCTTGAGCTCTAAATTAGTCCAGAATTACTCAAATGATTTTTGAAAATTAAAATAAAAAGCTGCTTTTGTTATAAAAGACCTTTAAGAGGATAGTTGACTAAGTTTAATTCTATGTGTATAGATGAGAAATGTTCTCACTGACAAATTAGTAGCTAGTTCTGCTCAATCTGAATGAGTCACGGCTTCAGAAACAGACATTGAACTTTTCCCCATCTCCAGCATAATCTTCAGTTTTTTTTCCCATTTGCACTGCATGAAATCTACTTTATAGAAAGTCCTTTTGTCGTCTTATAAAAGTATAGATACCTCCAGACAAGTTAGTCAGTGGGTGACTTTCCTAATGCCTAGGGAGATCCTGGGAATCAAGGAAGTCAGAGTTTCCCTAGGGGTGAACACAGGTAGGTAGTTTTGATTTAGGGCAGGTTGGGTGAGAAGTCAGGGGAGGAAAGACTAAACTTTGCCTTTTTCAAGGTTTATCTAGAACAGTGTTTCTCAACATTTTTTCATTATTACCCCCTCAGGAGAAAAATTACATTTAAATAAAATGTAATTAATAACAGATTTAATTTTTATTAAATTAGCCCAGGTAATTAAGTTCTCCCTAATGGGAGGAATCCAGTACTAAAGAATATACATTTTTCAGATAAGGTTGAGCTTTGGTGAGGGCCACAGACCATTTGTTTATTTATTTATTTTTGTCCTCCCAAGAACCGATTTCTGCTCTCTTTAGGGGGAGAGATAATACAGGTACTGCCCCCATTGAGAATGCATGATCCATGGTTAGCCATCCTAGCAATAGGGCAACATATGTTTTTTCTTCTGAGTCTGCTACTAGATTTGAAAACAGTCTAAGACTAAATACTCTGTACATTATAAGTTAAATGAGGCATTCAAGAACTTACTCAGGACCTTAGCTGTTTGTAATATTGTTTCTATGGAGACTGTAGTCTTACTCCAAGCAGCTTACTAATATGAATTTTTGGAAAATACAAATTATTTGTGTGATTATGATTTATACTACCTTTAAATAAGTAGAATGAAAGCTTTTTACAAAAAGCTCAATATTGAGCTAAATAGTAAACGAAGCGATGGCCATGGATTAGCGGAGAAGAGCAGGCTAGACATTTTAGACAGGAAGAATATTCACTGTCTGACACTGTTTATATGCTGAAACTTAAAATAACATGAGAAGCCTTTCAATTCTTCACTATTCATGAAAGAAATAGCTTTGCTGGGCGTGGTGGCTCATGCCTGTAATCCCAGCACTTTGGGAGGCTGAGGTGGGTGGGTCACCTCCGGTCAGGAGTTTGAGACCAGCCTGGTCAACATGGTAAAACCCTGTGCCTAGTGGTGCGTGCCTGTAGTCCCAGCTACTCGGGAGGCTAAGGCAGGAGAATCGCTTGAACCTGCGAGACGGAGGTTGCAGTGAGCCGACATTGCACCACTGCACTCCAGCCTGAGTGACAGAGTGAGACTCCATCTCAAAAAAAAAAAAAAAAAAAAAAAAAGCTTAAAATTTTTAGTGCAATTTTTTTTTTAATAAAAGGGAACTTTTTAGCTATTATTTTCAACTTTTAGTGGCCTAGTAATCTCTGAAGATCTTTGCAGGTAATAAAGTAGTCAAGATATATTTTTCTGTGGACTTGTCCTTTATGGCTATAACTATGTCCACTATGGTAATTGAATGCTACCAGATGCTGAAGTGCATTCACCATGGCAAGTACTTCCCTTGTGTTATCACATTTTATTTTTTATTTTTTGTTTTTTGAGACAGAGTCTTGCTTTGTCGCCAGACTGGAATGCAGTGGTGCAGTGTTGGCTCACTGCAACCTCTGCCTCCCGGGTTCAAACGATTCTCCTGCCTCAGCCTCCGGAGTAGCTGGGATTACAGGCATGTGCCACCACACCCAGCTAATTTTTGTAGTTCTAGTAGAAGCGGGGTTTCACCATGTTGGCCAGGGTGGTCTCAATCTCTTGACTTTGTAATCCTCCCTCCTTGGTCTCCCAAAGTGCTGGGATTACAGGCATGAGCCACGGCACCCGGCCTGTGTTACCACATTTTATTCTCCCAGCCCATGAGCTGAGTACTGTTATCTCTAGTTTTTTGGATGAGATGCAACTTTCACACATCCTTGCACAAAATGTCTTTTGTTTCCTCCATGTTGTCTTTGTACCTCCTTGCCCCAGACCTCATTCCAGGCTTTGGCAGTTCTTAATGATGCAGCATTTTGCATCTGTTGCTACTATACAGTTAATTCTAACAGCCTTCTTAACATACATTTATACTGATGTCATGCTAACTCTTCTTCTTTGTGACATGGATCATTGAGAGAATTTCTGGGGGCTCTCTGTTTTGGTAGAAGATAGGCTGCTTGTCACATAGTAACAGAAATTCTGTTGTATAGAAAAGAATTATAATTTACAGTTTCCATGTAACTCTGAGGACTAAAGAACCTAATACAGCATTATAATTTGAACAGTTGGAGAAAATAATTTTGTTTTGTATTTGCATATTTTGCTATATATTTTCTTTTTTGTTGATTACAAAAATTATACAGATATTATTTAGCTTATCCTCAGGTATTCTGATTAGCTTTTTTAGCTACACTTTCCCATTTACCTACCTTTTAGTCAGAAAATTATGTTATACTTTTATGAATTAACTTTGTTATTCAAGTACAATTTATTTATTTATTTATTATTATTTTTTGAAATGGAGTTTCACTCTTGTCGCTCAGAGTAGAGTGCAGTGGTACGATCTCAGCTCACTGCAACCTCCATTTCCCGGGTTCAAACGATTCTCCTGCCTCAGCCTCCTGAGTAGCTGGGATTACGGGCACCTGCCACCATGCCTGGCTAATTTTTGTATTTTTAGTAGAGACAGAGTTTCACCATGTTGGGCAGGCTGGTCTCAAACTCCTGACCTCAGGTGATCTGCCTGATCATACTAGTAATATGGTATAATTATATTCAGCCCAAAAACTAAGCCTGACTGGCTTGATGAATTAAGCTGAATCTTTAATGCTCTTATCAGTGTAGAACAATTCAAGTCTCAAGGAATCAATGGAAACTTCAAGAGAAGTGAGAATTACCACTGGGCCACGTATATTTGTTTTTGATAATGTAAAATTTTACATAAAAGTTCTTTGAGGGATCCAAGGTGCTCATAGGAACCTTAAACTCAGTAGTTCCAAAGTTGCATCAAACCTGTGCTGATTCCTCTCCTATTCTCTTTCCTGCTTCACAGTGACGTCTCTCCAGTGACCTTAGTTTGAGTCACTTGGACTCAGAATCATGAAGTCAGCTTCTTGCAGCCTCACCTTTTCTGCTGTCCTTGCATTTACATGTAAGCCTCCTTGGGCTTCAGTGATGAGCTCACTGTGATTTTCCAACCATACCAGTTATATTTGTACCCTTGGCACACGCAGATTCCACTACTGTGTTGTCCCTCCCCTCCCCTCCCCAGAGTCTCGTTCTGTCACCCAGGCTGGAGTGGCTCAATCTTGGCTCACTGTAAGCTCCGCCTCCCCGGTTCATGCCATTCTCCTGCCTCAGCCTCTTGAGTACCTGGGACTACAGGCACCCGCCACCATGCCTGGCTAATTTTTTGTATTTTTACTGGAGACAGGGTTTCACCATGTTAGCCAGGATGGTCTCGATCTCCTGACCTCGTGATCCCACCCGCCTCGGCCTCCCAAAGTGCTAGGATTACAGGCCTCAGCCACCACGCCCGGCCTCTTTTCTTTTCTTTCTTTCTTTTTTCTTTCTTTCTTTTCTCCCCGCCCCGCCCCTCCCCTTCCCTTCCCTTCTTTCCTTTCTTTCTTTTTCTTTCTTTCTTTCTATGGGGTCCCGCTCTGTCACCCAGGCTGGAGTGCAGTGGCGCAGTCTCAACCACTGCAACCTCTGCCTCCTAGGTTCAAGCAATTCTCCTGTCTCAGCCTCCCAAGTTGCTGGGATTACAGGCACACACCACCACACCTGGCTAATTTTTTTTTTAATTCTTTTTTTTTTTTTTTTTTGAGGCAGAGTCTCGCTCTGTCGCCCAGGCTGGAGTGCAGTGGCATGATCTCGGCTCACTGCAATCTCCACCTCCCAGGTTCACACCATTCTCCTGCCTCAGCCTCCCGAGTAGCTGGGACTACAGGCATCTGCCACTATGCCCGGCTAATTTTTTTGTATTTTTAGTAGAGATGGGGTTTCACCGTGTTAGCCAGGATGGTCTCGATCTCCTGACCTCGTGATCCGCCCGCCTCGGCCTCCCAAAGTGCTGGGATTACAGGTGTGAGCCACCGTGCCCGGCTTAAAATTTTAATTAGAGACGGTTTCACCATATTGGCCAGGCTGGTATCGAACTGCTGACCTCAGGACCCACCACGCCCAACCTGTCTTGTCTTTATTTGCTAGGAAATTTCCTGTTTCTTCATCAAGTCTCTGCTCAAGCCTTTTCTTGCCAGTGCTTTCTCTGACTATGTAGATTTCATTATACCCTGAGTGTCTTTTCCAGATTTTTAGTTGTATGTATGTCTCCCAATTGTACTAAGATTTAAATTGCAAGGATATTGATTTATACAGCTTCGATCCACAATACCTGGGGTCTGTTATTCTGTCCTTAAAATGTAAGGCTTTAAAAATAATATTATGAGGCCGGGCGCGGTGGTGCACGCCTGTAATCCCAGCTCTTTGGGAGGCTGAGGCAGGCGGATCACGAGGTCAGGAGATTGAGACCATCTTGGCTAACAGGGTGAAACCCCATCTCTACTAAAAATACACAGAAAAAAATTAGCCAGGCGTGGCGGTGTGTGCCTGTAGTCCCAGCTGCTGGGGAGGCTGAGGCAGGAGAATGGCGTGAACCCAGGAGGTGGGGCTTGCAGTGAGCCGAGATTGCGCCACTGCACTCCAGCCTGGGTGACACAGTGAGACTGTCTCAAAAAAAAAAATAATAATATTAATAATGATAATAATAACATTATGTACATTTGTGGAGTAAGTGAAAAACAATAAGCATTGATAGACTTCACACTGATTCCTAAGTATTCTTTTTTCCCAGATGTTCCTGTCAACTTTAGGTCCTTTTAATGCTTTTTTGTTTTGTTTTTTTTGTTTTGTTTTTGAGACAGGGCCTTGCTCTGTTGCCCAGGCTGGAGTACAGTGGTGCAGTCACAGCTTACTGCAGCCTTGACCTCCCAGGCTCAGATGATCCTCCTGCCTCAGTCTTCCAAGTATCAGTTTCCACAGGTACACACCACTGTGCCTGGCTAATTTTTTTTTTTTTTTTTTTTGAGACAGGGTCTGCCTATGTTGTTCAGGCTTTAAGTCCTTTTAATGGGTATCTATTTCTCTTCCTTCCCCTTTTCTTCAGCTCCTCTCTCATTTGCTTTTCCTGGGCTAAATAAATGACTTCTCAAATTTCATTGGCTTTTCTGTCACCTAGCCTGCATGGAACATGCTCTCTTTTGAAGGAATTCGAGCCATCTAGTAATCCTTTTTTTTTTTTTTTTTTAATTTGAGATGGAGTTTTGCTTTTGTTGCCCAGGCTGGAGTGCAATGGTGCGATCTCGGCTCACTGCAACCTCTGCCTCCCAGGTTCAAGCGATTCTCCTGCCTCACCCTCCCGAGTAGCTGGGATTATAGGCATGCGCCACCACACTCAGCTAATTTTGTACTTTTAGTAGAGATGGGGTTTCACCATTTTGGTCAGGGTGGTGTCAAACTCCTGACCTCAGGTGATCCACCCGCCTTGGCCTCCCAAGGTGCTGGCATTACAGGCGTGAGCCACCGTGCCCGGCTTACTTTTTATTTAAATAAGCCTTGAGATTTAGTTCCACAGGGTCTTTTCACATCAATAAGATGCAATTTTATTGTCTTAATCTTAATTTTATTGTCCTTAATCTCCCTTTCTGTTCATGCAGTTTCTGTAAGTTGTTTTCATTCTTCACATCACAAACTTTCTCTCATTGCTTGTTCCAAGTTATAGTCATAAAATCTGAGTTGAAAGGGATCTTAGAAAATTGTTACCTTTGTTACCCACTTAGTACGGAAATCAGCTCTGTAGTATTGATAGGGGTTACTGTGCCGCTGTTGGAACCCTTCCAGGGTCTGAGCTCAGTGCTTCCTAGGCAGCTCATTTCTCTGTTAGACAACTTGAATCCTTCAGTCATTTCCCTTCCTTGTGTCAAAATCTGCCTCACTAGTCTATTCATGGGTCCTGGTTTTTCCCTCGGGAAGCGCATTTCCATATGACGGACTGAATATACTTTGCTGTCCCTTAATCCTCTTATGCTGCGGTAGGCTAACAACATTGGGAAAAAGTCATATTTCCTTGACTCATACAGTGCTAGAAAGTAACTTGTAGAGTATTAGAAAACTTAATCTGTAAGACATCATAAAGGAAGATTTAGTTGCTTTTTTTTTTTTTAACTTCAGGGTGTAGAAAGATATTTTGAGCTTTATATTTAAGGAAGAAGCCGTAAAGAAAAAGATTTATAGTTTAGTCTTTATGAAAACTGGAAGGGTCAGTAATAAATCAGGAAAAGATATTTATGATACACATGACAAGCAAAGAGTTATACTCAGCAGCTCTTACTAATAAGAGAAACAAAGAAGGAGTACCCTGATAGGCAAGTGGGAAAACATGAATTGGTGATTTATGGAAATATAGGAGAAATGGCCAGTAAGCTGAAAAATGTTTAAAATACTAGAAGTTAAATTAAGATGTTAGTTTTGCCTGTCAAATTGACAGAAATTTAAAAATTGTTAATACCCTGTACTGATGAATATATAATGAAATGGACCCTTTTATACACTTGTGTTTATTGTGAAATATGTATTTGGTCTTTGACCCCTGACATACAACTGCTGAAATCCTTAAAACTTCCAAAGTGATGTCTTTTGTATGCTAATGAGATGACTGGTGGCTGGCAGCCCCTAGGTAGCTTAAGGATGGGGCTGGTCACCAGAAAGAACAAGGCAAGATTAGAGGGTTGGGACTTTCAGTTTCATCCCCCAGTCTCTAGGAAAGGGAGAGGGGCTGAAAGTTAATTGATACCAGTGACCAGTGGTTAATCAACCATGCCTGTATAATGGAGGCTCCTTAAGAACCAAGAAGGACTGGGTTCAGAGAGCTTGCAGATGGCCAAACACATGGAGGCTTACACACATCCATGTGTTGGGAGGGTGGCATACCCTCCTCCATGGGGACAGAAGCCCCTGGGCTTGGGACTCTTCCACATGTTGAGCTTTGTATCTCTTTATCTGGCTGTTTATTTGTATCTTTTAAAATATTCTTTGTAATAAACTGGTAAATGGAGCAAATGAACAAATTAATTGAACCCGAGATGGGGGTTGTGGGGACCCTGATTTCTAGCCATTTGTTAGAAGCATTGGAAAATAACCTGGGGCTGGCGATGAGCAGAGGTGGAGTGGGAATGGGGCAGAGTCTTGGGGACTAGCCCTCAGTCTGTGGGATCTCACTCTATTGCCAAGTAGAGAAGTCAGAATTAAATTAGAGGGCACCCAGCTAGTGTCTACTACAAAACTGATTGCTTGGTGGGTGGGTGGGAAAAAACTTCCCACATTTGGTCACAAAATTATCCTGTGTTGTGTGAGAGCAGAGGAAAAACAGTTTGTGGTTTTTTTTTTTTTTCAACTCATTGCTAATATTAGAAATATAAGCAGGTAGGTCCAGTCTTTTTGAGGGGCAGTTTGGCAGTATGCTTGGAACAGGAATTATATTCTAGGAATTTATCATGAAGATATTGTCAGATGCACAGAATAATTGATGGTTATACAGGTGAGTTGGGTGGAATTCTGCAAGCAGACATGTAGGAGGAGCTAGCAGTGTAGGAGATTTCTTGGAGATGAGGGGCAGGGGTAGTATTGCCTGTGAAAGTTGAAGAGGGAAGAAAGCAGGACATGTGGGTGCTGGGGAGAAAGCCTTCAGGCCCTGATCCAGATCTTAATAGCCGTGCAAGGAAAGAAGGGAGGAAGCCCAATTGAGCAGTGAGAGCTGCAGAACCGTGTGGATCTGACAAAGTCTGGGCCAGGCAGCCCTGACATCCCTACTGTGCCCAGTCTTCAACTACCAGCTGCCTAGGGAGAAAGTGGTCTTGGGTCTATACTGCAGCAGATTCCAAAGGCTCTACAGGTGGAGACGGTCAGCAAGCTGCAATCTTTGTAGGCCACAGGACTAGGTATTGCTTGAAGGGAGAATCAGAATGGCGCACCTGTTTGGCTGCCATGAGAGGAAGTTCGTTGTAGTGTTAGTAAAATAGCACAAATTGGAACATTCATTGCAGTGTTACTGAAACAGCACAAATTAGAAATGATATTTTTTCTATAATAAATTTCTAATTAGGAGGAGTAATTTTAAAATAAGATTGCATTTGTATTTTAAACTGTCATTGTTATGGTGCAAGCTTTTGTTAAGCTTGAGACTCTTAACTCTTTTATATGAACTGCTATCAAGAATTTCCCCATCTTGATGATCTTTTGAGACTAAAAAGTAGAATTTGCAGTTATCCTTTAACTTTTGATGTATTTGTTGGAGTTTGATGGTATAATGGAGGTGCTATTTTGCTGGGATTGGACAACCCTAAGCCTTGCTGTACTGACACCCTCCGGAGGATATGCAAACAGGCCATGCACACTGGAGGCCAACTTGCTGCTGCCTTATCTTGCTCACTCTTGGTAATTTCACTTGAGTTCTTTTTTTTTTTTTTTTTTTGGAGACTGAGTCTTGCTCTTTTGCCCAGGCTGGAGTGCAGTGGCACAATCTCGGCTCACTGCAACCTCCGCCTCCTGAGTTCAAGCAGTTCTTCTGCCTCAGCCTCCCAAGTAACTGGGATTACAGGCACACACCACCACGCCTGGCTAATTTTTGTATTTTTAGTAGAGAGAGGGTTTCACCATGTTGGCCAGGCTGGTCTCAAACTCCTGACCTCAAGTGATCCACCGGTCTTGGCCTCCCAGAGTGCTGGGGTTACAGGTGTGAGCCACCGCGCCCGGCCTCCACTTGAGTTCTTTTTTTTCTGGGTTGTAATAAGCATCCACTTCTAGCAGTGTGGTCTGCATTAGCTTGAATAACTGAATGTTACTACTTGTTTTAAGAAAATTTTAGATCACTGTTAACCTGTAACTTTATTTTAACTTGAATTTTCCCTTAACCTGAAGATGTTATAAAATGATTTTAAATAATGAGTCTGTGGAATCTTTCAAAGTATTGTTTCAAGCCAAATACCCCACCCTCCTGAAACTCATAAAATAGGCCCAGATAATAATTTTTTTTTTATTTTTATTTTTTTTTGAGACCTAGTCTCACTCTGTCACCCAGGCTGGAGTGCAGTGGTGTGATCTGGGCTCACTGCAACCTCCGCCTCCCTGGTTCAAGCAGTTCTCCTGCCTCCTGGTAAATGGAACAAATGAGCAAATTAATTGAACCTAGCCTCCTGAGTAGCTGGGATTACAGGCATGCACTGCCATGCCTGGCTAATTTTTGTATTTTTAGTAGAGATGGGGTTTCACCATGTTGGCCAGGCTGGTGTTGACCTCCTGACCTCAAGTGATCTACCTGCCTCAGCCTCCCAAAGTGCTGAGATTACAGGCATGAGCCACCACGCCCGGCCTCCCGATGATAATTATTTAGGCCACTTTTTGCTTTTTGTTCTCTCTCGCTCTCGCTCACATTATCCTAAAGAATGCCAAAAAAGACCTCATAGAATCCCAAGGGACAGTTTAAAAACTTTGGTTCTATATTTTGGACTAACTTTATAATAATAAAAATTTTGGAAAAGTGAAGTTAAAGTCAAGTGATTATAGGGCCGGGCGCAGTGGCTCACGCCTATAATCCCAGCACTTTGGGAGGCTGAGGTGGGCGGATCACCTGAGGTTGGGAGTTCGAGACTAGCCTAACCAACGTGGAGAAACCCTGTCTCTAATAAAAATACAAAAGTTAGCCAGGTGTGGTGGTGCATGCCTGTAATCCTAGCTACTCTACTTGGGAGGCTGAGGCAGACAAATCGCTTGAACCCAGAAGGCAGAGGTTCCAGTGAGCTGAGATCACGCCATTGCACTCCAGCCTGGGCAACGAGAGCAAGACTCCATCTCAAAAAAAACAAAACAAAACAAAAAAACATAAAGCTAAGTCAGGATTCTGTTTCCTGAGGCTCATTGGTCTGCTTAAGGGGTGGCTGTAAGGCATTTTCAGAAATGTTTCCCAGCAGGGTAAGGAAAATTGTTACCTAGGGGCCTGTTGGAAAAGAAGCATCAGAAGTTTATCTGTAATTGGTGGACAGGAAAAGGCCATATTTCCCAAGGGCCCTAGGATGAATTGTGTGTCTGTCACATTGCCTGTATCCCACAAACTGAGATTTTAAAAAAGGTGCAGCACCAGACTTTCCTCCAGCTATCCCACGTCTGGCACTTCTTTCTAGGATTCATAGATAATACAACTTTTTAAAAAGTATATGGTAGACCTTGCTAGGAGTTAAGTTACTGTATGGGATTTTTCCTTTTGGAAAGTAGGTGTGTAGATTTATATATGGTTTTGTGTGTGTGTGATATATATGTATCTTTAAAATAGAAGCTACAGGAAAAGCAAATTGACTGTGTAGTCAAAGGTGGTTTGAGATGGTTAGTCTCCTTACCCCCTTGTGCGTTGAAACGAGATTGTGGTCACCTATTGTGCATTCATGTTTCTCTGAGACAGAGTCACAAGGTCCAGGACCATGTCTTACTACTGTTGAGACTGCGGAGCCTAGCTGAGTGGTTTACACATACTAAGTGGGTGGTCAACAATAGAGCAGGCCAGAATTCTTGCAGATTTTTAATTTTTTTCTAATTTAGTGTTTCTTAGCCCTACACAGAGCTCTGTTTGCCATTAGAGGGATTCAGCCAACTCTTGTCCTATTATTACTTTTCCTGCTAATTTATTAAAAACCTTTTCCAGCCAGGCACGGTGGCTCATGCCTATAATCCTATCACTTTGGGAGGCTGAGGCAGACAAGTTGCTTCAGCTCAGGAGTTCGAGACCAGCCTGGGCAACAGAGTGAGATCTCGTCTCTACAAAAAAATTAGCCAAGTGTGCTGGGATGTGCCAGTGGTCCCATCTACTTAGGAGGCTGAGGCAGGAGGATAGCTTGAGCTTGGGAGGTGGAGGATCTCGGCTGTCAGTCGAGATCATGCCACTGCACTCCAGCTTGGGTGACAGAGCCAGAACCTGTTTTAAAAATAACTAAATTAATAAATTTTAAAAAAATTAAGAAAATCTTTTCCAGTATTAAACTTGTTTTGGAAATTTAACTGACCAAGTAGTACTAGTGGAAAATATTTGAAATAATTATTCATATTACTTTAATGTGACTCATTTAAACTTACTAATCAAAACATTTATCCACTGAGATTTTAAGTAGGCTTTTTGGCCAATGTTCAGAAACACAGTAAATGAATAAACAAAAGCAGATATTTGATATGAACTTACATAAATGACAGAAATTTAACCTATATTTTATTTAAGTTTAATGGCAAATGAGTATAAAGCCTCTAATTTTTTTCTTTTTTTTTTTCTTTTTTTGAGATGGAGTCTCGCTGTCTGCCAGGCTGGAGTGCAGCGGCGCGATCTCTGCTCACTGCAAGCTCTGCCTCCTGGGTTCACGCCATTCTCCTGCCTCAGCCTCCCGAGTAGCTGGGACTACAGGTGCCTGCCAGCACGCTCGGCTAATTTTTTGTATTTTTAGTAGAGACGGGGTTTCACTGTGTTAGCCAGGATGGTCTTGATCTCCTGACCTCATGATCCACCCACCTCGGCCTCCCAAACTGCTGGAATTACAGGCGTGAGCCACACCATGCCTGGCCTAAAGCCTCTAATTTTTTTCTAAGCAAATTTTACTTATCAACACTAAGCAACATTTCACCAAAACTCATGATATGCTATCATTATATTAAAAACTAAAAACCACTTTTTTACCAGTAATTTTTAAAGTTTGATTTTCAGCCGGGTGTGGTGGTGCATGCCTGTAGGCCCAGCTGTTTCGGAAACTGAGGTGGGAGGATCGCCTGAGCCCAGGAGGTTGAGGCTGCAGCGAGCTGTGATCGCACCACTGCACTCTAGCTTAAGCAATAGTGGGAGATCTTTTCTCTAAAATAAAATAAATATTAAACTTAAAGTTCTATACTTGACAAGTCAAAATAATATAGCCTCAGTGAATTATATGTGTTGTGCATCACTTATAGTAGACACAGATGCTGAGAGGCAAGCAGGTAGTATGTTAGGTCCGGAATTAACGACAAGCATGGAATGTTCTACCCTCCTCCTCATTGTGTCTAATGCAGAGCTCTGACCAGGGCCCCTAGCCAGATATTATCTGTGGCACTTAGCCTTTAGCAGAAAGTCAGACTCTAAATGGACATTTCTGGTTTACTCAGTCTGCCACTCAGGTATTGTCTCTAATCTGTTCGTTTTTTCCTTCAAATTCTTACACTTACTGTACTTTCTCCAAGTACGAAATTCTGCCTTCTGGTGTTTAGGGATTTTTTTTCTACCTTAAATTTCTCATCTAGATTTATACCTCTTTCCTGACTCACTTCAAAGTCATTTTCTTCTTTGACTCCTGCCTTCAGTGATCTCTAATTTCTCCAAATTTCTGTAACCACCACTGTTTGTTTCCAGGGGCTCTCACTTTGTTTCTGTCCTACAGACTAGAGGGACGTGATACTGCTTAGGTACCACATGATGACTGGGACTGGGGGGCCTTTCAGAATGGCAGGGTGTAAGTGAAGTATATGTGTAGTTAAAAGCTAAAGCCTGAAGCCAGGTATTAAAATCAGGCTAGTCTCTGATGTGCTTTGTATCATTTACATACTTTTTGCCTTTTAGATTGTAAAAACACAATCAGAACCGTTGTGTCCCTCACTGAGCTTTTGCGTGCTTTTAAATAGGAGCATCTTCCAACTGACAAGTGTCATTTTGTGTTGGAAAAACTTAGGATTTGAAAACACTGTTGGCTGGGCGTGGGGGCTCAGGCCTGTAATCCCAGCACTTTGGGAGGCCAAGGCGGTAGGATCGCTTGAGTTCAGGAGTTTGAGACCACCCCGGCCAACGTGGCAAAACCCCATCTCTACTAAAAATACAAACATAAGCCAGGCGTGGTGGTGCTTGCCGGTAATCCCAGCTGCTCGGGAGGCTGAGGCAGGAGGATCGCTTGAATCCAGGAGGCAGAGGTTGCAATAGCTGAGATTGCACCCCTGCACTCCAGCCTGGGTGACGGAGTGAGACTCTGTCTCAAAAAAAAAAAACACATTGTTATTCGGAGTGTTCAGTCACAAGGTCAGCCTATTTTATCAAAATGTACCAGCAAAAGATTGTTGTTAGCATATATGAAATTTAGTCACGATGTACACTATTTTGTCTCTGTAAGATTTATTCACTGTGTATGTGTGTGTGTGTGCATGTGCGTGTGTGCATGCGCATGCGTGCACGCGCCCGCACAGAGGATCACGGTGAGGTGGTGGGAGCACCCAGGTTCTCTCTTTCATTGCAATGCCGTTTGTTGCAGCATGGTTCATTGTAATTGCAGAGGAGAGGACAGTCTCAATGAAGAGCGTCGATATGTATACACCACACTGTAGTATACAGAGGAGAACACTGTGCTGTAGAAAGAATGAGGTAGATCTAAATACTACTGCGAAACAGTCTCCAGGAGAGATTCAGCAAAAAAAAACCACAGTGCAGAGCAGTAGACAGCTACCATTTATATAAACAAAGGAGGCCTGCTTAGACATGCACAGCCTCTCTCTGGAAGGATGCGTAAGGGTCTGGTGCCTCTCGGGAAGAGCGCTGAGCTATTAGAGAATCAAGAGTGGGAAGGGAGTAATTGTGCACTGTATTCTCATTGACACCATTTGCAATTTTTTTTTTACCACATTCATATTAATATTGTTTTTTAAATAATGTGACATTTCCTCATTATCTTGTGCTGTATTCAGAAGTAGGATAGCAGTACCTTGGAATTAGTACAGTTTTTCTTGTACCTCTCTTCCCTCATTCTCTACTGTTGCGAACAGTGAATATCCATTTGGTTTACAACTTGAGGCAGTAGAAGGAACACCAGTTTGGCAGTCAAATCAGACCTGTGTCTATACACTACTGGCTTGTATGATTTTGGGTAAATTACTCAACCTTTCAGAATCTGAATTTTTTCATCTAGGCTGTGGGAATGTTAATATGTATAGCTCAGATGTATTGTAAGGATTAAATAAGAAAATAAACTTAATGAGCTAGCATAGTGATATGGACGTGTAATATGAGTTCTATAAATGATTATTTTAGTGACTAAGGTACTTGTTCAAATTATAAAATCCCTGCTTTCCCCACCACACCACAATTGTAGCATTCTTGACATTTGTATTTCCTCTGACACGCTGCAGTGGAACATACCTGATTTTGAGGGACTTCTTGGCTCTTAGAGTATCTTTAAAAATGAAAAGGCCAGGCGTGGTGGCTCATGCCTGTAATCCTAGCACTCTGGGAGGCCGAGGCAGGCCAATCACGAGGTCAGAAGTTCGAGACCAGCCTGACCAACATGGTGAAACCCCGTCTCTGCTAAAAATACAAAAATTAGCCAGGCATGGTGGCGTGCACATGTAATCCCAGCTACTCAGGAGGCTGAGGCAGGAGAATCACTTAAACCTGGGAGACGGAGGTTGCAGTGAGCCGAGATCATGCCATTGCACTCCAGTCTGGGTGACAGAGCAAGATGCCGTCTCAAAAAAAAAAAAAAGTTCTTTCTCTCTCTACTTGTAAATGGAAGTTTACTAATTTCATAAAATTTTTTTGTGTGCAAGTATATTACTGTATATGTTGAATATTATATGTAATTTACTTATGTAGATACCTATCCAGCAAGAAAGCCACAATTTCAAACACGATTCAATAATGTAGACTACACATCAAAACTTGGTGATAACAACATTATTATAACACCTTATTCATGTAAATATATTATTCAGATAATGGGGTTTGGGGAGTAATGTTTCTGTTTCCTTTTAAGCCTTTGTATTCCTTTTTTAGCTCTTTCAGTCTCACATGGCAACGAAAACAACTTGTATGTCTTCACAAGGATCAGATGATGAACAGATAGTGAGTATGTCTTTTAAATAGATACCATATTGTACTCTAAATGCTTCTATGATTTTAAAATAACTACTTGGAGTGCTTATAGACTCTTGTGATAGAGACTTCTGTTTGTACTTACCTCCAACGTGAATTAATTTTTCTGTTGATTCAAGTGAAAAGTCGATGATGGATTGAATAATTGAGTATCCACAATATTCTTAATTGAGTATCCACAATATTCTGACATTAAGGAAATTTTTTTTTCTGTTTCTTTTTTCGTTTCCTTTTTTTTTTTTAGACAGAGTCTTGCTCTGTCGCCCAGGCTGGAGTGGAGTGGCATGATCTCGGCTCACTGCAACCTCTGCCTCCCGGGTTCAAGCGATTCTCTTGTCTCAGCCTCCCGAGTAGCTGGGATCACAGGTGACCACCACCACGTCCGGCTAACTTTTTTGTATTTTAGTAGAGATGGGGTTTCACCATGTTGGTAGGCTAGTTTTGAACTCCTGACCTCAAGTGATCTGCCCACCTCAGCCTCCCAAAGTGCTAGGATTACAGGCCACTGCGCCCAGCCCTATTTCTTTTTATCATTCGTTGTTTGTTTTTGTTTTTTGAGACAGAGCTTTGCTCTGTCGCCCAGGCTGGAATGCGATGGTGCAATCTCAGCTTACTGCAACCTCTGCCTCCCGGGTTCAAGCAATTCTCATGCCTCAGCCTTCCAAGTAGCTGGGATTACAGGTGTGTGCCACCACACCTGGCTAATTTTTGTATTTTTAGTAGAGACGGGGTTTTGCCAGGTTGCCCAGGCTGGTCTCGAACTCCTGGCCTCAAGTGATTTGCCTCCCTCAGCCTCCCAAAGTGCTAGGATTACAGGCGTGAGCCACCACGCCCGGCCGTTATTTGTTTTTTGAGCACACTGCAGAATGTGGTGGGTGCATAGAACTCCTGTGAATGGCAGAGTTTAGGGAGCCCTTGGGTGGTCCTGCCAGCTGCCTCCCTGATGCAAGATTACACCTTATGCTTCTAAGGGTCTGTGGGGAGGGGTTTGGTAATTCATATTGAAATTTGTATTTAAAAATAGGAAGTAAATCTGGTGAAAGAGGTGAGTAACTAGAAAGAAAATTACAAATACAAACATAGGTAATTCAGTAAGTTGTTTTTTATTTTGTTTGTTTTTGAGACAGGGTCTTGCTCACTCTGTTGCCCAGGCTGGAGTGCAGTGGTGCAATCTCGGCTCACTCAACCTACACCTCCCAGGTTCAAGCAATTCTCATGCCTCAGCCCCCCAAATAGCTATGATTATAGGCATGTGCCACCACACTCGGCCAATTTTTGTATTGTTACTAGAGACGGGGTTTTGCTCGTGTTGGCCAGGCTGGTCTTGAACTCCTGGCCTCAAGTGATCCATCTGCCTCCGCCTCCCAAAGCACTTGGATTACAGACGTGAGCCACCACACCTGGCCAGTAATTCAGTAAGATTAAATAATTTCCTTTAGTTCTGTGCTCCAATAACTGTAGTCTCTTGTTTTTCCCTCTTTCTCCATATATCAATGGTACTAACAGTCTATTCCATCTTCCTCACAGACTTTTTGAATGATGTTTAATCCTCCAGAGATTACTGTCAGAGTCACTAGTAATCTTTAGTGACTAGTCCATCCAGTGGCTGTTGCTTGGTTTCTTTTTCCCTGGCCCCTCTTTTGTGTTACATCATGGGGACCACACCCTCATTTTTGAAATGCTTTTTTCCAGTGACATTAAAATCCTGTCATTGTAGAACTAAACTAGAAGGGATCCTAGAGGCCATTTAGTTCAACTTTTATGTAATAAGCATATGCCTATCAGATAACAACTTTAACAAGTTATGAAGTTCTTACCATCTTGAACACTTTCACGAGGAAGAAGCCTAGTGCTTCTTCAGTGCTCTTTAAAAAAATATGAAGATAACATGCTTACATGACTAAAAATGATTCAAATGGCACAAAAGAGAATATAGTGTACTAGTTTTCTGTTGCTGCATAACAAATCGTCACAAATTTAGCGGCTTAAAACGGCATCTGTTTGTTAGCTCTCAGTTCTATAGGTCAAAGGCCAGACGTGGCCCATCTTCCTTCTCTGCTCTGGGTTTCATACTCAAGGGGTCAGCTGCTGGGTTCTTATCTGGAGGCTTTCCTTCCATACTCTTTCTGGTTGTTGGCAGAATTCAGTTCCCTGCTGGCTGGGGGTTGTTGTCAGCTCCTAGAGACCACTCCATTCTGAAAGCCAGCAAGGGAGAACTGGCAGGTGGAGTTCTCTTCATGCTTCATGTCTTTGGCCAGGAAGTGCCCAGGCCCTGTTAAGGATTTACCTCATGGCTGGGCATAATGGCTCACACCTGTAATCCTAGCACTTTGGGAGGCCCAGACGAGTGGATCACCTGAGGTCAAGAGTTCGAGACCAGCCTGACCGACGTGAAACCTTGTCTCTACTAAAAATACAAAAATTAGTCAGCTGTGGTGGCAAGCACCTATAATCCTAGCTGCTCGAGAGGCTGAGGCAGGAGAATCATTTGAACCCAGGAGGCAGAGGTTGCAGTGAGCTGAGACCACATCATTGCACTCTAGCCTGGGCAACAGAGCAAAAACTCTGTCTCAAAAGAAAAAAGGAAAAAAAAAAAGGATTTACCTCATTAGGTCAGGCCCAACCAGGATAGTCTCCCTTCCGAAGACTGACTGGTTTGGGACCTTAATCACTCTGTAAAATCTCTTCTCAGAGACACCTAGGTTAGCGTTTGATTTAATAACTGGGAGAAAGTTTGTGTGCACCAGGGGCATCGGTGTTAGCGACCATCTGAGAATTCTGCCAACCATATACAATAAAAAGCGATTTCTTCTCACCCCAACCTGTAAGTCTACTGCTGACTGGTAACCACTCTCAATAGTCTGTCATTACCCTTCGAGATATTTACATCTGTATGTGTGTATATATATACATACATATATATGTGTGTATATATATACATATATATGTGTGTGTATATATATACACACACATATATATGTGTGTATATATGTGTGTGTATATATATATATGATTATGTGAAAAATGCACATAATGCATATTTTTAAAAACTCTGACCTCAGTAAATAAATCACTATTGGGATACCTAGCTAGTCATCCATGTTGTGACACGTATCAGTAGTTTAGTATACTACAGTTTGTTTATCTATTCACCACTTGTTTGATATTTGGAATCTTTCCAGTTTTTGACCATTGGGAATAAAACTGCTGTGAACATTGATGCATAAGTTCTTGGGTGGACATATGTTTTCATTATTTTGGATACCTCCAAGCGGGTTTTTTTTGGCTATATAATAATATGTGTTTAACTTCATAGGAAACTGCCAAGCTAGTTTCCAAAGCAACTGTACCATTTTGCAGACTAGCAAATTTATCAGCATTCCATTTCTTCATTATCTCCAACACTTGACATGTTCAGCCTTTTAATTTTAGCTGTTTTATTGGATATTCAATGTTACTTTTTATTTATTTTTATTTTTATTAATTTTTTTGAGACAGAGTCTTGCTCTGTCTTCCAGGCTGGAGCACAGTGGCAGGATCTTGGCTCACTGCAACTTCCGCCTCAGGTTCAAGCGGTTCTCATGCTGTAGCCTCCGGAGTAGCTGGGACTACAGGCATGCACCACCATGCCCAGCTATTTTTGTATTTCTGGTAGAGATGGGGTTTTGTCATGCTGGCCAGGTTGGTTTCAAACTCCTGGCCTCAAGTAACCTGCCTGCCTTGGCCTCCTAAAGTGCTGAGATTATAGGCATGAGCCACCGCACCTGACCTGACCACTTGAACCTGGGAGGTGGAGGTTGCGGTGTGCCAAGGTCGCACGACTGCACTCCAGCCTGGGTGACAGAGTGAGACTCCATCTCAAAAAAGAAAAACAAAAAACAAAACAAACCAACAACAACAAACAAACAAACAAAAAAACCACAAAAATTACCCAGGCGTGGTGGCGCCTATAATCCCAACTACTCCAGAGGCTGAGGTGGAAGAATCACTTAAACTCGGGAGGTGGACATTTTACATTTTCTTGATAACTAATTTTCTATATGTGCCATTGTCCTTTCATTTTCTTCTTTCCTACCTTCTTTTGGATTAATAGAGAATTTTTATGACTCAATTTCATTTCTGCTTTTGGCTTATTAGCTATACCTCTTTCGCTTTTTTTTTTTTTTTTTTAATAGTAATTGACCTAGGCTTTAACTTACCACACCCAACCTTCAAATAATATAATATTTTAGCCTGGCATGGTGGCTCACGCCTGTAATCCTAGCACTTTGAGAAGCTGAGGCAAGTGGATCACCTGAGGTCAGGAGTTTGAGACCAGCCTGGCCAACACGGTGAAACCCCATCTCTATTAAAAATACAAAAATTAGCCAGGCGTGGTGGGCGCCTATTATCCCAGCTACTCGTGAGGCTGAGGCAGGATAATCCCTTGAACCTGGGGGGCGGAGGTTGCAGTGAGCCAAGATCATACCACTTCACTCCAGCCTGGGCGAAAGAGCAAAACTCCATCTTAAAAAAAAATTTGTATATATAACACTTTATGTATACTGTAGAAACCTTATAACAATATTCCTTCAGTCCTCCTGTATTTTGTGTTTCTTATACATTTTACTTGTGCATGTAACCTGTAACACATTGTTTTTGTTACTGCTTTAAACATTTGTATTTTCAAGAAGTTAAAAAAAACCTCTCTTACATTTACCCACATATTTACCTTTCTGATGATCTTCATTCCTTTTTGTAGATCTGTTGTCATTTTCCTTTCTCTTGAAGAACTTTGATCATTTTTTATACTGTGGGCCAACTGGCAGTGGATTTTCTCAGATTTTGTTTATCTGAAGTTGTCTTCATTTTGCCTTCATTTTTGAAGGATGTTTTCATTGGCTGTAGAATTCTACGATGTCTTTTTTTTTTGGCGGGGGGCATTTTATAGGGGTCATTGTTTTGTCTTCTGGTTTGCATTGTTTCTTAAGCAACATCTGTAGCTCACTGCAATGTCCGCCTTCTGAGTTTAAGTGATCCTCCCACCTCAGCCTCCTGAGCAGCTGGGATTATAGGTGCCACCACGCCCGGGTAATTTTTGTGTGTGTTTGTTTTTGTTTTTTTTTTTGGAGATGGAGTCTTGCTCTGTCACCCAGGCTGGAGTGCAGTGGTGCGATCTCAGCTCACTGCAACCTCCACCTCCCAGGTTCAAGCGATTCTCCTGCCTCAGCCTCCTGAGTAGCTGGGACTACAGGTGCGTGCCACCACACCTGGCTAATTTTTTGTATTTTTAGTAGACACAGGGTTTCACCGTGTTAGCCAGGATGGTCTCAATCTCCTGACCTTGT
This sequence comes from Homo sapiens, assembly GCF_000001405.40. NCBI lineage: Eukaryota > Metazoa > Chordata > Mammalia > Primates > Hominidae > Homo > Homo sapiens. The sequence goes on along the minus strand of NC_000002.12, from coordinate 109,587,693 downwards.
TATCCACCCGCCTCGGCCTCCCAAAGTGCTGGGATTACAGGCGTGAGCCACCACACCAGGCCTAAAGTTTTCATTATCCTTGTTTTTTAGCAGTTTGCTGTGATGTCCCTAGATGTGAGTTCCTTTGGATATTTCCTGTTTGTAGTTTGCTGAAATTCTTGTATCTCTGAGTTCAAGTTTAGAAAATTAGAAAGTTTTCAGTCACTATTATTTAGATATTTTTTTCCCTCCCTCCTACCCCCCACTTTCACCTTCTCTCTTTCTCTAACTTTTCTCCTTGTATTCCAATTACTGGTATGTTAGATCATTTGATACTCTCACACAAGTTTTTAAGACTGTCATAGTTTTATCTTTTTTCTTTCTGTGAGATTTTTAGCTTGGATAATAACTATTGAACAAATCTGTCTTCCATTATTTGATCTGCTGTTAGTACTAAATATATTTTTTACTTCAGATGTTGCATTTTTACATTCTAGAAATTCTGTCTGCTGCTTTTTGTCGTTGCGAGCTCTTTCATATCTTTCTGTAATTCCCCGTCATGCCACCCATTATATCCATCTTTTTCCTGTAGATTCTTTAGCATATTTGTTATCATTATTTAAAGTTCTTACCTGCTAATTAAACATCTGGTTCATTGTGGCTCTCTTTCTGTTGACTTTCTTTCTTGACTGTGAATCACATTTTTCTGTTTTTTTCCTGTCATAATTTTTTTATTGTATAGTAGATACTGTAGAGATGCTAGATTCTGTTTTCTTCTTCTGCAGAGTCTTGAACTTTGTTCTAACAGGCAATTAAATTGCTGACTGATCACATTGATCATGTTGAGCCTTGTTACAGGCTTTGTTAAGGCAGGTCTGCTTCAGCTGTGCTTTCTGATTGCTGAGTTATGGACCTTACTCCTAAAATGTGGCCCATCTAGGGTTTCAGTAGAAGGCCTAGGGTGTTTACAGGAGACTCTTTAACTTACAGGCTTAAAATTTAAGCTCTGTCCATCTCTCCAAGATGGCACTTGAAAACTCTGCATAGCTCCTCCCAATTCCCATTTTCCCCCTTCTGGGATCTTTGTATTCCCTCTGTATGTGTGCAGTTTGGCCATCAGCCATGGATTTGAGTGGAGTGTGTTTGTAGATTTTGGACTCCCTTCTTTCTGGAATTTTCTCCCTGAATTCCCAACCAATCTGCCTGCCCCAATCTCCAATGGACATCTTAACCCATTAAGACTATAACTTCCCTCCTGAGCTCTATCTTCCTTTTGCCATAATGACTAGGGAGTGCCTTCAGGGAAAAAGCTAGATAAACTCATCTCACCTGATAAGTTTCCTTCCCTCAAGTCTTATTCTGTCCAGTGTCTATCTGCCTTTGGTTGCACTCTAGTGACTTAAAAGGGTTGCTTGTAATTGTTACCAGTAGGCAGGTAAGTTTGACCTAAGTTACTCTGCCATTACCAGGAGCTGAACCTGTATCTGTACTTTTGTTTTGTGCTTTTTTTTCACTTGACATTTTAATGTAAGAATTTTCTAAGTTTTTATCATAAACAAATGGACTTTAACTTTTTATTTTGTAAGTGAATATGCCATAGTTGGATATTTTCCTATTTTGGAAATCGAATGTTTTAATGTTATACATAGTGCTAGACTCTCGTTGTATGAAGGGGATAAGAAATGTATGTTTTGAGGATCTGGACACAGGTTTCTTTTCCTGAAAATTTACTTAATCGCTTGTATCTTAGGTGAGGTATAATGATTATAAAAATTTTCATTTATTTGATATATTTGTCCTTCAAGTGTGCCTACATCCTATTTAAGTCAAAGTTGTTTTTTTTATTGCTGTTGTTTTTGTTTTTATTTTCCTTCAGAAAAGAGAAAACATTCGTTCGTTGACTATGTCTGGCCATGTTGGTTTTGAGAGTTTGCCTGATCAGCTGGTGAACAGATCCATTCAGCAAGGTTTCTGCTTTAATATTCTCTGTGTGGGTACGTGCCACCTACTCTTCCTCTAAGTTGTTCCTTCATATTCCTTGTGCTCACTTCATTCTTGTCATGGGCAGAACAATGCTCATGTTATCAATTTGAAATCATGATCCCAGGGATTCTCTTTAGTTGTTTAGATTCTGTTAGTTTTGTTTTTCTTAGCTTTAAGCTTTTGGCTTGTTATATAAACATCTCAGTGTTGTTGTCAGAGTCCTGAGTAGCTTAGCACACTTACTCTATGCTCTGCTAATGACTTGGGGGACCAGCCGTAGTGTGTATTTCTTTCATGCGCACCCTGGCCTTTGAAATATTTGGGATCTTTGAAACCACTCTAGGCATTTACAGTTGTATTTCTTTTCAGCCATTCATGCAACCATAAAGATGTACCTTTGTGTGTTTCAGGGGAAACTGGAATTGGAAAATCAACACTGATTGACACATTGTTTAATACTAATTTTGAAGACTATGAATCCTCACATTTTTGCCCAAATGTTAAACTTAAAGCTCAGACATATGAACTCCAGGAAAGTAATGTTCAATTGAAATTGACCATTGTGAATACAGTGGGATTTGGTGACCAAATAAATAAAGAAGAGAGGTATGTGTTTTCTTCTTGTAATAAAACAAGTTTTTCTTATTTCAAGACATTCGCCTTATAGCCCCATGAACTATGATTTGATTTTCTCCTATGGTAATCCATACCTTTCCTTCCACACATTGTTTTAAAAATAAAATAATTAAACAATATTTTGTTCTTATTAGCACATTGACATTTTTCTAGCCATTTGTCTAATTTCTTTAGAATAATTTGAATCACCTTATTAAAATGTGCATTTCAGCAAAAGTAGCTTTAATTATTTCCTGACATGCAAATTCAGTGTATATTAATTATACTAATTTTCAGGCAGGGCTTATCTCCTTGAAGAAAAAAAATACAAGACATATAAGAACAATATATACAATGGCCAAATACATGATGCTTGAATTTTTTGTAAAATTATAATCAAATTAGCCAGTTACATTATTAATCATTGCAGGAAAGTTTTGATAGTGAAATTTTAATTTATATTTTACCTTGTGTCTCTATTTGTTTTAATATTTCTCCTAAGGTCGTATAAAGATTGAGTAGAGATTCTATGCTCTATCAAATTTAAACTATGAAAGGGGGAAAAGGATTGGTAAAGCAATAACTTTTTGTTCGTTTTCCTTTTTGAAATGTGTTTCAATTTTTTTTTTTTTTTTTTTTTTTGAGACAGAGTCTCGCTCTGTCACCCAGTCTGGAGTGCAGTGGCATGATTTCGACTCACTGCAACCTCCACCTCCCCAGTTCAAGCGGTTATCCTGCCTCAGCCTCCCGAGTAGCTAGGATTACAGGCACCTGCCACCACACCTAATTTTTTTTGTGTTTTTAGTAGAGACGGGTTTCACCTTGTTGGCCAGGCTGGTCTCGACCTCCTGACCTCAGGTGATCTACCCACCTCGGCCTCCCGAAGTGCTAGGATTACAGGCGTGAGCAACTGCGCCCAGTCTTATTTCCATTTTTGTAAGTAATTTTTTTCCTTTTAAAAAATAATTTCAATTTTTCGTTTAGATTTGGGGTACATTTGCAGGTTTATTACATGGGTATATTGTGTGATGCTGAGGTTTGGGGTACAAGTGATCCAATTACCCAGGTAGTGAGCATAGTACCAATAGTTAGTTTTTCAGCCTTTACCGGGTATCTTCCTTCCCACTCTAGTAGTCCCAGTGTCTGTTGTTGCCATCTTTATATCCATGTGTACCCAATGTTTAGATCCCACTTACTTATAAGTGAGAACATATGGTATTTGGTTTTTTGTTCCTGAGTTAATTTGCTTAGGATAACGGCCTCCAGCTTCATCCATGTTGGTACAAAAGACTTGATTTTGTTCTTTTTTATGGCTGTGTAGTAGTCCATGGTAGGTATGTACCACACTTGTTTTATCCAGTCCACGTTGATGGGCAGCTAGGTTGATTCCATGTCTTTGCTATTGTGAATAGAGCTATGATGAAACATATGAGTACATGTGTCTTTTTGGTAGAATGAGGTATTTTCTTTTGGATATATTCCAAGTTGGAATAGCTGGGTCGAATGGTAGTTCTGGTTTAAGTTCTTTGAGAAATCTCCAAACTGCTTTCCACAGTGGCTGCATTAATTTACATTCCCACCAGCAGGGTACAAGCATTTCCTTTTCTCTACAGCCCCGCCAGTATCTGTTGTGTTTTGACTTTTTAATAATAGCCATTCTGACTGTTGTGAGATGGTATCTCATTGTGGTTTTGATTTGCATTTCTCTAATGATGAGTTATGTTGAGCGTTTTGTCATGTTTGTTGGCTGCTTGTATGTCCATGTCTTTTGGCCACTTTTTAATGGGGTTGTTTTTTCCTTGTTTAGTTGTTAGTTTCTTACAGATTCTGGCTGCTAGACTATTGTTGGATGCATAGTTTGTAAAAATTTTCTCCCATTCTGTAGGTTGTCTGTTTACTCTGATGATGGTTTGTTTTGCTATGTAGAAGCTCTTTAGTTTAATTGGCAATTTTTGTTTTTGTTGCATTTGCTTTTCAGGACTTAATCGTAAATTCTTTTCCAAGGCCAATGTGCAGCATGGTGCTTTCTAGGTTTTCTTCCAGGATTCTTTTATTTGAGGTCTTACATTTCAGTCTTTAATCCATCTTGAGTTAATTTTTGTTTATGGTAAAACATAGGGGTCCAGTTTCATTCTTCTGCATATGGCTAGCCAGTTATCCTAGCACCATTTATTGAATAGAGAGTCCTTTCCCCATTGCTTATTTTTGTCAGCTTTGTTGAAGATCAGATGCCTGTAGGTGTGCGGCTTTATTTCTAGGTTCTCTGTTCTATTCCATTGGTCTATTTGTCTGTTTTTATACCACAACCATGCTGTCTTGGTTACTGTAGCCTTATAGTATAGTTTGAAGTCAGGTAATGTGATTCCTCAGGCTTTGTTCTTTTGCTTAGTATTGCTTTGGCTATTCAGTCTCTTTTTTGTTTCTTTATGAATTTTAGAATAGTTTTTTCTAATTCTGTGAAAAATGACATTGGTAGTTTGATAGAAATAGCATTGAGGCCAGTTGTGGTGCCTTACGCCTGTAATCCTAGCACTCTGGGAGGTCAAGGAGAGAGGATCGCTTGCTCAGGAGTCTTGAGACTAGCCTGGGCAACATGGTGGGACCTCGTCTCTACAAAAAATTTTAAAAAATTAACCAGGCATGTTGGTGGGCACCTATACTGCCAGCTACTCGGGAGGCTGAAGTGGGACTATCACTTGAGCCTGGGAAGTCGAAGCTGCAGTGAGCCGTGATCATGCCACTGCCCTTCCAGCCTGGGTGGACAGAGTGATACCTTCTCAAAAACAAAACAAAAAAACAGCAATAGCGTTGAGTCTGTAGATTGCTTTGGGTAGTATGGCCGTTTTAACTATATTGATTCTTCCAACTATATTGATTCCATGAGCATTTTTTCAGTTTGTCGGTGTCATCTGTGATTTCTTTCAGCAGTGTTTTGTAGTTCTCTTTGCAGATACCTTTCACCTCCTTGGTTAGATATATTCCTAGGTTTTTGCGTGAGAGTGAGTGTGTGTGTGTGTGTGTGTGTGTGTGTGTGTGTGTGTCTGTTGTACATGGCATTGTGTTCTTGATACGGCTCTCAGCTTGACCATTATTGATATACAGAAATGCTGCTGATTTTTGTACATTGGTTTTGCATCTTGAAACTTCACTGAAGTTGTATATCAGTTCAGGAGCCATTTGGCGGAGTCTTTAGAGTTGTCTAGGTATGAAATTATATTGTCTGCAGAGAGATAATTTGACTTTTTCTTTTCCTATTTGGATGCCTTTTATTTCTGTCTCTTGCCTGACTTCTCTGGCCAGGACTTTCAAGTACTGTGTGAAATAAGAATGGTGAGCTCAGGCATATCTTGTTTCAGTTCTCAAGGGGAATGCTTTCATCTTTTGCCTATTTTATAACTTGTTTTTTCTCATTAACTTATTTGTTGGATTGTTTGTATTCTATCAATTAATGAAGCAGTATATAAATACGATTCTGTGAAAATACCAAATGGTACAGATCAGTTGGAATGCACTTTAGCCATTCCCGTGTGTTCAGTCCCATTTCTTCCCCCAGAGGAGCCACTGCTCTGAAATAGGTTTTTTTTTTTTCCCAGACCTTTCTTTAGTTCTTTTTAAATAAGCTTTATTAATATATACTGTACATAGAATAAACTTTACTGATTTTTTTTGTTTTTTTTTTTGAGACAGGGTCTCACTCTGTCGCCTAGGCAGGAGTGCAGTGGCGCAATCTCGGCTCACTGCAACCTCCGCCTCCTGGGTTCAGGTGATTCTCAAGCCTCAGCCTCCCAAACAGCTGGGATTACAGGTGCCCGCTATGACACCCGGCTAATTTTTGCAAAAGTAGAGACGGGGTTTCACCATGTTGGTCAGGCTGGTGTTGAACTCCTGACCTCAGGTGATCTGCCCACCTCAGCCTCCCAAAGTGCTGGGATTACAGGCGTGAGCCACCTCTCCCGGCCTAACTTTACTGATTTTAAGTGTACATTCAAAATGAATTTTCAGAAGCATATAGCATGTTGTAACCACTAGCATAGCTCTAATATAGGAAATGGCCGTAGTCATGGGTATTTTGCTGTCCTGCATATGCATATTATTCTTTAGCCAGGGACTTGGGGGCCCTCTCCAGATGTGCAGTGCTTCCTGCCTGTGCAGCTTTCTTCTCTTCTGTTCCAACCTACAGATGTTGCTTTTGCCTCCTTGAACTCCTGTCTGGGTTTCCTCAACTCAGTGAATGGCCAGGCGCTGTGCTGTCTTTGCGCTCTGCCCGGGACACTTGTCCCCAGTCAGGAAGCTGGGACATGGTAGGGCTCATAAAAGAGGGCATTTATTTCCTTTTTCAGTGGTCACAGTTTTATACTGCCTGTTTCCCAGTGTTTTAAAACCTTTTTTTCATTTATTTTGTTCAGGTTTCTAGTTATTTAAGGTGAGAAGATAAATCCAGTCCCAGTTCCTCTATCATGACTGAAGACAGGCTTTATTTTTCTTTCTTTCATTGTTAATGCTGGACTGTACTGGGTAGGACCTGCAGTATTTTGTAGGATAGTCAGTGATGGTAGTGGGCACCATCCCCTCATCATCCTAATCCCAAAGAGAAAGCTTTATTTTTTACCATGTACCATGCTTGCTTTGTTGTGGTTTTTTTGTTTATTTGGTTGGTTTTGGGTTTTGTTTTAGATAAAATAAAGAAATTCCTTTATATTATTAGTAAAAGTTCTTTTTTTAAAGAATCATTAATATATGCTTTCACCAGATTTTTTTTTTTTTTTTGCATTTTATGGAGAAATTGTGACTTCTTTCATTTAATCTTTAGTAAGGTGAGTTAGAGTAACTGATTTTTTTATTGGCAAATTAACCTTATAATTTTAGATACCATTCTGAGATCATAATATAGTGTTCTTTTTATATTATGCTATATTTTTCTTTTAGTTTTTTTTTGCATCTGTGTTCATCAGTGAAGTTTTTTTAGCCTGTATTCTTGTCTTATACTCTTTTTTTAAGATGGAACTTCACTCTTGTCGCCCAGGCTGGAGTGCAGTGGTGCGATCTAGGCTCATTGCAACCTCCATCTCTCAGGTTCAGACGATTCTCCTGCCTCAGCCTCCCGAGTAGCTGGGATTACAGGCGCCTGCCACCACGCCCAGCTAATTTTTGTATTTTTAGTAGAGACAGGGTTTCACCATGTAGGCCAGGCTGGTCTCAAACTCCTGACCTCAGGTGATCCACACGCCTTAGCTTCCCAAAGTGCTGGGATTACAGGCATGAGCCACTGCGCCTGGCCTTTTATTTATTTATTTATTTTAAATCAAGATTGTGTTAGCCTTCTAAAAGGAGTTTAAGGAGTTTTCATTCTCTATTTTCTGGAAAAATTTGCATAAGATTAGAGTTATTTTTCCCTGGAATGTTTGGTAGAACTAACCAATGAAAATCAGGGCCTGGCTGGGCGTGGTGGCTCATGCCTGTAATCCCAGCACTTTGGGAGGCCAAGGTGGGTGGATCACCTGAGGTCAGGAGTTTGAGACCAGCCTGACCAGCATGGTGAAACCCCGTCTCTACCAAAATACAAAAATTAGCCAGGCGTGGTGGCAGGCGCCTGTAATCCCAGCTACTCAGGAGGCTGAGGCAGGAGAACCACTTGAACCCAGGAGGCAGAGTTTGCAGTGAGCCAAGATTGGGCCATTACACTCAAGCCTGGTCAACAAGAGCGAAACTCCATCTCAAAAAAAAAAAAAAAGGAGGGCCTGGAGTTACAAGATCAGAGTTATTTTTCCCTGGAATATTTGATGGAACTTAACCAATAAAAAAAATCAGTGCCTGGGGTTTTCTAAGAAGATTTTGAGTTTAATTTTTAAAAAATGATTATAGGACAATTCAGAGTTGGTTTTACTTTGTTGAGAGACAGTTTTGTAAGTTATAATTTTCCAGGAATCTGTCCATTTCATCTAAAGTTTCAAATTACTGGTTTAAATATATTGATAATGTACTCTTAATATCTTTTTATTGTCTTCATCATCTGTAATGATATTCTGTCTTTCCTGATAATAGTTGTTTGTGCTGCTTTTCTTTTTCTGATTGATTAGTCTTGACAAAGTGTTGTCAATTTATTTAATCTTTTCAAATACCAAATTTTGGCTGTATTGATCCTTTCAGTTTTATGCTTTTCTTTTTTCCTGTTTCATTACTTTCTGCTCTTACGTCTGTACTTTTGGAGTTTTGTTCCAATTTCTCATTGATTTTCAGCCTTATGCATTTAGTATTATAAACTACCCTGTAAGCGTGGCTTAGGCTACATTCCACAAGTTTGATACATAGTATTTTCAATTTCAGTAAATTTCTTTTTTTTTTTCTTTTTTGAGGTGGAATCTCACTTTGTTGGCCAGGCTAGAGTGCAGTGGCACAATCTCGGTTCACTGTAACCACCGCCTCCCAGGTTCAAGCGATTCCCTGGCCTCAGCCTCCCGAGTAGCTGGGATTACAGGTGCCCACCAGCACTCCGAGCTAATTTTTGTATTTTTAGTAGAGATGGGGTTTCGCCCTGTTGGCCAGACTGGCCTCGAACTCCTGACCTCAGGTGATTCCACCCTCCTCGGCCTCCCAAAGTGCTGGGATTACAGGCATGAGCCTGCCATGCCTGGCCAACAATTTCAGTAGATTTCTAATCTCCATTTTTATTTTATCCTGAAGCATTGACACTTTTATTATTACGTAGTGACCTTTTTTCTCTTGTAATGCTTCCATGTCAGTATTGTCTGCAGCTTTCCTATGTATGTTTGGTGTAGTTTTTCAGTCCCTTTACTTTCAACCTTTCTGTGCCCTTGTGCTTTAGACATGTTTCTTATTGAGCATATTGTTGTCCTTTTAAAACACAATCTGACAATGGTTACCCTTTATTTGATCGTGTAATTCCTTCAAAATTAATGTAATTACCGACATATTTAGGTTTAAATCTACCATCTTTTTTGTGTTTCCTGTTTGTCCTGCCAGTTCTATATTTATTTTTCCTTTCTTGCCTGATTTCTATGCTTATAGTGGTTCTCTTACACATTATCACACATAATCTTTCACTTAAAGTTGAAGATGAGTGTTTATACTTCTCATTGATAATACAAATAGACAATGAAATGAAATTTAGAACAGTTAAATTTCATTTAACCGCTTCTCCTGATTGCTATTATATATTAACTCTTTTTTTTTTTTTTTTTTTTTTGAGACAAAGTCTCACTTCGTCACCCAGGCTTAAGTGCAGTGGTGCAATCTCGGCTCACTGTAACCTCCCCCTCCTGGGTTCAAGTGATTCTTAAGCCTCAGCCTCCTGTGTAGCTGGTACTGCAGTCACACACCACCCCACCTGGCTAATTTTTGTATTTTTAGTGGAGATGGGATTTTGCCATGTTGGCCAGGCTGATTTCAAACTCCTGGCCTCAAGCGATCTTCTCACCTTGGCCTCCCAAAGTGCTGGGATTGCAGGCGTGAGCCACTATCCGACCGAGTTCTCTCTTTCTTTTTCTTTTTTTTTTTTTTAAATTTTGAGGTGGAGTCTCACTCTGTCACTGAGGCTAGAATGCAATGGCGCGATCTCGGCTCACTGCAACCTCCACCTCCTGCACTCCAGCAGTTCTCCTGCCTCAGCCTCCTGAGTACCTGGGATACAGGCACCTGCCATCATGCCCAGCTAATTTTTGTGTTTTTGCAGAGACAGGGTTTCACCATGTTGGCCAGGCTGGTCTCGAACTCCTGACCTCAGGTGATCCTCCAGCCTTGACCTCCCAAAGTGCTGGAATTACAGTGAGCCACCATGCCCGGCCGAGTTCTCTATTTTTTAACTACACGAGGTATTATTATATGGCCAGTATATGTTTATTACCATCTATTAACCAAAAATTTCTGTGTCGCTCACATACTTGAAATTTTAGTTGGATGTACAATTCTGGGTTGCCAGTTATTTTCTTTCTTCCATTGGAAATATCATTCCACTCTCTCCTGGCTTCTATCTTTGCTATTAAGAAGTCTCCCTTAAGGGTCCTCTCCTTTTTTTCCTCTAATGCTTTTAAGATCTTTGTTTTTATTGTTATCCAGTTTTGCTATGCTGTACCTGGGTTTTTATTATTTCTAATTTACCCTGCTTGTGATATGTTTGAGTTCTTGACTCTGAATAGTGTGTCCGTCAGTTCTTTTTAAAAAATCTCAGACATTTCTTCTGTAAATATTGCTTCTGCCCTCTTTTCTGTTTTTTTCCTTTGAAAACTTTGATGAAATATATGTTAGATCTTCTCATTATATCTTCTGTGTCTTTTACTCTTAATCGCTCTGATTCATATTTTTTATCTTTTTGTCCAGAGTATGAAAGAATGGCATATTATTTATTTAGCAGAAAATCTTTACGGTTTTCATGCTTGAATAGCATAAGACAAAACATTCAGATAGAGGTACATTTATGGTTATTTAGGTCATATAATAGGTCCTCTTACTGACCTATTTCAGGTCATTAATAAAAGCTTCTTTGGAATTTTTATGTGAAATATATACTTAACAGATTAATTTTTCCCATTTTATTTTTTTGGAAAGTAAATCCTATTGGGTCACATTTAGACCACTTTCCAAAGGATCACTTAACTGTTGTTATAATAATCACTTTGATGATGAATTGAATTCTTGTAATGTTCAAGGTTTTATGCTATTTCTTTTATTTATTTACTTATTAAAAAAAATATCATTTTTTGAGGCCGGGTGTGGTGGCTCACGCCTGTCATCCCAGCGCTTTGGGAGGCCAAGGCAGGATGATTGCTTAAGGCCAGGAGTTCAAGACCAGCCCGGGCAACACAACGAGACCCTGTCTATATATATATATATTTAATTCATTTAAAACAATCTTGCGTTGTCACCTAGGCTGGTGTGCAGTGGCACAATCACAGCTCACTGCAGCTTTGAATTTCTGGGCTTAAAGGATCTGCCTGCCTTAGCCTCTCAAGTAGCTAGGACTATAGGCACCTCACAATGCCTGGCTGATTTTTAAAGTTTTTTAGTAGAGATGGGGGTCTCGCTGTGTTGTTGTCCAGGCTGTTCTTGAACTCCTGGCCTCAAGTGATCCTCCTGCCTTGGTCTCCCAAACAACTAGGATTACAGATGTGAGCCACTGAGCCTGGCCTATGCTAGTTCTGGTGGAAAATACAGATGTATAAGATACTGTCTCAGTCCTCACATTGTTTACCATTTGCATAGGGAGAACAATGTGTATTCTATAATTTTAAAAGAGGTGATGATCCTCAAGGACTAAAAGGTCGGGCAACTTTATAGAAGAATTTAATTTTGTACACATTTATTAAGTACCTCAGCTGCTCAAGGTACTGGTTCATTATAGGGCTAGAAAGATAATTACAAAGGTTTCCAGGGAATTTGACATGGGAACTGTTTGCTGTTATTTTCACTTGGAAACCCAGATTTGTTTAATGAGAATAGTTAAGAGTAGAAAAGTGAATTGCAAAGGCAGTGGTTTATCATATCAGAACTGAATGGAATGCTCACACACCATTCTTGGAACAGCATTAGCACACTGCTCTGCACATGCACTGTGATTTGATTTGCATCTTGAAGGCTGAATAACCTGAGATAGCCAGAAGGAAGACTGCATTTCCAGGGAGGAGTTACCTGAGTAGAGGATGTAATTGGCCTTTCCTTTGTTTATAATTAAATAAAAATAAAAACGTGCCACCATTACTAGTTAGATACTGATGTATGCCTTTCTTCTTTACTTAGGCTTTTTGTGCCTTATAAATCTAAGAGGCAAAGAGTCATGGACTTTGACTTAAATGTCTTTTGAGTTATTGATGCCTATGCATTTTCTCAGTTAGTTAAATAATAAGCCAGGTACCAGTAATTACAAATTAGACTGCTGCCAGCCCCTTCGAGCAGTCTGGCAAGTGTGGGAAGCTTTGTCAGAAAGGGACCCAGCATGTGAATGACTATGAGAATGAATCAGTGTAAATTCAATACCATTTCAAGCACAGATTGCCCTGATGGTTTCGGAAGTACAAATGATACTGAATTTAGGATAGTTTGACTTAGGATTTCTCAACTTTATGATAGGTTTATTGGGATATGAAATGCATTTCAGCTAATATTTTCAACTTATGTGATGGATTTATCAGGATATAACCCCATTGTAAGTTGAGAAGCATTTGTATAGCTTTTGCGCATGTTCTGCACATTTTTTTATCACTAAAGTTAATCTGTTCAGCATAGATATTAACTGTTTATTAATTAGTGAAAATATAGACCTCAAACTTCTAAGAGTTGCACAGATATCTTAAGGTAGCACAAATAATGTTGTATTAAACATTTAAATAATTTTTCAGCTACCAACCAATAGTTGACTACATAGATGCTCAGTTTGAGGCCTATCTCCAAGAAGAACTGAAGATTAAGCGTTCTCTCTTTACCTACCATGATTCTCGCATCCATGTGTGTCTCTACTTCATTTCACCGACAGGCCACTCTCTGAAGACACTTGATCTCTTAACCATGAAGAACCTTGACAGCAAGGTGGGTTGAGGAAAGGAATCAACTTACCATACTTTAATATTTATTTTTAACTGTTAAAATATTTTTACAATATGGATATATATTGTAACTTTTATCCTGTGCATCTTTTTTAAATTTTTTTTTTTTTTTTTTTTTTTAGAGATAAAGTCACTCTGTCACCCAGGCTGGAGGTAGTTGTGAGATCGTGGCTTACTGCAGCCTCAAACCCGTGGGCTCAAACGATCCTCCTGCCTCAGCTTCCCAGGTAGCTGGGACTATAGGCATGTACTACCACACCCAGCTAACTTTTTAATTTTTTTTTTTTTGTGGAGTTGGATGTCTTGGTATGTTGCCCAGTTGGTCTCAAACTCCTGGACTTAAGTGATTTTCCTTCCTTGGTCTCTTGAAGTGCTAGAACTACAGGCATGAGCCACCATGCCCAGCGCCTGGAAATCTTTAAAACATTTTATATTTCCATCTAGCTTATTTTTTCAGAGAAATTCAATTTGGAAGATGAGATGCAAAGAAGGAATATTGCAATAAAATTTTAGTTTCCTTTGTAGTGATTAAATTGCATGCCAGAACATGGGTATTCTCTGCATTTTTAATGCAGAATTTAGTTGATACTAATTTTACTTTATGCCACTATTAAGTGAGAAGAACTTCATTAACAAGGATTAAGGTCTAATGTTGCATTAGATATTGTCGTAAAATACATTTTAATTTGGACCATACTGAGAAAACCTATTTTTGAATTTCCAAGCCAAGGAGCTATATATAAATTTAGGGAGCTATAGAAAAATTCATAAACTAACTCACTTCAGATTTTTATATTTGTTTAAAAAATGGCTAAAGACAGTAATCTTACATTAAAGAAACGTTAGAATTTTCCATAATCTCAAATGGTATGCGAAATGAAGCTTTCATGATCCTGGTTACTAACTGTATAAGTTGAATTAAAAATCCAAGGTTGTTCTGGATGCTGCTTCTTTCTCTGCAGAAACCTGTATGGAAAGCCTGAAGGCCTGCCTAGTGAAGCTTTGGCACATCGGTCGATTTACTTTTGACTAGTTGCTTGGTCCCCTGGTTTTAGCAAAAATTGATGTAGCTTATATGACAGTCTGTTCACCTGATCACATGTGATCAGATGTTCTAACCATTTAGCCAGTTGTTTTCATAGTTGAGTCTGATTATATGGAAATTCATATTTGTTAAAGGAACATAAAAACAAGAGTGTGCAGTTTTGTCTTAGCTAGAGAGGAGCAACATGAGGTAATTTGTATAAAGATTTGTAGAAGCTGGTGTCAGTGGAGGACGGCTCTAAATATTGGCTCTGTCATTTATTAGCTGTCTGATCTTGCAAGTTTCTTTAGCCCTCTGAGCCTCAGTGGACTTAAGTGATTTTCAGTGTCCTCCACTTTTAAATAAAAACTAGGGAGAAGAACTACCTCAAGAGGCAGATATGAAAATTAATTAAATTGATCCATGTAAATAGAGGGTTTAGCAAATAGGCATACCCAGTAAGAGCCTATCTGCCATAGAAGTTTGCTTTAGTATACTGTGTAAGTATATATTATCTAATCTTTTCCAAATTTGGTGATTTAAATATATTCTTTATTTTTTATGATAAAAGTGTAAACTACCCTGTAAAAATACCTGCCTCTTATTTTACATAAGAAGGTTGTTGGGCTGGACATGGTTGCTCATGCCTGTAATCCCAGCACTTTGGGAGGCCAAGGCAGGCGGATCACAAGGTCAGGAGTTTGAGACCAGCCTGGCCAACATAGTGAAACCTTGTCTCTACTAAAAATACAAAAATTAGCCAGGCATGATGGCACATGCCTGTAGCCCCAGCTACTCAGGAGGCTGAGGCAGGAGAATTGCTTGAACCCAGGAGGCGGAGGTTGTGGTAATCCGAGATTGCACCACTGCACTCCAGCCTGGGCGACAGAGCGAGACTCCGTCTCAAAAAAAAAAAAAAAAAAAAAAAAAGTTGTTTTAAAAGTTAGCTGAAGTCTACCTGTCCGGGTATAAAACAGGCAGTCAAGAGGGGTTAGGACATGGCTGTCATGCTGAACTGCCTGGATTCTGCTTCAGCCCCGCCACTTAGCAGCTATGTGGCCCTGGACAAACTTGGATTCAATTTTTCATATATAAAATAGGGCTAGAGGCCAGGTACGGTGGCTCGTGCCTGTAACCCCAGCGGTTTGGGAGGCCGAGGCGGGCAAGTCACAAGGTCAGGAGATCGAGACCATCCTGGCTAACACGGTGAAACCCCGTCTCTACTAAAAATACAAAAAAAATTCAGCCGGGCGTCGTGGCATGCGCCAGTAGTCCCGGCTACTCGGGAGACTGAGGCAGGAGAATGGCATGAACCCAGGAGGCAGAGCTTGCAGTGAGCCAAGATCACACCACTGCACTCCAGCCTAGGCGACAGAGCGAGACTCCATCTCAAAAAACAAAAAAAAAGAGGTGGGGAGCTAGAGAGAGCTCACTCTAAGACTTTTGGGAAGATTAGCTGAGATGAATATTACGAAGCATTTAGTACAATGCCTGGCATATATGAAGCACCTCTGTTACTGTTGTGTTATTTAAAACTTATTTAAAAATTAACAGGCACAGTTTATTGATGATATTTACATATTGGTATTTGAGGTAACTGGCCAACCCAACCACCTTTGAGTCATCAAAAGTCTTTAAGAAGTGTTAGCCAGGAGCAATTTATATTGATGTAGTCCCTTAGTGGATTTTCAGGAATAAATGGAAGAGCTAATGAGCACTTGTTCAGAGGCAGTCCACCTTGAACCAGCAGTTCAACCTGCAAACTCTTATAACAACTAGTTCTAGATGCTTCCTAGTCATCCCTCAGTATCCAAGGGGGATTGGTTTCGATACCCTGAGGATGCTGAAATTCCTTATATAAAATAGTGTAGGACAGTCTTGCAGTGCAAAACTACATTTTAGTCAGCAAGGGACCAAATATAGAATGGTGGTCCCATAAGATTATACCTTATTTTTACTGTACTGTATTATATGTTTCTGTGTTTAGATATGTTTAGATATACACATACTTAGCATTGTATTATAGTTGCCTACATACACACACTTACCATTGTATTATGGTTGTCTACAGTATCCAGTATAGTTACATGCTGTACAGGCTTATAGTCTAGAAACAATGAGCCATACCATACAGCCTAGGTGTGTCATAGGCTATAACATCCAGGTTTGTGTGAGTATACTCTGTGATGTTCACGCAACATCAAAATCACCTAAGATCATATTTCTATCGCATTTCTATCACCATGTTTATTAGTCCGTTCTCGCATTGCTATAAAGAACTATCTGAGACTGGGTAATTTATGAAGAAAAGAGGTTTAATTGACTTACAGTTCCTTAGGCTGTACAAGAAGCCTGGCTGGGGAGATTTCAGGAAATTTAAAACCATGGCGGAAGGCGAAGGGGAAGCAGGCATGTCTTATATGACCTGAGAAGGAGGAGGAGAGTGCAGGGGGAGGTGCTACACACTTTTAAACAACCAGATCTCGTGAGAACTCACTACCACAAGAACAGCAAGGGACAACTCTGTCCCCATGATCCAGTCACCTCTCACCAGACCCCTCCAACACTGGGGATTACAATTTTACATGAGATTTGGGTGAAGACACAAATCCAAACCATGTCGCCATGGTTAAGCCACACATGACTGTATATAACCTACTTGTATCCTTGCATATACTTTAAATAATCTCTAGATTACACATTATAATACCTAATACAGGCCGGGTGTGGTGGCCCATGCTTGTAATCCCAGCACTTTCAGAGGCCAAGGCAGGTGGATCACGAGGTCAGGAGTTCAAGACCAGCCTGGCCAACACAGTGAAACCCCATCTCTACTAAAAATACAAAAAAATTAGCTGGGCATGGTGGCAGGCACCTGTAATCCCAGCTACTCGGGAGGCTGAGGCAGAATTGCTTGAACTTGGGAGGCGGAGGTTGCAGTGAGCCAACATCACGCCACTGCACTCCAGCCTGGGCAACAGAGCTAGACTCCGTCTTGGAAAAAAAAAAAAACCTGATACAATGTAAATGCTATGTCAATAGTTGTTATATTGTATTTTAAAATTTGTATTATTTTTCTTGTTGTATTGTCATTAAAAAAATTTTTCCCCTAATATTTTTGATCCTCAGTTGGTTGAATCTGTGGATGCAGAACCCACAGATGATGAGGGGGGCAACTGTAAAGACATTAATGAGCATTACAATATTACCTTTTGACCAATACCTTATTTCATTCAAACCAAAATGAAATATTTTATGGTAACGGTAAAGGTCATGGGTATCATGCACTCATTTAAAGATGGTCACTACTCACTTCTGCCTTATTCAGTTGATGAGAGACAAATTCTAAAATTGGGACTGCCTTATCAAAATCCTGCCTTTAGCTTTCTATTGTACAAACTAGACAGGAAGTTAACCCCTAAGCTTTGTTTTAAGTTTAAAAGAAAAACTAGGATATGCTGAAATTACTTGATTTGGCCCATTTTAAATAGCAATACACAGGTTTTTTTTTTGTAGGGGCAGTTGGCAGGTGTAGGGAAATTTTCACTTACACAAGGGCACTACATAAAGATGAGAGGTGGTGTCCTTGCTGACCTCATCTTGCCACTCCCCAGGCCACCTCCAGATAGTTGTTTTCTGTTACTAAAAAGCAGAACATTCGACTGCTTGACATGGAAAGTTATCTTCTCTTACGCCATTGGTGACAAGCGACCCTCTTTGGGCAATATCTGTTACTTTCCCTCCCTCTAATAGTCATGTAAACATTGATGTTTAGTATTCAGTCTACTGCAGTTTATTGTGCAAGCAATTATAAGTTATTAACTTGGCATAATTTGTTGAATACCTAAGTATATAATATTGAAACTAAGGACTTGGCACCAAAATGTTTATGTACTTTGACTAATTTAACAGGAAAGTTGTTTACTTAGGATTGCTGGAAAGTTTTCTGCCATCAATTTCATAGACAGAAAAAATTTCTCTCCTTGGGAGCATATGGAAGGCTGATAAATTCAGATATATACTTGGCATCAATGTGAAATTTGAGAAGATAAAAAAATTTAGAATAGGAATTATAATTTTTTCCTTTTTTTTTTTTTTTTTTAACAAGAGTTTTGCTCTTGTTGCCCAGGCTGAAGTGTGGAATGCAATGACGCGATCTCGGCTCACTGCAACCTCTGCCTCCTGGGTTCAAGCGATTCTTCTGCCGCAGCCTACCGAGTAGCTGGGATTACAGGCATGTGCCACCATGCCCACCTAATTATTTTGTATTTTTAGTGGAGATGGGGTTTCTCCATTTTGGTCAGGCTGGTCTCGAACTCCCGACCTCAGGTGACCCACCTGCCTCAGCCTTTCAAAGTGCTGGGATTACAGGCGTGAGCCACCACGCCCAGTCAATTTTTTACTTTTAATCTGAAAATTACATTGAGGTTTTACTGTCTTGATACATATGACTGATTAGCCTGAGGTTTTTGATGAAAAACAAACTAAAAAACTTAAGAACCACCAGTCACAAATTTGTGGAGCTATCAGTCTTTTGTGGGGATATTAATCTTATAGAACTAGATTTACAAGTTATTCGGTCTTCACAACCCCAAATCTCTTGCCCTCTGTCAGTGATAGGACTTCAAATAATACTGAGAAAGTTATTCCTTTGCATCATGAACACTTTTAAGATAGTAGTACATACAGTTTCCTTCCTCTGCTGTCTAAGTAAGTCTGTGACAGTGGGGCACAGGTAGGCATGGAGTCAGTCCTGAAACGAGGCACAAAGAGAAGCTTCACCTGTCTTTTAGTTTTGCTGAGGGATCAATCACCCTGGTTACTTAGTGCTTAGATTATTAAAAAATAAAAATTCTTAGTGAATTGAGGCAATTCAGTTTACCTTTTATCACATTTTACTTTTTAAGTGTATGATGAAATTGCAAGATTTTGAGAGAGAAGAAAATGTGAGATTTCTAAACCTAAATTCAAATGAAAGATTAATCTTACAAGAGTTCTGCTTTCTGAAAGCATTGATTGAGGTGCCTGTAATCCCAGCTACTTGGGAGGTTGAGGGAAGAGAATCGCTTGAACCCAGAAGGCAGTGGTTGCAGTGAGTTGAGATTGCACCATTGCACTCCAGCCTGGGTTACAGCGAGACTCCATCTCAAAAAAAAAAAAAAAAAAGATTGTGTGGCTGGCATCTGTAGGAATGAGTGTATAAGGGGTGTATATATACAGGAGAATGGCCATCTGGGTCAGGGTTGGCATGCCTTTTCTGCAAAGGGCCAGGCTGAGAATACACTGGGCGTCACAGGCCCTGTGGTTTATGGCAGCAGCAACTCATCTCTGCTGTTGTAGTGTGAACGCAACTGTAGACAGTACACAAGCAAATGGGCATGGCAGTGTTCCTGTAAATCTTTATGTATCAAGATCAACAGCGAGATGGACCGTAGTTTGCCAGCCCCCCGATCTAGGTTTAGGGAAATTCATTGTCAGAATGAACAGTTTTGAGTGAAAAAACAGCTGCAGGATTAAAAAAAAAAATCCTCAGTAAGATTTTGTTTTTCTTTATTCTTAATAGGTAAACATTATACCAGTGATTGCCAAAGCAGATACGGTTTCTAAAACTGAATTACAGAAGTTTAAGATCAAGCTCATGAGTGAATTGGTCAGCAATGGCGTCCAGATATACCAGTTCCCAACGGATGATGACACTATTGCTAAGGTCAACGCTGCAATGAATGTGAGCTCCTGATTGAATGTTAATTCTGTTTTCCATGTGAAAATAAAACTGTAATTTGTGAGTAATATTGCTGCTAATACACTTTCACTTGTGTCTTCCAAAAAGACTTCAAACAAGGTGAATTTTCAAAAAGTCCAGTATGAGAAAATGTTTAGTTTTTTAAGTTGGAAAAGGTGTAAGGAGAATTTATTTTTAAGCATATTTTTCTTTCACTCTGCTTTCACCAAAATAAAGTGATAGATTTGTGAGACTGGGATATACCTTTTGTGCAGCCATATGTAATTGCCTTAGAAAGATGACACCTTCCTACCCTGTCTTTATAAACATGAGAAGACTTTACAGCCTCCCTTTGCATGCTGTAAAATCTTAAAATCTTTAAGGAGGTCTCTTAAAACTAGTATTTATGCTCCTTCTCTCTCATAGTGTCAAGTTACATTCATATAACTTTTAGTTTAGTACAATGGAAGGTGACTAAGTTCTTAATTTTACTTTCTTGAAGCTAACACATTTTTAAAACACCTGGTTGTGTTTTGTAGGATCATGGGTTTTGAAATCTGACAGGCTTGGTTGGCCATATGTCCATTGGAGTTACTAACCTCCCTGAGACTTAACATATCTACAAAGTTAGGTTAATACTGCCCACCTTAAGGGTTGTTGTGAGGGATAAATGATGTCACCTTTGTTAAGCGCCTAACAGTGACTTTCAATAATTGTTCATTCCATTTCTTCTATTTTCCTTTTCTGATTTTTCATACCACTTTTATATTAGTGTACCTAAACTAAATCTGTAAAAAAAAACTGACTAATGTAAATGAGGTGATCTTAATTCCTATATGTTAAATTGTCTTTACATCTAATTTTATTTCTTGTGCTCAACTAGAATATTCAGAAAGCCACCATTAAGAAACTAAATATGTCAATTTTAAAATATTAAACATAGTAATTAATAATTTTTACATTAGACTTTTCCCCTGTATTAATCCTCAACTTCAGACAGACCAGTCTACTCCCTGCCCCTGAACCTAGCTATTGCATTTTGTTCAGAATCTTTTCCTTTTCTAAGCCATTTCTTCCCACTTTGCTTGTCCATCTAAATCTTGTTCTTCTTGATGTGGGTTAGCTTGTGTCTTCCTGCTCCTAGTGATCTCTCACTCCTCTCAATTTCTAGGACATTTACTATATTGACATTAATTTGGGACTTTGTGTACTACTTTATATTAGTACCATATCTATACACCCACATACTGTACACACACACACAAACAATAGGAATACACTATTGTATAGTTACATATACATTTTGTATACTGTGGGTGTGTGTATGTGTAATTTCCTCAACATTATCTTTGTCTTTTAGAGGAAAATTCTTTTTCGGCCAGGTGTGGTGGCTCACACCTATAATCCCAGCACTTTGGGATTATAGGGCTCACACCTATAATCCCAAGACAGGTGGATCACCTGAGGTCAGGAGTTCGAGACAAGCCTGGCCAACATGGTGAAACGCCGTCTCTACTAAAAATGCAAAAATTAGCTGGATGTTGTGGTGGGCAACTGTAATCCCAGCTACTCGGGAGGCTGAGGTAGGAGAATCACTGGAACCCAGGAGGCGGAGGCTGCAGTGAGATGAGATCGTGTCACTGCACTTCAGCTTGGGCGACAGAGTAAGACTCTGTCTCAAAAAAATAAAAATAAATAAATAAATTTTTTTTGTTTGTGTGTATTCCCAATAGCATAATGCCTTACATGTAAATACTTTTCTTTATGGGGCCCAAAGATGACTCTTGTAGAACAGTTAGCACATATTCACTGGCAGGTTTTAAAATCTGAGGCATAGCTGACCATTCGATTTTAATAGGTTTGTTATTTAATTATTCTCTTCTCTCTCACATAAAATTTATTTTATCTAGTCAGTTATCACAGTGGTATGAGAAGATGTGCTCGATATTCTTTTTCAGGGACAGTTGCCGTTTGCTGTTGTGGGAAGTATGGATGAGGTAAAAGTCGGAAACAAGATGGTCAAAGCTCGCCAGTACCCTTGGGGTGTTGTACAAGGTAAATGAGACAAAGGATGACTAGAAATATGTATCTATCTAGTAATCTCAAAGCTACCTGTCATGCCTTCTTTGGGGTGATGCTTAGTTTGGATGTGATTGGTTGTCAGAGGAATTGGCTGTGTACTATTTTAGCCAAAGTCTGGAGGCCGTGTAGAGCCTCCCACTTCTCATTATGCCACACACACATTACCCCCGCCCCCACGGTACCCTGTTAGTAGGTGGGAAACACCAGTGGGGCACTCTGACCAAAATGTGAATGTGGAAAGTAGTGTTCAGACATAAAACATCACTAATTACCACTTAAGTATAAGAACAGTCAACCATCTTATAAATTTATATATTTTTACTGATCAAAGTATTGCCGGCTATTTCCAGAATAAGCCAGTCAGCCAACTTAAAAAGTTAAATCTACTTGACATTTAGATTATTTAGCTGACATTATAATGAGTAAGTAAATAGTATTATATGGTTCATTTACTTATAGTGCTAATTAATGGTGAATAGATTACCCTTACTAGTATGGATTTCCAAATGCTGATTTTTTTTCTTAATTGATAAATTTTGTAATGAATGAAAAAATTGAGAAAATATAACATTTTTAATTTTATAAAAAATGTAAAAGTAATAATTATACTTAAGAGTATTGGTCACAATAAAATATATTTATTTGTAGTCCTCTGGTCACCGTAAACATAGAAGAAGGATCATGTAAGTGTGTTCACTAATTTTGAATAGTGTCTAACACAGGATCATAAATGTGTTCTATAAAAAGAATTTGATAATTATAGCAGGGAAGGATAGTATTCTTGAGTTTGCAGAATTTACTACTTTGAAGTTTTAGTGAACTAATATTACATACTCTTTAAACATTATGTGAAATGTCTTCAGGATAGTTTGTAAACTGCTAACAAAATATTAGTGTGAAATAACTAGAACACTTGGTTAACAATAAGTTGTGTCTTTTTTGGTATTTCCTGGTGATTCATTGGCTACTAAATTTAAAGTAAATCTGGTCTGTTAATTCACATTGCCTATGATACAGTATTTATACTGCAAGAGTTTCTTCCTTGGTTACATGTATAAAATAATCGTAGCTGTTAATCAAACTGATCATTTGCTATTTGTTGTTTCACATGTTTTCATTTATTTGTTCATTCAGCAAACACTTAGTTGTGTGCCAGGAATTAAAATCCAGTGTTGTTCTTTTCTTATTTTTTTTTGGCTAGTGGAAAATGAAAACCACTGTGACTTTGTAAAGCTGCGGGAAATGCTCATTTGTACAAATATGGAGGACCTGCGAGAGCAGACCCATACCAGGCACTATGAGCTTTACAGGCGCTGCAAACTGGAGGAAATGGGCTTTACAGATGTGGGCCCAGAAAACAAGCCAGTCAGGTAGGGTGGGGTTCTTGGGAAGCCAACCAAAGAGGAAGTTAGAGAGGATTGCATATTTTTATATATCCAGGATGATGGGGCATGTGTTCTTTAGAATCTCCCAAAACCATGATATAGAATCATTTGGTAATGACTAATTATTGTGCTTCTTGAATCACTTGACTCCTTCTTGCTTTTGAAGAGTCTTGCTTTTTAAGTCCTTGTCTGACTCAAAAAGAGTTAAATATGATGAAGAATGTATGGCAGAGGCCCCCTGTTTCAGTTCATGCTGACATGAGTAACTGAAGGAAAATACCCTCATTATTTGATTTCTTTTTGTATTTATCTGAGACGATGATATATTTAACTGTTGTCATAAAGGTAAGTTGGAACACAAATCATTTTCTTAGTTTTATTTATTTATTTTTTGTAGAGACAGGGTCTTACTATGTTGCCCAGGCTGGTCTCAAACTCCTGGCCTCAAGTGATCCTCCTACCTCAGCCTCGCAAAGCTTTGGGATTACAAATGTGAGCCTCCATACCAGTCCTCAGGAATCATTTAAAATAAACTAAAACATTTTCTGTTGGTTTTTCTTCTGTAAAGGTTTTGGAATGAGTGAAGCTTAGCAAAACATATTATAAAGGAAGAAGGAGAGTGCTTGTAGGGAGTTGGAGATTAGATTGTTTCTTGCCATATTACAGTGTAGTTATAAGAATTTTAGAATCTGAACCCTTCCTTGCTCAGTAATATAAAGCATTAAAAGTTGTAGAAACTTCCTTGGTAATTTTATATGGTGCTGTATCCCAGACTTTATGCAACTCAAATCCTTAGTGTACTGAATCAGATCAATTTGATGTAGCATTCCAGAACAGTGTTTGCATGCAGGAAAGCGTGAGATCCTTGGGACAAGTGCTATTTTAAACTCTCTTATGAGACTGAGGATTCCTTTTCCATTGCATTGTTTGCATTTGTTATTTCTCTGGTTCTTAGCACCTGCACCAGAGTAAACAAAAGAAAGGGGGAGGAGTGCATCAAATTAGTGCCGCTGTTGCATATAAGCTTTTGGAAGACTTAATCTTAGATGAAGTTAAATTTTTAAATTTCTTCAGTCTATGGAGTTAATTAATGTTTTCACTTCTGGTAGCATAATGAATTAAGAATTGTATATACTTATGGCCGGGTGTGGTGGTTCATGGCCTGTAATCCCAGCACTTTGGGAGGCCAAGGCGGGCAGACCACTTGAGGTTAGGAGTTCAAGACCAGCCTGGCCAACATGGTGAAACCCCGTCTTTACTAAAATTACACAAATTAGCTGGGTATGGTGGCACACTTCTGTAAAACCAGCTACTCAGGAGGCTGAGGTAGGAGAATCACTTGAACCTGGGAGGCAGAGTTTACAGTGAGCTGAGATCGTGCCACTGCACTCCAACCTGGGCAACAGAGCGAGACTCCATCTCAAAGAAAAAAAAAAAAAGCATTGTGTGTACTTAACCCACCCTCACCAAATTCAGGCATAGGATGCTTCTGGTTGTGGGCCAGTCATTCTCGTAAACTGACAATTTTCTCATGATATTGTCTTCACTAAAGATTAATCATCTCGAGTTAGCTTCCCTAGTGTTTCTCAGAGGAGACTCACTTCTCATTTCTTCCAAGTCTCAGGGTCACTTCAGAGGCCTCTGTGCACTGAGGTGGAAGGGGTCCTGAGTAAGAGCGGGCAGGGACAACTTTGAAGTCCTCTCTGAGGAGACAGGCCTAGGTGTCTGGTGGAGTCATCATCAGTCACCTGTGGATGATTAAGAAATGCAGGGTCAGAATTTCCAGGGATGAAGCCTAGAAATCTGCAGTCAGAATTCTTAGTCATTCAGCAAATAGTTTGTCTGCTATCTGCTCAGCCAAATGCTAGTCATTGGGTGTATGTGCACTGTTGGATCAAATAGAGACCCTGCTTGTGTAGAGTCTCTGTTGAGGGGTGGGAGGAGGACCCCTATGTGAAGAAGAGAGTTGGGGGAGGGGGGCAGGTGGAAGTGGGGAGACCAAGTTAGGAGGTTGCCATGGTGGTCCAGGCATGAGAAGATGGAGGCGTGAAAGAGAGGGGTAGTGACAGAGGGGTGAGAAGCATGCTTAAGACATGTATTTTTTTAAATTTAATTTTATTATTATTATTATTATTTTTGAGATAGAGTCTCACTGTGTTGCCCAGGCTGGAGTTCAGTGGCATGATCTCTGCTCACTGCAACCTCTGCCTCCTGGGTTCAAGCGATTCTCATGCCTCAGCCTCCTGAGTAGCTGGGACTATAGGCATGCACCACCACCCCCAGCTAATTTTTGTGTTTTTGTAGTAGAGACAGGGTTTCACCATGTTGGCCAGGCTGGTCTTGAATTCCTGGCCTTGGGGTCAGGAATTCCTGGCCTTGAATTCCTGGGGTCTTGAAACCCCATCTCTACTAAAAATACAAAGTGATCTGCCTGCCTTGGGCTCCTGAAGTGATGGGATTACAGTGATGGATCACACCTGGCTAAGGATATGTAATTTGAAATTAAAGTCCATAGGACCCACTGATAAATTATTTTTGCATATGGGATTTGAAGGAAAGAGAGGGATCAAGGATAACTCAGTCACCACTTTGACCTAGAAAATGGGGTGACTGGTGGTGATCGTTATTGACCTGAGGAGGATGGGAATCAGAGAGTTTAGGGGTGTAGTTGGTAATCCAGAGGTTTTAGAAATGTTACATTTAAGCTGCTTATTAAATATTCAGGTGAAGAGTTTGAGTAGGTTATTAGACACATGATGAATCTGGAGCTAGGGAGAAGTTAGGGCTGCCATAGTAATTTGGGAGTCAGCAGTGAATAATACTGGGTAAAATCTTAAGTATTTTTTTAAAAGGCTCTGCTAAATGCTAGAGATTACTATTATTTTGCATGGAGTTTATGTTCTTGTAGGGGAGTTCAAAAATTAAACACCTAATTGCACAGTACATTGTAGCTGTGATATAAGCACTAAAGGAGAGGCAGACAGTGTAAAATGGGTTGTGTGGGTGGGGGGGTTCCAAATTTAAGCTGGAAAATTCGGGAAGACTTTCTTGAGGCAGTGGCTATTTTGAGCTGTAGTAACTTGGGGAAAACAGAGCAAGACATATACAAAGGGCTGAAGATGGAGAGAGAATGGCATCTGTAAGACTCCGGAAGAAGATCAGTTCACTGCAGTACAGCAGGACAGATGAGGCAGGCCTGGGCTCACGTGAGATGAGAGAAGAGAACAGGCAGGCAGCAGCTGTGGAGGCCCTGGGGAGGATTTTGATCTTTGTCCTAAGGGGAAGGCAACGCTATTTTAGGAATAATATAATATTTGCATTTTAAAAATTATTATTTGCTCTAATGTGAAGGAGGTATTGAAGGGGTGTTCAGAGATGCTTAGGAGAGGCCAGTTAGGAGAGCATTTCTTTGACTAAAGTGAGATCAATGAAAATAAAGAGCTGGACATATTTGAGAGATGACTAGAAGGTAAAATTGGAAGAACTTAGTGGTTGTTTGGATATAATAAAGTGAGAAAGCAGGAGGCTAGAAGGAGACGCCTAGTCTCCTGAATTTATGGTTTCATGGCTAGGTGGATGGTTACTGCATTCATCTAGATAGGTATGGCTGAAGGAGGACTAGCTTTTTTGTGTGTGTGTGAGGCAGCAGTGGTAGGCACAATGGAGGTCACAGTTTGGGACCTGTTGACTTTGAGTTTCCTCTGAAACAGCAAAGTGACAATTACAAGTAAGCACTTTGGGGTATCTTTCTGGAGGTCAGAAAAGCAATGGGCCAAAGAAATAGCTTAAGAGTCATGGGTATTTAAATGATTAATTCTATGTGTGACCAGGGATAAGACTGCCTGTAGAGAGAAATACATCTAGAAAGAAAGGTGACTCAGAAACAGCCTTGAGTCCCTTTAGTATTTGTCAGCTGGAGGAGCAGATAGGAGAGCTTGAGAAGGGAGGAGGAGGAAAACCAGCAGTGTCACGTCTTGGAACTTGACAGAGGGGATCAAGAGAGAGGGAGTCTGCTGCTGTGTCAAAGTTGAGGTCCAGGTTTATGCTGCACAAGTACAGAGGTGCTTCCTTGACAATTCTTGGAGAATAATGAAGACCACTTTGTGTTCAGTTAAAAAAGGCAGTGGTTGGGGCCAGGCCCGGTGGCTCACGCCTGTAATCCCAGCACTTTGGGAGGCTGAGGCGGGCGGATCACGAGGTCAGGAGATCAAGACTATCCTGGCTAACACGGTGAAACCCCATCTCTACTAAAAATACAAAAAATTAGCTGGGCGTGGTGGCGGGCACCTGTAGTCCCGGCTACTTGGGAGGCTGAGGCAGGAGAATGGCGTGAACCTAGGAGGCAGAGCTTGCGGTGAGCCAAGATCATGCCACTGCACTCCAGCCTGGGTGACAGAGCGAGACCCCATCTTAAAAGACAAAAAAAAAAAAAAAAAAAAGGCATTGGTTGGAGGCTACATAGGTCTGGACTTGCAGATTTGAAGGGAAGGCCTGCAACAGGTAGAAACCATTTTTGTTCCAGCTCTGGGAGTGGAATGAATGAACTGAAACCATTGCCAGCCTTTTTTGTTCACTGCTCACAATTCATAGTCCAGGGAAAGAATGTCCAGTAGGCCTGATGTAGGTCATGTTCCCATCTCTTGTTTAGGAGTGAGTGTGAACCTGATTAATTGTCCCACAAGACTGTATCCCATGGGGGAGAGGTAGCCCCCAAAAAGGTAATGAGGATAATGGATACTGGTACCAAGAGGAAAGGACTCAATGATAGGTAGTCAGAAATCATAGATTGCCCATCACATCCATTTGCTGAGCATTTCTTCAGGTTGGGAAGCATCTGATCACTGATCACACAAAGAAGGGGAAATTAGAAAGGGAGATTCTTCAGCTTAGGTCAGGCTACGGACTGGGTGGGAGCAGTGGCTGGAAGAAACTCAGTAAGTTTAGGTCAGGCTACAGAGTGAGTGGGAGCAGTGGCTCACTATTGTCTTCCTAAGAGAGTAGACCTTTCTACTGTATTTCTGGATCACTTGGGTAAAGTTGAGGCAAAATGTCTCTTCTGGTTCTTTGTCATATGTGATTAAATGATTTGATAAGGCTTTTGTAGCTCATTATAGTCTGATGTATTAGGAAGCTTTTATTTTTTATAGTTTCAAGAAGTTATATCTGGCCAGGCGTGGTGGCTTATGCCTGTAATTTCAGTACTTTGGGAGGCCAAGGTGGGTGGATCACCTGAGGTCAGGAGTTCAAGACCAGCCTGGCCAACATGGTGAAACCCTGTCTGTACTAAAAATACAAAAATTAGCCGGGTGTGGTGGCGGACACCTATAAGCCCAGCTATGTGGGAGGCTGAGGCAGGAGAATTGCTTGAACCCAGGAGGTGGAGGCTGCAGTGAGCTGAGATCGCACCACTGCACTCCAGCCTGGGCAACAGAGCGAGACTCCATCTCAAAAAAAAAAAGAATTTATATCTGTTTTCTCGGGAGTCTTTTCCTATTTAATTTGGTAGTTGTTGTAATTTGGTTGGCATGTAAAATCTGTCCCTCAGTATTATATCTATCTAGCAGTAAAGACAAGTTACGCAAACCTGTTGGGTGACCTTTATGTGACTGTACTTCCTGGCCCTCTTTGTTGCCAGAACTTCCGTTTGTTTTTCCACTTACACTTTATTGAATGGGTATGCTGAGTCATGGTGGGTATCCTAATCTACCAGCACCAATCGCAGGCTTGTCACGAGGCCCACGTAAATAGCACTATAGTCATAGTTTAATTAACTGATCTTAACATTTTATATTAATTATTTCAACCATTGGAAACATGCCTTTATAAAACTCTTTAAATCCCCAAGTTTAATAATTAAAGATTAACCTAACTAATCTCTTTCCCACAGTTAATCACCTTTAACTTTTTAGCACAAAATCACTGTCATTGAAGTATTGTGGGACCTGTAGCTTTGAAAGGAAGATGTATGCTTAGTAGTTTAGAGTTGTTTAAGTATTTGACGTAATTTTAGTAAAACTTCATGTCTTTGGAATTCTCAAGAACTAAATAGTTCTTCAGGTAGTCTATAGTAGACTTGGAAAAAGTTCACTAGGCTTATCGGAACTGTACTTGAAACACAAACATGTCCCAATTGAAGGAAAGGACTTTTCTTGATGACATGAGCATCTGAGATTTTTTTCTTTCTTTCTCTTTAGTTTTCAACTTTAAATCAGTGAGATTTGCAACAACAGTAGTATGTTGGCATTAAATATTCATGTCAGGCCAGGTGCAGTCGTTCACGCCTGTAATCCCAACACTATGGGAGGCCAGAAAGGTGGATCACTTAAGCTTTGGAGTTTGAGACCAGCCTAGGTAACATGGCAAAACTCTGTCTCTACAAAGAATACAGAAATTAACCAGCTGTGGTGGCATGCTCATATAGTCCCAGCTACTTGGGTGGTAGAGGCAGGATGATCCAGCCTGGATGACAGTGAGACCCCGTCTCAAAAAAAAAAAAAAAGAAAATTATGACAGCAAGCTACTTTTATGCTAGAAAAGGGAATAGTATAGCAAGAAAATGTTTTTATTTTTATTTAATAAATCTATGATAAGAAACAATGATTGCATTAGTTTTAGAATACTAACTTTATAGACCATTCTCTTTCAGATCTGACTTTCTTTACCACCTTTTGAAAAATAGTACAAGTTTCTTTACTTGAAATTGGCCTTGTAAGTTTACATTGTCAGAAGTTGGAAAGCAGCACGATGAGATGCAAAATATGCAGAAGCAGTCCATTACTTTCTCCTGCTGAGACACCACATTGGGGCAATCTGATTTGTGGTAGTTGGGAATATGGACTTTGGAACAAGTCTAATCTGGTTCAAATCCCAGCTTTTTACTTTTCAGCTATGTTTCTTTGGGCAGATTACTCTCTGTGCTTTAGTTTTCTTATTTAGAATGTCAGGGCTTGTTCTTCAGGGTTGCTGTGGGAATTAAATAGTCAACATAAAGGAGTCCAGAAGAGTACCCTGCCAGTAGCAGATACTCAACAAATGTTAGGTCTCTTCTCTTCACCAGGTAGATATATTTTCCTTGTGAACAACTCAAGTGCTTGTATAGATTAATGAAGCATTGTTTTAAAAAACTTATGTTTGTTATGCATTCAAGATTTTTTTTATAATTTTTTTTAAATTTTTTTTTATTATACTTTAAGTTCTAGGGTACATGTGCACAACGTGCTGGTTTGTTACATATATATACATGTGCCATGTTGGTGTGCTGCACCCATTAACTCATCATTTACATTAGGTATATCTCCTAATGCTATCCCTCCCGCCTCTCCCCACCCCACAACAGGCTCCGGTGTGTGATGTTCCCCTTCCTGTGTCCAAGTGTTCTCATTGTTGAATTCCCATCTATGAGTGAGAACATGCCATGTTTGGTTTTTTTGTCCTTGCGATAGTTTGCTGAGAATGATGATTTCCAGCTTCATCCATGTCCCTACAAAGGACATGAACTCATCATTTTTTATGGCTGCATAGCATTCCACAGTGTATATGTGCCACATTTTCTTAATCCAGTCTGAATTCAAGATATTTTTACATCAAGCTTGTCTTTAAAGACTATCAGTCATGTTGGACTAGTGAAATGTAGGGAGGTTTCTAAAGATGAAGAAAGTAGCTGATAAATATAGGGGCTTCTTTAAAAAAAAAGATCACAACAGAAAAAAAAAGGCCTGATACTAAGTAAAATGCCTCCTTGGGGTGTGAGACATGTGATGTCTAGGGTATTTTGCACATTTGTAATCTCTGCTCTTAAAGAACAGGTTTCTGCAAGTGTTTAGGATCTGTTCCTGCTTGGAACCCCTCCTGTACATGCCTCAAACTCACCTCTCAGCCTTGGTAGCTGTTGTGTAGTATTTCTTACTCTGCGTTTCTTTGAACTTACAGAATTCTATACTTAAAAGCTTAATGTCTCCAGTTATAAAATTTAAGATTAATAAGATTTAATTCATATTTTGAAATTGATTTATTTTTATAAGCAATAGAAATTTCTCACTAATGTAGCTGGAAAGTGAATTTGTATTCTCTGTCAAACCTTTGGGATATTCTTATAGCAAGCCCAAATGGAAGGGCTCAGTGTTTCTGACATATAAGAAGGCTTATTATACCTCCAAAATTCTACACATAGGAAAGGGCAGCTACTGGTAGAGTTCCAGGATAGTCCTTTCTCTGCTGGTTATGCTGGTTAAATCTTCCTCCTCTTCCCAGAAATTTGTCATTCTATGAACATTTATAAAGAAACTGAAATGTCTAGAGAGCTCTGCTGGATAGTCACAGAGATGAATGAGGCTTCATTTTCTGTTCTCAAGATTTGTGACCTATGAGAAGGGAGAGATGGGCAGGATATAAATGCCATGGCAGTGCTTGGAAGGAACAGTTAATTCTAACTGGGGAGTTTGGCAGTCACTACGGGACTGAACGAAGGAGGATGAACACAGAAATGAAAACTTACAAGAAACTGTTTTAAAGGAAGGGGCCAGGGGAAGAAGAAGAGAGCGTCCTGCTTCTAGTGAGCAAAGGCAGCCGCCCCAAGCTTCTTAAGCCGTTTGTATTTATTGGGTAGAAAGAACAGGGAGGAAGAGGTAACGATTGGTCAGCTGCGTAATTGATCACAGGTTCATATTATTGCTAACAGGCTTCAGATGTGCCCTGTAGATAATCACAAGAAACACTTGTGCCTGGGTCGTGACTGCCCTCAGCATTCCTTCTGGATGGCAGACGCAGTTTGTCAGTTTGCTAACATTCTGCATTTATGAGAATAGTTTGCTCTTTACTAATATAGCCTCCAGTGGTATACTGAGTTGATCATGACCCTCATTCTTTTGGCCTGCAACAGGGGAGAGTGGGGGAGACTTTACAGAAGAAGTTACATGTGAATTTGCCCTTGAGGGGTAGAGGATGAGCAGGACAGCATGGGGGTAGAAGGTGGACAGTGGCCACAAACTGAAGCCTGAAATGCCAGGTTCGTTCTGGGAACAATGAACAGGTTGGTGTGGCTGAAACCTGAGGATAGGATATCAGAATTGTTTGGTGAGAAATCAATCTGGAAAGGTAGAATTAGGCCAGAGATTATAAAGTTTCTTGAGTGCAATTTAAAGGAGGTGGGACCTTATTCTATAGATAGCATAACTTTAATGTGGTGAGAAAAGATAATGAGATCTGTGTTTTTGGTGGAAAATCTAGAGGGTGACAAGAACAAAGTGAAAGAAAGAGGAACTAGAAGCTCAGAGATGAATTAGGAGATTGTTGCAGTAGTGAAGGCAGAAAATCACAAAGATCAGGTTCGGCTGTAATCTGGTATCTGTAGAAATGGAAAGAAGGTTATATTAGGAGACTTAGCTTCAGAAGCTGAACTAATGGACCTTGATAAGATAGGGAGATAGGGTAAGGGAAGAGTGAAAGATGACTCAGGATTTCCAAGTTTCTACATACAGTGATTCCAGTGACTCTAGTACTCCATATCAGCACTAACACGGGTGGCTTCATATTTCATGCTATAGGAAATTTCATGTTTTGGGTTACCATGTGTAAAAAAATATTGGTACCTGTTACATATATGAGGCTGAACATGAGATGTACAGCAGGTTCTTGAATAACAATGTTTTGTTCAATGTCATTTTGTTGTAACATTGATAAGAAAAAAAATTGATTCCCGGCGATGGCCACTGTCTGTGTGGAGTTGGCATATTCTCCCTGTATCTACAGGTTTTCTCTGGGTTCTTCATCCCAAAGCTGTAAGCGTTAAGTTCATGGCATGTCTAAATTGTCCCAGTCTGAGTTGGGTGGGGGTGGTGTGAGTGTGCCCTGCAATGGAATGGCATGCTGTCCAGGGCTGATTCTCACTTAGCTTCCAGGATAGGCTCCAGCCACCCATGACCCTGAACTGGAGTAAGCAGGTTGGAGAATGAATGAATGAATACATATTATTGTAACATAAAAATGTATTGTATACATTGTGTATACGATACACAAATGTAGGACAATAAGCAATGCGGTGTGAAAGTGCTCAGTAACCCTGCCATATTTGTTATTGTTTGTTTTTGAATTACATCGTGGTAGGAGGTGATCTTTACAATTTTCCCTTTGCAAACATCTATTCCCTGATTTCACCTCCACCATAATGACTGCCATCACTCACTGATGCACCAAAAATTGGGTAATTAATTGTCCTTCTTGTTTTTGTTAATTTTTCTTAAATGTATATATAGCTAACATTTATTTCAGTGTTTAATATTAGAAGGGTTTTGAGTCTTTATTTAGAAGTTTGGTAATGTTTTTGTGACCAGAAATATACCATACGAACTTAATTCTTGTTTATATCAATTACCCTATGGTAAAAATTGGTTTAATCATACATTGCTTCACTTAAAGTTACAGTTTTCAAGAACCTATTGATGGCATTAGGTGAGCACTTGTATTTTTGAAAGTTTATTGTATCACTTTTTTTTTTTTTTTGAGACAGAGTCTTGCTGTGTCGCCCAGGCTGGAATGCAGTGGCGCGATCTTGGCTCACTGCAACCTTCACCTCCTAGGCTCAAGCAATTCTCCTGCCTCAGCCTCCCGTGTAGCTGGGACTACAGGCGCACGCCACCATGCCTGACTAATTTTTTGTATTTTTAGTAGAGACAGGGTTTCACCATGTTGGCCAGGCTGGTCTTGAACTCCTGACCTCAGGTGATCTGCCCACCTCAGCCTCCCAAAGTGCTGGGATTACAGGCGTGAGCCACCAGGCCAGGCCACTTATATCACTTTTTTTTTTTTTTTGGAGACAGAGTCTCGCTCTGTCACCCAGGCTGGAGTGCAGTGGCATGATCTCAGCTCACTGCAATCTCTGCCTCCTGGGTTCAGGTGATTCTCCCACCTCAGCCTCCCATGTAGCTGGGATTACAGGCACCTGCTATCATGCCCAGCTAATTTTTTTATTTTTGTAGAGACAGGGTTTCACTATGTTGGCCAGGCTGGTCTTGGACTCCTGACCTTAGGTGATCCACCTGCCTCGGCCTCCCAAAGTGTTGGGATTACAGGCGTGAGCCGCCATACCCGACCTATATCACTTTTTAGCAGGAGAGTAACACAAATAACTTTTTAGTGTTCAAGAGACCTATGAAGCCAAAAGACATGAGTTCCATGGTGAACGTCAGAGGAAGGAAGAAGAAATGAAACAGATGTTTGTGCAGCGAGTAAAGGAGAAAGAAGCCATATTGAAAGAAGCTGAGAGAGAGGCAAGTATGCTGGTTTGATGTGATTTGCATTTATTTTTTAGATGTCCTATTAATTTGGAGGATTTATTCCAAGAATTTGCTTGAGACTCTTTTGTAGGCTACTTGTTCTTTAAAGAGTAGCTTTTCCAACACATAGTATTTGAATATTGACTTAGAATCATAGCCTGAAATTAAATGAAAACTTTGGCCTTCTTTTTTTTTAAAGCAGTACATTTATGGAGTCACTAATCGTTGAAATTCTTACAATGAACTGGAAGCTGCAGCAGCTACCCTCTTGGGTGCACACATTTTTCTTTCATGAAATCCATGCCTTGAATCCACGGTATACAATTTTTAGGTGCCTCATTCAACCAGTCTCAGTGGTGGTTTGTCTTTGTTAGTGCCAAGGCTAAAAGAAGAAACACGACTGGATGTTTTCTTATGCCTAGCAGGGTAAGCCACATTTGCCACAGCCCAACTCCTGAAGGTGGTGGGCCTCACAGCCACAGTGGCAACACAGTGTATGCGTCTTACTGTGATGCTTCCCAAACTATGACCTTCCCTTTGTCATCTCACTCCTTTGACTGAGACCAAAGAGAATTTTGGCCTTTTGAGCAAATATTCTTCCATTAGAAATGGTTTACCAAGGGCTTGTAATGGACTAGGTTACTAAGAAGTATCTTAACCATGAGCTATAAACATTTTTACTATGGCTTAATAAAGCCTTTTTTGAGTGTTGCTGGGGTGGTTGTTTGCCCTGAAATGGATATCTGTGAAGGCTGTGAAGTAGCTTTACTTTCCATTTGAACTCAGTCTCTCAGGATGTAGTTAGGTGGTCTAGATCAGTGGTCCCCAACCTTTTTGGCACCAGGGACCCGTTTCCTGGAAGACAGTTTTTCCACGGACCAGGGGAGATGGTTTCAGGATGAAACTGTTCCAGCTCAGATCATCAGGCATTAGATTCTCACAAGGAGCGCACAACCAAGATCCCTCACATGCACAGTTTGCAATAGGGTTTGTGCTCCTGTGGGAATCTAATGCCACCACTGATCTGACAGTAGGCGGAGCTCAGGCAGTAATGCTTGTTTGCCCGCCACTCACCTTATACTGTGTAGCCCAGTTCCTAACAGGCCATGGACCAGTACTGGTCCGCGGCCTGGGGATTGGGGACCCCTGGTCTAGATGACCTTGGGGTAGCCCTGGCACCAAAAAAATCACTGAACTTCTGTAGTTTTGTTTGCTTCTAGTTCTGAAGCAGCAATTTAGGTTTTGAGTAAAGCTATTTTCTTGAAAATACATGATTTCTTGAAGAGTTAATCTGTAATCCAATTGTGCTAGTTTATTATTTCAAATACACTTACAGTACTTGCTATGTAAATGAACTGTGCAGGAAATGGTTTTGTAAAAGTAATAGTTTACTAATTTATTTATAATGCGAATTTTGATGTTTTATTTGGAAAAAGTTCAAACAACAGAAAAGTGAAAGTATAGGATACCTATGTCCTTCCCCTTACCTAAGAAAACAGGAATACCATAATCTCACCCAATCTTCAGTCCTTATTCAGATTTCCCCAGTTGCCCCAAGATTGGCTTTCAAAATCGTTCCTTTTTATTTGGTGATTTTTCTGTTTTTGTTTTTGAACCAGGATGCAATCACAGATTGCATATTGTACATGGGTATTATGTTTGTTTAGTTTCTTTTATTCAAGAGTTTCTCATATAGCATGAATCTTAGTTTTACCAATTCACTAATAAAAAGATACCACTCAAAACATTATTTAATTCTATATTAAAGGACTGTTATTTAAATATGTCCTTGCCAATATTGTTGTGAAACAAATATCCCTTAATTTATCTTTTGTATAAATCCATATTTCTATATGTAGCTTTGTAAAATGATGTGTGCTTAGATAATAGTGTGTGAACATTAGATGACTAGAATGGGGAGATGCACAGAACAAATGATGTCTCCAAATATCGTTGACGTTCTGTCTTCCCTATTCCTTTATTGACAAGATTCTAGAAGAACTCATGAGGCATGTTGCATATGACAGACGGATTTCCTATATACCCTCCCCACTTTAAGAAAAAGTACAGTTTATATTTATCCCTCAGGTTACATGACCATCATTATTATTACTACCCAATTTGATATGTCTGTCTATATCTTGGAATAATTTTTTCATTTAACATTTATGCCCCTTGTATTTCCAAAAAGTATGCTCGGTAATTTACAATTTAAAAATGCAGCTACGTTACAACCATGAACATGAGGAGAACAGGAGCCTTATAATACAGGGTACGAAGAAGGGGTTTGCACAGAGGGCAGCCGAGAGCCCTGGTTGAGGGAATTTTTAAGTGAACACAAAGACTGGGCTCTAACTTCTAGGCAGGCAGGGCAGAAGGGACCACACAGAGTTTAGATGGAAGTCATCTGCTAGCTCAGCAGAGAGAAATATTTTCCCTGGCATTTATTTCTAATTTCTAAAAATGGGGCCGGGCGTGGTGGCTCACGCCTGCAATCCTAGCACTTCGGGAGGCCGAGGTGGGTGGATCACTTGAGATCAGGAGTTTGAGACCAGCCTGGTCAATATGGTGAAACCCCATCTCTACTAAAAATACAAAAATTAGCCAGGCATGGTGGCAACATGCCTATAATTCCAGCTACTCAGGAGGTTGAGGCAGGAGAATCGCCTGAACACAAGAGGCAGAGGTTGCAGTGAGCCAAGATTATGCCACTGCACTCCAGCCTGGGCAACAGAGCGAGAATCCGTCTCAAAAAACAAAAAAAAAAAAGATACTTTTTTTTTGTTTTTTGAGACTGAGTCTTGCTTTTGTTGCCCAGGCTGGAGTACAATGGTGCAATCTCAGCTTACCGCAACCTTGGCCTCCCAGGTTCAAGCAATTGTCCTGCCTCAGCCTCCCGAGTAGCTGGGATTATAGGCATGTGCCACCATGCCCAGCTAATTTTGTATTTTTAGTAGAGATGGGGTTTCTCCATGTTGGTCAGGCTGGTCTCGAACTCCTGACCTCACGTTATCCGCCTGCCTCGGCCTCCCAAAGAAAAAAGATACTTTTAAAAGGATCTTTGAGTACGAGAATGTGTCGTGTCCTTAAAAGTAGTGTTTACAAAAGATACAGCATTGTACAGTAGTCCCCCTTTACACTCAGTATGGCTTTCTGAGGTTTCAGTTACCCATGGTCAACTACGGTCTGAAAATACTACAATAAGATATTTTGAGAGAGAAAGAGACCACATTCACACAACTTTTATTACATACATTGTTATAATTGTTCTATTTTATTATTAATTATTATTGTTAGTCTCAACACTGTGCCTTAACTTTACTATAGGTGTCTATATATAGGAAAAAACATAGGGTATGGTACTACCTGTGGTTTCAGGCATCCTCCTGGAGTCTTGGAATGTATCCCCCGTGGAAAAGGGGGGACTATCGTACCATACTGATGACTTAATATTCTTAAGAGAATTGGTGACTATTGATAGCACAAAAGATCCCTTGTTTTTAATTTTTTGAGAATTTGAAAATGTATTTGAATTAACTGCCTGTCGTAGTGAATAATGGAACCATGAATGCATGCTTCATGTGTATGGAATAGTTGTTGATAGCCAGAGCTGGAAATGCCACCCAGTGTGAATAACAGTCACATTCACACTTCCCTGCCCCCTTGTTTAATGTTTCCCTCTTTGTAGTTTTCCTGGAATTTTTTAGTCAACCTCATGAATGATGTATAAAGTGCTGTGTGACCTTTCAAGATATTTTAATATTCATGTGAGGTATGCAACCTCCATTTGAGTAACCAGAGAGCTATCTCTAGTCATGTGATAGAAACCTGCCCTTGCTGCTTCCTTTCCAGACTTTGTCCCACTCCTGCTCCTCTCCCACATCACCGATGCACACGTGTGCAGAGAACTGCCACTCTTTGTTTGTGCCACCGATTTGAATGACATCTGGGGAGTGTGCCCTTTAAACACACACACATACCTAACATGTAACTTTTTTAAAAGCAGGAACCATTTAAATAAGCAAATACTAAGGAACTGATGCTTCTCTGAAAAGGCATCCTCTGGAATAAAAGCATCTTATGTTAGGAGGGCCTTAATCGATTATCTGTTTTAACCTTGTTTCCCTTGGAATACTTCTCCTATCAGGTGGTCACTGGCTCACAGGACAACCTATTCCATATTTGGAACATAACAGTTTTATTAGACCAGAGTTTAGCTCTCTGGTTTCTTCTCTCAGTCTCTGATTTTCAGTGAAATATTTCCTCAAATATTATGTCTTTTTTTTTTTTTTTTTTTTTTTTTTTGAGATGGAGCCTAACTCTGTGGCCCAAGCTGGAGTGCAATGGCGCTATCTCGGCTCACTGCAACCTCGGCCTCCCGGCTTCAGGCAATTCTCCTGTCTCAGCCTCCCGAGTAGCTGGGACTACAGGCGCACACTGCCACACCTGGTTAATTTTTTGTATTTTAGTAGAGACGGGGTTTCCCCGTGTTGCCCAGGCTGGTCTTGAACTCCTGAGCTCAGGCAATCCACCCACCTCGGCCTCCCAAACGTCTCCCCCTTTCTAGACAACTTGGTGTCTTAGAAAAAGATAACATAGCCAGGCGCTGTGGCTCATGCGTGTAAACCTCCGTGAGCCAATGAGCCTGTAAACCTCAATGAGCCATCACGCCCAGCTATGTCGTCTTTTTCTAGACACCAAGTCCTGCTTTGTTTGCATGAATGCCAGGTTTCTACCCAGAACTAAAATGTTAATGTCAGATTTACCTAACCAGATCAGAGGACCAAAAATAAGGTTATCTTTTAAAATGTAGATTCTAGACACTGTGGTTGTGTTGTTAGAGGGCACAGCACACAGCTGATTCCTATGGAGCTGGCTTAAGACCCTAGTTTTTTTTTTTTTTGAGGTAAGCCACAATTAAACCAGGTCCACCTACATTCTCCTTGGACCTTGTCTCTCTGAACTGCATGCAGAACTTCACATAACTTTCATCTGTATTTCCTCTCATTACTAGTTCTTCTACATCTTTTAGAATTCTTTTATGAGCAGTATTGTGTGCTGTGCTGGGGGTATAAAAATGAAAAAGACATAGCTCCTAAGTAATCCTCAGGGAGACGTTGCTCCCACAGTTACCCCAGCACATGTGTGCTAAGGGTTTCTCTTTTGCACCTGTAACAGAGCACAGGACACAGAAAGAACTACCCAGGGTGGCAGCTGGAGCAAGCTGAGTTTCCTATTTTTTGTTATTAACAATGGCTAATATTTATCGAGTGCTTACTCAGTGCCAGCCATCATGGTAAAAACGTTAGATAGATGTTTTCTTTTGGTATATCCCAGTTGTTTTAAAGCTTCCTTTTTATTTGTAAGTTTCCAGAGTTTTATGCCCTTCATAGCTTTGAGAAATATGCCTTCTATGATCCATATAGGGCATTCCTTAAATTGTGGAACAAAATAAATTAAAAGGCCTGCCCCAAAATTGACATCTAAGGTGACATTGCTCCCTTTATATGGTTTATCAAGATGATTTTCAGCCCCAAGGAGGTGAAAAACTGCTGAATTGTATTCTTTAAATAATTTTTTCTTCTGCTTTTTTCACTTAAGAGAAATCTCTTGAAACTCATTTAACAGTTGTATACGGGAAGAATAACCCCTATAGGTTCTTATTGGAATGACCCCTTATTTTCAGATTAACCAAAAAAAAAAAAAAAAAACAAGTTTATTAGCATGTATATTTCACATATACAGGGGTGATACAGTCAATGAGTAGTTCTCAAAGAGGCGACTGCATTCTACCTTCTATAGCATCTTCAACAAAGAACAGTTAATTTTTACAGAAATGACAAGACAAAGGAAAAGGACTTGGAGTCTCTAGAGGCAGCAACTTGGAGGAAGGCACATAGCTGGCAGATGAAGGCTAGTCAGTAAAGCTAGTTAATGTAGAGCTGTCTGGTACCAGTCTCCAGGCCCAAAAGGGTCTGAAGTTGTCTTTGGTGGTTAACCTTTGTTCTCCCTGGTTGGGGAAGGGGGCTGGATACCTTTTTTCTTTGTACATCTGTATCCTGCCTTTAGGCGCCTAAAGGGAGGTCAGAGAGCTTTCCTGTATCTGCTGCTTCTTAGTTGCCCTCAGCTCAACAGTCCTGCACATTCTGCTCTCCTACAGCTGCATCAAATGTATTTAGCATTAATTTATTCTTTATCTTTATTGGCTATGTAGGCAATGTTTTTCCTATTATAGTGTAAATTCTACTATGATGAGTATTTTTATATGTAAAGCTTTCTCTGAATTTAGGATTTTTTTAAGCCTAGATCTCAGGACATTGAAAGACTATGGAAAAATAGAATACAGTTTTAACATTCTTGACATAGTTGACAATTGACACTTGCTTTCCAGTGATGTTTACTAGTACAGTTTTCAATAACTGTTTACTGCATATATTTTATTTGGAAAATAGTGTTGTTGTTTTTTTCCTTTCTGGTAATTTCTTTCTATACTTTGCATCTCTTATTTTTATTGAGCATGGACTTGAGAGACTTTAAGAAGTTTTGTAGGGAAAATACACACCGAGAAAATAAAAACTCTAGGAAAAGTTCACAATGTTTTAAAAATAGTTTTGTACATAAAGCTATGATTTTTGCATGGGAACTCATTTAAATTAAAGTTACCAAGGGAATTCCATATGTAAACTTTTCCTTGAACTATGAACTTCTGAGACTTCAGAAAGATTTTGACTGTGTAGGTTATTCTGTGTTGCGCTATGGGGTCCGCCTTTGTGTTGCTGAGCTGGAGAGCGTGCCTCTGCTGCCGCGCTGTGTCAGTAGTGGGGATTGCACTTTTGTTTCCAGCTACAGGCCAAATTTGAGCACCTTAAGAGACTTCACCAAGAAGAGAGAATGAAGCTTGAAGAAAAGAGAAGACTTTTGGAAGAAGAAATAATTGCTTTCTCTAAAAAGAAAGCTACCTCCGAGATATTTCACAGCCAGTCCTTTCTGGCAACAGGCAGCAACCTGAGGAAGGACAAGGACCGTAAGAAGTAAGAGGCCCAGCCACCCTCCCTGGCAGCCCTGCCCACACTTGTCACATTGCCCTGTCGGATCTTCCTAGCGCTTCTTACTTCTGCTTCCTTATGCTTTGTCTTCCTTCTCCAACTAAATGTCAGCTCCTGGAGAGGAGAGACCTTGTCCCTCTTGTTCACTGCTGTTTCCCCAGCATCCAGAACAGCACCTGGCACATGTTATGTGTTCAGTATTTGCCAAAATGAATGAATGAACAAAATAAAAATACATCACAGTGTGAAAAGGATCAGTTAGCTGGGGGAAAATGGCTGCTCTTATTGAATAGCCCAGCCGTGGCCCTAGTACACAGCTAATGGCTGCTGACCTACCATGAGTTATTTTGAATTTCATGTCTAAATAAAGCTGTGCCCTTTGTTGGGGAATTATAGACATAAGATAGTATTTTATTGAATTAATTCTTAGGTTCAGTTTTTTAGAACAAATTCTACTGATACTGATTTTGTGAGAATTTTTATTTTAATAAGGGAACCAGGCTGTCGATTCGAACTCCTGTGCATTGATGTCAGAGCTTGTGAAACCAATGGTGGACGTAAAGACGCAGAGAAAGGTAGAGAGGGCCACAGTGCAAGGGGGCAGCCATGAGTAGCATGTGGATGATAATCGCAAGGCGTGTAGGTTTGGGGTATGTGTTAAAATCAGTTACCCAAGTTTTAGAAAATAAGTTTATTTTTCCTTTTTGATAATTTCCTTCTGTACTTTGTGTCCCTTGTTTTATTTCTC
Organism: Homo sapiens; assembly: GCF_000001405.40. Classification (NCBI taxonomy): domain Eukaryota; kingdom Metazoa; phylum Chordata; class Mammalia; order Primates; family Hominidae; genus Homo; species Homo sapiens. The sequence goes on along the minus strand of NC_000002.12, from coordinate 109,545,286 downwards.
CCACTTAAGTATCCCTGTCGGTTTAACTATTTGGCTCTTGAGGAAATTCATCATGCCTTGTTCTATTCAGAATGCTCATTTGGGGGACTCTGCCTCAGTTTACTCTAGCTACCTCTGTGCTAGCAGCGTTGCATGCTCCCATGTTCCCCACAGAGCAACACATCTGGTTTAATGCTCTCACTGCATCTATTTCAGACCCATTTTCAGAATATTGCAACTCAACTTTAAAATAGGAAAACATAACCTTGGCCCATTGGTGGCTTTCAATTTTTAAATATGGAGAAGTAAACCACAGGACTTTGGCAGATTTTATTGGCTTATATATTTTACAGGTATTTTTGTTTGTTTGTTTGTTTTTTTGGAAAAGAGGAAGGAATTCTCATGTATGATCTTTCAATGCAAGCTCTCCAAGGGCATGGATCTTTATCTTGTTCATTGATATAGCCATCCCCAGAGCCTAGAGCAGTTGTCTGGTACATAGTAGGCATGCAATTATTTTTGAAAGAATAAATAGTATAAAAGCTGTATTTTATTCAAGCATTGAATTTAGAAAGATAAACTATAAATTTATTACTGCTTTTCAACATGCTTTGGATTTTAAAGCTAATGGATCTTTTATTAATACCTTTTTTCCTTTCATCTTAACCCAGTGTTACTAAAATTAGATTTCCCATTTTTTCCCCTATATGAAAGATAATTTACATTTACCTTGTAAAAATTATCACCCTGCTCCACTTGAGAACCCTGCTGTTGTTTGCAAAATCAGGACCAAGCCCATATTTTTTGAGAGCTCTCTAGAAGAATTTATCTTCAAGAAAATATGGTTTGGTGTTTTTGGTTTTTTCTTTTCTTTTTCAAAGTCCCATGGCCAGATATCCTATAATATACTAGATGCATGTTTGCTAATTTTTACTTGAATTTTTTTTAAATTGTACCAATCAAAAGGTTCTTTTTCTTTCCAGCTCCAATTTTTTGTAAAACAGAAGTTCCAGAGCACAGAAGGTCATCATCACAAGCAAACTTTATTAAAAAAAAACTAGAAGTGTGCTTTGATTTTGCTGTTATTTGTTTTATCACTTCTATATTTGGTGAACAGCCACAGTTACTGATATTTATGGAAAAGTACTTTCAAGTACAAGGTCAATACATAAGCCAGAGTGAATGATACTACAAGTTGAGCATCTCTAATTCAAAAATCTGAAATCCAGAAGCTTCAAAATCTGAATCTTTTTGAGCACTGACTTGACCCCACAAGTGGAAAATTCCCCACCCGACACCTTTGCTTTCTGATGGTTCAGTTTAAACAGATTTTGTTTCTTGCACAAAATTTTTGTATAAATTACTTTCAGGCTATATGTATAAGGTGGATGTGAAACATGAATTATGTAATTAGAGTCGGGTCCCGTTGTGTATATGCAGATATTCCAAACCTGAAATCCAAAACACTTCTGGTCCCTAGCATTTTGGATAAGGGATACTCAGCTTGTACCTATATATTCATATATATTCACTGTTGTTAGAAATGTTTAAGTTGCTGTTCTGTGATGAATCTAAATCTTTTCTCTTGCTACCAAGCTATTGTCACTGCAGTGCATTATACCAAAGAGCGAAGTCAGTGCCACTGAAAATACAGAACCCATTAATATCGTGGCTATCTGATTACATTTATATTCCAAGATGAACCTTTTTTATATATGCTAAAAATTTTGGGGAATATGTTTTGGGATGTATTATGGAGCTAAAACTCTAACCTCTTAATAGTTTTATAGAACTTAAAAATTTTTTATACAATTACCCAATTGGTGATATGATCTTAAGCTTTTGTGTCAGATTATTTAATATGATGACTTCATGCTTTATTATGCCTTATTATGGCTGACGTATTACTGTGGTGAAACAAAATATCTTTAAAAGTTAAAACATCCAGATATATAAGCTATTTTTTCCTAAGGATAAAGTACCTTTGAGCATGAGTGTATCACAGCTTTCATTAGGAAAACTTTTCATTACATACTTGTTTAAACTCTGTCTTCCAGGGTAAAAATAATAAGGTTGAATCATTTTATTAAAAATACTTTTTAAGAAAATAACTATGAACATCTGAATATTAAAGATATAAAAATGCACATAATTCATATTTCAGGTGGTATTTGCATTCAGTGCCTTACTGGTATTCTCAGAACATTTTAATGATTTCTAACATTTCTTAACAGTCATAGATATATACATTTTCATTTTTTGTACTTGAATATTCTAAATAAAACTGACATTTACTCTTGACAAATAAAACATATATTTACTAAAATGTGTTTAATTTTCCTTTCTGAAAACTCTCATTTTAAAAACGTTCATTTAATTATGTATTTGAATTATTTTGGAGATGAGGTATTTTATGAGTATTTTCAGACAATGAAACTTATTAGTCTGTGTCAGATTCTGAGCAATCATAGAGTCATCTAAGTTGTAAATAAAACCTTGCATAGCACAATTTATCTGTATACTTTAAATTTTATTTTTGCATTTGAAATTCACAGATGTCTCTCAGTCTTTTAAAACTTCAGTAAATTAAATTATACATGTCATAGAACAAGCTCAGAAGTTTCTTCGCAAGATCAGTGACACCCAGGTTCTGGTAGGCAGGGAGTCCTGGAGGGTAGGTGACCTGAGGTACAGAGCCAGGCCAGCATCACGGTACTTAGTGCCAGCTGAGCAGACTGTTCACAGATGGGCTCGATGACACTGCGGGAGTGTTTGTTACATATGTGGCTATATTTGACCATACTGTTTATAAAGCAGCTCTCCTTAACTCTGAAGAACGTACTTTGAAGTGTGAGATAGGTTGTTGGAATGGTAAACAGTTATTCAAGTTTCTGGTTGAAAAGAACGTAATAAACCTGCCTGAGACTCTCTAGACTTAACAGCAGGGCGGTCGTTTTGTACTGCTGATGACTGCTGTGAGAAAGCCTCACTCCTGCTTCAGCCGCAATGTGAATTTTTAATTCATTTCATATATTTGGGTTCCATGTAAGATTTTATTTTAAAAGAGTTGAACAACAAAGAAAAAATTTTTTAATGACTTCTTCTTACAAAGCTAATTTATCATCAGGCACAAGATTAGAAAATGAATTATCCACTGAGGCATAATCTCCTGGGAATAAAATAAAGCTAGTCATGTTTTGTTAAAAATTTTTCCCATTAAGCTTATGAAACAGTTGTCTCTAACTAACAGCCGTTAATCCTGGTACGTACTCCCTCCGACTTTTAAAGCCCTTTCACATAGACTAGGATTTGAACTTCAAAGCAACACAAGGAAAAAGCATTACAGGGATTATTATCACTATATTGTGGATGAACTCAGTGTAAGCCCCGTGTTCCTATTGGGCCAGGAAATGGGGACACACACATGACTCAGGTCATCCATGCATCATGGAGCAGCCGGAGCAGGCTGGACAACCAAGTAGGTTTGGAGCAGGGCACTCTCAAAAGGGTGTCTGCCTCTCACAGATCACAAGGAGCCGTCCAAAGAAGTGACTGGTCCTGAAGGACTGGAGCAGTTTATCCAGAGTATGAAAGAAGGAGGCATTCCTAGTACAAGGCACAGCATGTTGTGTGCACTGGAAGGTAGCTGAGCACCATCAGAGTACCAGCAAGGAGTGGGGCTCCGGTAAGGGCCAGGTTTCAGAAGCAGTTAAGGAATGGGTTTATAAATCCCAGGAAAGTTTATAAATCCCGTCTGGCAGGCAGTGGGAGCCATTGAAAGGCTTGGCCTCACAAGGTTAGGTGTTCTCCAGGGTTTATGGGAAGGAGATACTGGCAGGCAGGGGGAGCTGGGCCGGGGCAGGCCAACCCTTTAGAGATACAATAGACTCACCTAAGGAGTGTTTAAACAATACTGATGTAGAAAGGAATGTATAGTAATGAAAATGGTAGCTGTATGGATAAATCCAAATGAATAGCCCATATAAAGCAATTATAACGTCTTACAGACTTGAAAATACATAGTGAATTAAAATATGAGAAAATAGTGGCATGAAAGTTAGGAATGGGGTAAATCGAGGGATCTCAGGTTCTTGCATTAACTGGGAAGTGGTTAAGAGTCCCAGTCACACAGGTAAATCAGAATTGCTTCTTGCCATCTCTAGGGTAACCATGAAACATGGTGATGTGTGTAACTTCCAGGCTAATAGGAAAACTGGTTTTAAAATGCCAATACAGAAAAAAGTAAGAAACTGCAGGAAATAGCACAGGTATGACAACCAGAACGCATGTAGTAATATGGTAGATTTAGACCCAAATGTATCAGTAAGTACTTGGATTACATGCTCAATTTTTTTAGATAAGTTTCCTTAAAAAGCAGCTGTATGTAGTTTACAAGAGAACAGTCTAGAACTTTGTCTTTATAGACGAGAAAGGTTAAAAGAAGATGGGAAAAGGTACATCATGCAAATTTTAACTAAAAGCTAATGTGTAGCTTTTTTTTTTTTTTTTGACAGGGTCTTGCTCTGTTGCTCAAGCTGTTGTGCAGTGGCACAGTTATAGCTCACTGCAGCCTCAAACTCCTGGTCTCCAGCAGTCCTCCTGCCTTAGGCACATCACCATGCCCAACTAATTTTTTTTTTTTTTTCCTTTTTTGGTAGAGACAGAGTCTCACCCAGGCTGGTCTCAAACTCCTGGCCTCAAGTGATCCTCCCACCTCAGCCTCCCAAAGTGTTAGAATTACAGGCATGAGCCATTGTGCCTGGCCATATTTTCAGTATATTAAGAGAACTTGAAGGCCAAAAGCATTGCTAGAGATGAAGAGAGACCTGTAAAATAAATAGCAGTTCTCAACTATACATCCCTATGTACAAAATAATAGCTTCAGCATATTTAAAGCAAAGATTGATAGGAGTATAGGAAAATACAGATCCACACTTAGTGAGAGATTTAAACATACCACTTGTGTATGATAGGACAAGCAGACTGAAAATTAGTGCAGATATGGGAGACTTGAAGAAAACAAGCAACAGCCTTGGCCTTGTGAGCGTAGATAAAACAGTGCACCCGGGGAATGCCTCGAGCACATGTGGAGCATAGAGTTGACTGTTTTACTATAAAGCAAGCCTTAATACCTTTTAAAGGAATGAAAGATTATGTTCTTGATCATAATACAGTTAAGGTAGAAATCAATAATAAAAAGCTAAAAAATTCCTGTCTCTAAGGGAACTTGTTTTGCTCAGCACCATACAACCCAGCAATCCCAGTCCTAGATGTGTACTCAAGAGGAATGAAGACACATGTCCCACCAGGACCTGTCTAAAAGTTTGTGGCAGCCTTCATCATCTGCCAAAACCCGAAACAACCCAAGTGTCCATCAACTGGTGAACACATAAACAAGTTGTGGTTCATCCATACAATGAAAGGGAACAAGCTACTGGTGCATGCAAAACCACAGATGAGTCCCAATCATATGCTCTCAAGCCAGATGCAGAAGGCTACATACAGCATGATTTCATTTATGTGACATTTTTTCCAAAGCAAAACTACAGGGACAAAACTGGTTGCGGCCGGGCACGGTGGCTCACTCCTGTAATCCCAGCACTTTGGGAGGCAAGGTGGGCGGATCACCTGAGGTCGGGTGTTCAAGACCAGCCTGGCCAGCGTGATGAAACCCCGTCTCTAGTAAAAATACAAAAATTAGCCTGGCATGGTGGCACGTGCTTGTAGCCTCAGCTACCTGGGAGGCTGAGGTGGAAGAATTGCTTGAACCTGGGAGGCAGAGGTTGCAGTGAGCCAAGATCGTGCCACTGCACCCCAGCCTGGGTGACAGAATCCGCCTCAAAAAACAAGAAGCTGTGGTTGCCAGGCTTCACGGGTTGACTTCAAGGTACACGTGAAACCTTTTGGGGTGGTAGAATGTTCCATTCCATTTCTTTATTGTGGTGGTCACATGGCTACATACATTTGTAAAGACTCATAGAACTGTGCACTCAATATTTTTTTTCTTTTTGAGACAGAGTCTTGCTCTGTCGCCCAGGCTGGAGTGCAGTGGCATAATATCGGCTCACTGCAACCTCTGCCTCCTGGGTTCAAGCGATTCTTCTGCCCCAGCCTTCCGAATAGTTGGGACTACTGGTGGGCACCACCACACTCAGCTAATTTTTGTATTTTTAGTAGAGACGGGGTTTCACCATATTGGTCAGGCTGGTCTTGAACTCCTGACCTCATGAGCCGCCTGCCTTGGCCTCCCAAAGTGTTGGAAATACAGGCGTGAACCACCGCTCCCAGCCAAAATATTGTTTATGATATGTAAATACCTCAGCAAACCTGTTTTCTTCAAAAGTAAAAACAAAAAAGTATTATCACTGCAAATGTGGTAGACATTAAAACCTTGTCAATACATTTGAAAATACAGAGGAAATGACAAATTTGTGTAGAAGATTAATGTGTTAATATAAGAATAGAAAATCTCATAACAAAGACAATGCAGGCCAGCTGTGGCGGCTCATGCCTGTAATTCCAGCACTTTGGGAATCTGAGGGGGTGGTTCACTTCACACCAGGAATTCAAGACCAGCCTGGCCAACATGGCGAAACCCCGTCTCTACTAAAAATATAAAAAATTAACCAGGTGTGTTGGTGCATGCCTGTAATCTCAGCTACTCAGAGGCTGAGGCACGAGAATTGCTTGAACCTGGGAGGCAGAGGCCGCCGTGGTAAGCCGAGATCATGCCACTGCACTCTGGCCTGGACGACAGAGTGAGACTGTCTCAAAAATAAAAGACACGGCATAAAGTTCCCATGAAGGTCAGGCTGAGATAACTTTATTTGTGAATCCTTTGAGACATTTAAAGAAAGCCCGTCTTTCACAAACTCTCCCTGTGGTCGGCGAATAATGGCCCTGAGAGACATCCACAGCCTTATTCTTGGACCTGGGAATATGTTCCCCTTCCTGTCAAACAGGACTTCACAGATGTGGTTAAGGCTGCAGACCTTGAGATAGAAAAATGATCCTGGACTGTCTAGGTGTGGTTGGGTCCTTGAAAGCCGAGAGCCTTTTCTGGTTGTGAGCAGGAGGGAGATGTGACAGCTGAAGCCAGGTCAGAGAGTTACAATGCTGCTGGCTTGGAGGGTGGAGGAAGGGGCTCCTTCCACAAGCCAGGTAGTGGCTGGAGGTGGCCTCTGGAGCTGGGAGGACCAAAGAAAAGGATGTCCACCTAGAGCCTCCAGAAGGAACACAGCCCTGCTGACAACTGGACTTTAGCCCAGTGAGGCGTGAGTCAGATTTCTAAACTCCAAAACCATAAGATAAATTTGTGTGTGTGTGTTTGTGTGTGTGTGTGTATGTGTGTGTGTGTTTTGAGACAGGATCTTGCTCTTTTGCCTGAGCTAGAGTGCAGTGGCACAATCGTGGCTCACTGCAACCTCTGCCTCCTGGGCTCAAGCAATCCTCTCACCTCAGCCTCCCAAGTAGCTGGAGTCCCAGGTGGAGATCCACACCTAACTGGCTAAGTTTTACATTTTTTGTAGAGACAGGGTTTCGCCCCGTTGCCCAGGCTTGTCTCGAACTCCTGAGTTCAAGCAGTCCGCCCGCCCCAGCCTCCCAAAGTGCTGAGATTACAGATGTGAGCCACCGCACCCAGCTGTCCCTAAACATTTGTATTACTTTAAGCCACCAAATTTATGGTAATTTGTTACGGCAGCAATAGAAAACTAATGCATCCCCAAGAACACGTTAAAAAAAAAATCCAAACTCATAAGACCAGTATGACTTTTCATTTCAAAGCCTGGTAAGGACATTTGAGAAAGGGTATTTATAGTCTGGTCTCACTCATCAGAAATGCAAAAATCCTAAACAAAATGCTAATGAAAGGAACCCAAGAATATATAAAAAGGATAGTACCTCATGTCCATGTTGGTTTATTCCAGAAATGCTAGGTGGTTTTAATATTAGGAAATTAATGTAATTCATACTACAAACATTAAGGGAAAATCATCGTCATCCCCATAGATACAGAAAATATTAATAAAAGCATCATTTTAAGACTTAGAAAATTGACAAGAAAAATCTCTTATAACACTGGCTAGAAGGAGACTTTCTGATTTTGATAAAGGATATCTACCCCCAAACCCAATAGCAAGCATCATACTTAATGGTGAAATATTGAAAACCTTCTTCTTTGGGAACAAGGCAAGGATGGCCAGAGTTATCCCCTTACATTCAGCATTTTACTGGAAGTTGTAGCCAGTGCAAGTGTATTAGTCTGTTTTCACGCTGCTGATAAGGACATACCCGAGACTGGGCAATTTACAAAAGAAAGGTTTAATTGGGCTTACAGTTCCATGTGGCTGGGGAAGCCTCACAATCATGGTGGAAGGCAAGGAAGAGCAAGTCACATCTTACATGGATGACAGCAGGCAAAGAGAGAGCTTGTGCAGGGGAACTCCTCTTTTTAAAGCCATCAGATCTCGTGACACTTATTTACTATCATGAGAACAGCACAGGAAAGACGTCCCCATGATTCAATTACCTCCCACTGTTTCCTCCCACAATACGTAGGAATTCAAGATGAGCTTCCAGTGGGGACACAGCCAAACCATATCATTCCATCCCTGGCCCCTCCCAAATCTCACATCCTCACATTTCAAAACCAATCATGCCTTCCCAACAGCCCCAAAGTCTTAACTCATTTCAGCATTAACTCAAAAGTCCACAGTCTGAAGTCTCATCTGAGACAAGGCAAGTCCCTTCCACCTATGAGCCTGTAAAATCAAAAGCAGGTTACTTACTTCCTAGATATAGCGGGGGTACAGGTATTGGGTAAATACAGCCATTCCAAATGCGAGAAAATTGGCCAAAAGAAAGGGGCTACAGGCCTCCATGCAAGTCTGAAATCCAGTAGGGCAGTCAAATCTTAAAGCTCCAAAACGATCTCCTTTGACTTCATGTCTCACCTCCAGGTCATGTGATGCAAGAGGTGGGTTCCCATGGTCTTGGGCAGCTCTGCCCTTGTGGCTTTGCAAGGTATATCCTCCCTCGTGGCTGCTTTCATGGGCTGGCATTGAGTGTCTGCAGCTTTTCCAGGCACATGGTGCAAGCTGTTAGTGGATCTACCATTCTGGGGTCTGGAGGATGGTGGTCCTTTTCTCACAGCTCCACTAGGCAGTGCCCCAGTAGGGACTCTGTTTGGCTCTGACCCCACATTTCTCTTCCACACTGCCCTAGCAGAGGTTCTCCATGAGAGACCCCCCCCCCACCCCCACCCACTGCAGCAACTTCTGCCTGGACATCCAAGTATTTCCATACATCTGAAATCTAGGCAGAGGTTCCCAAACCTCAATTCTTGACTTCTGTGCACTTGCAAGTTCAACACCACATGGAAGCTGCCAGGTTTAAAAGCCCCAAATTCTGTTCTATTCCCAGTGCAAAGACTCTCTTCTCCCTAAATTGCGTCCTTGGCTCTTGGCTCCGTTGCACCCACTGTCTTCTGCCTTGACAGCTGCACTGACATTTACTTGTGTGTACTCAGGCTCCTGCTGCCACATACCTATGCTAATTGTGGTTCAAGGTCAAGGTCCACTTTCAAGGTCCACTCTCTCTTGGGCTCATGCAAATGCCCTTGTGCCTTTGCTGAGGCCCAAGCAGCATCACATAAGGGCCAGACTTTTCTTACATTCCTGGCTGTGCAGAAACACACCTGTGGAGACAGCCCCTACAGGTAGCATCACCCACAAAGTTAAAGCAGCTTGTGCCCTGAACCCTAAGTTTTCTAGCCCAAGTCCAGAAGTTGGAAGCCAACTACACAACTCAAAACAGCCCACTTGGCCTAGTACAGTCACAGGACACCAAGCTACAGCCCTACCCGTGTCAAATGTGTGAAGCCGGAAGTCTGAGGAATGTGCATTCCATGGGAGGCATAGTGACTGGGAGGGAGTTGGGAGGGCTCTGGGGGCTGGTGCATTTTTAGGTCTTGGTGTTGGTGACGGTTCTGTGAAGATTCATCAAGCTGGCCATGTACATGTGCACTTTTCTGCCACGTTATACTTCAACAAAATGTTTAGAAATAAAGGAGGGATAAAGGGAGAAGAAAATGCCAGCATACTGAGGTCCACACACTAGGTAGTTCCTTTTGGTCTGCATCGTCCATTGTTTGCATTCTCTCTCCACGCTTCTGACCAGTGCCCTAAGTGGTAGAATTTTCCAGGGGCCTAATAGCCTCCATCTTCCTCATCTGGGTTCTGAAAGAAATTAAACAGTGCACCTGGAGGTGAAGTGTCAACTCGATCACTGATAGAGGCTGAGTGAGTTGAGAGCCAAATGGGCTTGCTGAGTGAGTCCAGAGTCCTGCAGATGTCCTGCACTCACAAGCAGTGCTGGAGGGGAGGGGGCCTTCTCAGGGTTATGTCCACCACCACTCTCCCAAATTACCCAGCTCTAGTCAGGTAAGAAACAAACCATTCAGTGATGTGATAGCAATACTTAAAACAAAACAAAACAAAACAAAACAACTTTCACTCCCAAACTTTTTTTTTTTTTTTGAGACTGAGTTTCACTCTGTGGAGTACAGTGGCACAATCTCAGCTCACTGCAACCTCCGCCTCCCAGGTTCAAGCGATTCTCCCACCTCAGCCTCCTGAATAGCTGGGATTAAAGGCCAGTGCCATCACGCCCAGCTAATTTTTGTGTTTTTAGTAGAGACGGGGTTTCTCTGTGTTGGCCAGGCTGGTCTCGAACTCCTAACCTCAAGTGATCCACTCACCTCGGCCTCCCAAAGTGCTGGGATTACAGGTGTGAGCCACGGTGTCCAGCCGTTCCTAAACATTTCAATAGCATTGGCTGAAATATAAATATTGCTTATTCTGTTGTCCTCCCAGCTCTTAGTTGCTTATAAAGAGTTTTGTAATTTTCAGATTGCTCTAATGCCTGTGATCCTACTAGAACAGGTGGATCCTAGAACTACTAGGATGCAGGTGGATGGGTTAGGGAACTGAGGCCGAGCGCCCTAAGGACTTGAGACGGCAGTGGCAGAGCTAGATGAGAATTGCACCTCACCTGTCTCCATACCAGGCTGAGAAAACCAGGCATTTCTAGGTCTTTCTGAGGAAACAGTGTAGGTGTTTATCATCATAGCTTGGCTCTGACAGTCTTACACACTGGCAGAGGCTCGTCCACAGAAATGAGGTCTCCAGGCAGAAGTGAGCTGAGGGGAATGCCTTTTGGACATCTGGAAGCAGCTAGTACTGTCCCTGAGGCTGGGCGACAGAAGGAGAGGGTATGAGGCCGCTCACCCGCTTCTGGCACTGTGCAGCGCTGCCCTGGGCTCCTCCCGGTCTGGCCTCACTGACTGCCCATTCCCAGTTTCCCCTCCAGGCAGTGTGAGTTTCAGTGCTAGGGGCCACTCCACATGGCGGGAGACAAGTAGCTTTACAAAGACAGGCTTAAAGAGTGAAAAATCTTCAAGACAAATAAATTTGAACTGTGGGAGTTCAGGAATATCAGGAGCTGGAGAAATCTTGAAAGTACCCCCCAGGACCTTTTCAATTATCTAACTCAATCATAGTAAAGGCTGCTTTTCTGTTAGAAATTACGCTTGACATGGGTTAAGTGGGTTCACAGTGCTGTCACTCTCATCCTTAGCTGTTTGTATTCGCTAACAGCTAATTTTTTCTTTTAAAGCTTTTAAGTTTATTCTGTTAAAAGTTGACATGACATTGAGTGGATAATATTGTTAGAATATTATGGGAATAACACCCATGATATTGAACCTTTACCCATCCGCAGCCTCCTCCTCAGGCCCGTGGTTCTGTCAATATGGCCTGGGGCATTCCACACCAACATTTCTGCCAGAAGATAGATGTTCTTGTGTTCTTGACTAGCAGAGACAAATGAAACTTAATCGTGTTTTCTAACAGAAACAAAGCGTGTCTAGTACTTCTTTTAAAGATACACAGAGAGCACACTAACAAAAAAGATAAACAGACGTCCTGCTGTTCCTCATGGGATCCCCAGGTCAGCAGTGAGCGCAGCCTGTTCCTCCATCCAGCAGCAGGGCAAGTGCCCTCCACGGGCTGTGTTGGCAGTAGCTCTTGTGTGGGTATACATTGGTATATGGATTTTTCAAATGCTTGCTTACCCTCCCTCCCTCTTTCCTCCCTTCCTCCCTTTCTGTTTTAGAGCTCCTTTGTGCTATCCTGTCCTCCCTCTCAGGTCAGCTCTCTGTCCTGAGGCCTTTGGTCATCACCTGACGTGTCTATTTGTGTCTGTGAGGGTGGTCTCTAGAGTGTGAGCCCCAAGAGGGCAGGACCTTATCTGCCTTGTTCACTGCTGTATCCCAGGGCCAAGCATGCACCTGGCCAGTGAGTGTTTATTGAATGAATTAACAGAAACTAAACAGAAGGAAGCAGGAGATTTTAGGCAGCTGGGGCCGAAGATGGTGAGAGCTCCTGTGTGAGGTGTCCACTGCCCAAAGGGTAGAGGAGGCGTCACGGGGCAGAATGACAGCAATTCTGCATCATGCATTTAAGTCTAAACTTCCTTACAAGATCTGTCAGGAGGTTATTAGAGCATCGTGGGCTCTTCCCAGGTCTTGGTAAGAGCTCCTTTGTGCTATCCTGGTCTCCCTGCCAGGTCGGCTCTCTCTCCCGAGGCCTTTGGGCATCATCTGATGTGTCCCCATCATACATGGCAGCTTTAGATTATAGACACATTGAGTTCACCTGAGAGAAATAAGGAGCAAGCCCTCACCGGGGTCAGGGCCCTTCTGTCACAGTGGCTTTCAGGCTGTGCTCCCCGTGAGATTTTAGGGAAGTCACAGGTGGGGGCACCCACGCACAGGGCTTCTAGGCCCCCACTGCCATTTCAAGAAGAATAACTCCACTCTTATCTGGTTTATAAACCTTAGCCGGCTTCTAGATAAGATTTAATTTGAACAAAAAGTTCTAGGGCTTTGGAAGTATAAAAGCTAAAACAGCTCTTTTGCAATTTACTTGGTTGATGGAACGTGAATGTTTTTACTGATGGATAATTCCCAAGTCTGGTAGTGACCGAGTCTGTAATTGAAGAGAGATCTTCCTCCCTTGCAGGGGATGCTTCTGCCCACACCTCCTGGGAGGGCCCAGAAGCAATTCTAGCCCCTGAGTCCCAAGATCATGCTACATCCTCCCAAGCCTTCTCCAGGATTCACAGCTCTGTGTCCTTTGGTGGCTCCCACATGCCCCCAGGATGTGCCAGCCACCTCATCTGGACTGTCTCTGGCCTGGTGCCGTGGGGTCCCGTGTGTCCACCCATGTAGGCAACTGTGTATTCACTTTTGTCACAGCTACACCATCCTTCTGGAAGAATCTGTCACCCTGAAAAAGATCTTTGGCCAAGTGCAATCAATTTCTATACATGAGGTTTTACAGTTATGTGGGTTGAGCCAGAGCTCACTGATGTTGGGGCATTAATCCCTCCCCTTGAGGTGACCATGATGACCTCGATTCCGCCATCTGTTGTATCTACCTGTTCTGCTCAGCTTTGGGTAATCAGTAGATGCAATATTTATGCACTGATGTCTTTATCTAAATTCTAGAAGTATTTGACGTGACAGAGCCCTGTGGTATGCCACTGGAGACTTCCCTCCAGGCTGGCAATAATTTAACTTGGCCCCACAGAAGATTCTGAAGTCTTTGATTAAAACCTAAGGTCCTTTGATGAGTTATTGAAAAAATATAATCAATCATGATTCCAATGAGCAGCCAGAAAGTCATGCCCAGACTGATTTACATTGATTAGGGCCACGATGCATATCCAAGAGACAGATGAAAGGGCTGAGTTCAGGGTGGAGGATTGGATTCGCCATGATTTCAGCAACTCAGAAGTCTTGTGGGTCAGCCCTGTCCTTCCCTTTGTAAGTGCGCAGTGCCAGATGGCTGTCATCAGAGAAGAGAGAAGTGGCCAAGGGTGAGACTTTACAGCTGGCACCTCTGCAGTTGCACATACCACGTCCTGAGCCCTGCAAGGTCTGACATCAAATGCAGAGCCGGTCTGTAGAGTGGGATGTTTTCACATCAGAAACCAAGTGTCAGAATTGTGCCTTTGAACATCAAAAAAGAGAGATGCTCTGATATTCAGGGACAGGCTCTGAGACCAAATAGAGGGGCCCTTGTGCCAAATTCTCAAAGATCCTGGGTGAAGGGCTAGCCTGGCTCTGTGCTCTGCTCTCCTGCTCGGTCCACACCTCCCTGCTAGATGGGAGATGGGGTCCCACAAGGCCTGGGTGTGGGCTAGAGAGGTGAGGGAAGGACATCAAGCCCAGCCTCCTCGGGAAGCTCTGATGCTCTTTCCCTCTTTCCCTCTTCCAGAGTCTCTATTTCATTTCCCGAGAAGCTCCTTGTCTTGAGGGTCGGCTCTCCCTTCCTTTTCTCCCTCTCCGTAGATGTGCAGTGGCCACTCCAGGAACTGCCCAGGAACTGCCCTGGCCCGGCCCTTCCTCTTGAATGTCTGGGGTGGGGCAAGACAAATAACTCAGTTTAGTGATCCTTGGTAAATACCAGGGAGAGAGAGAGAAAGAGCAAGCAGTCAGTGGTCAGCTTTGACTTCCAAAATAATTCAATTTTCAGTGTGTAAGATATTAGATGGTTAGAAACTGAACAGCACACAGAAAGGTACACCCAGAGACAGCACATGCCCCCTCGGCTCTCTCAGCTGGTTTCTTCCTATCCCTTAGCCATTTTTATTAGAACCTTGCATATCATTCCGGTATTTCTTACACAAAGCCAACACCAAGATAGATATGTATAGACACGTTTTCTTATTGCACTACTTTCTTACAAAAGAGAGTACACTATTTTATTGTTCTGAGCCTTGCTTTCTTCATTTAGTAATCTGCACAGTGAACTTTGCAAATCCGTCCTCACTTCTGTATTTGTTTGCAGCTGCTTGGACTCCGTAGAGTGGAGGCGCCACAGCCTGCTCACGTGGCCCTGATCAGTGGACACGTGGCTGTCAGTTGCTTGATGTCACAGCAAACGTCGCCGTGACTGCCTGACCACATGCCGCTCCTTTGTGCACAGGTGATCTCTGGCTCAGCTCGCCTCCCTGGGCCATGCTTTTTGTGTTCCCACCACATTGCCACACCCATGAGTTCTGGCCACTCTGAGGGCAAACGCAGTGTCTGGTGTTGTGTGAATTGCATCTGCTGATGAGTGAGGCTGAACATCTTCTATGCGGGAGAGGGCCATTCATATTTCTTTTTTAAGAACTGTCTGTTCATTAGACTCATCAGACCCAGAGCAGAAACATCTGTCTTAAAAGTCAGGCAAGAGCTGTTTTTCTTTTTTTAAAAGAAAACAGTCGTTATGGTTGCTAAAAGGCTGATGGCCCAAGGGACCTAGCACATGAGACTCATTCTAGAAACAGCAGTGTGGGGAGAATGTGGGATGATTTCAGACAAGTTTCCATGCCTCAAGGGGCAAGAAGGCTCAGCCCAGTGGGGAAGTGAGGGCTGGAGGCAGGGCCCTGGGAAGGGGCTCCACAGCCCCCACCCCCTCAGGTTGAGCCCCAGGGTTGTGACAGGTGAGGTGACCTCTTATGACCTTCAGGGTCTGTCCTTCCTTCTGAGATTCCCTTCCTGCCCAGCCGCCCCTCAACGCCTTCCACAGTTCCCCCTTCCTGGTGACCTGTAGACATGCACAGCTTTCTTTTGTCCTAAGCAAAGCAAAGCAAATGAAACCCAAACACTACTGTTTTCTGCAGCTGTTACCACGTGTCCTTGGCTCCTCAGGACCTCCTCAGCACCCTATTGCTCTGCTGTCCTGAAACACCTCCCTTTGTGGTCCAGGCCGTGCTATCTCCTTCCCCGTGCAGGGGCTGGGCTCCGAGCTTCTCCCCTGCCCCCACCCTCCGGCCTCCCCGGCTCTCCCTCGAGGTCCCATCTGTTCCCGCAGCTTCCATCGCCCTTTCAGGACACCGCTGGTCACTCTACACTGTAGCCCTTCCTCCTCCTCTGCACTCCTGGCTGGCTGTCCACATTGGCCTGGCTGCCCCACCCTGTCTATGTTCAAACAAACCCACCCCATCCCTTCAGAGGCCCAAGACCAGACTGGGCACCCCATGTGCCAGGCCCTGCAGGCACCTCTAGTCCCTGAGCCCATCCAGGACCCGCCACCATCAAGGGAGTGGCAGGACTCACCTGCAGGGCCCAGCAGCCTGCAGCCACCGGGTGCCTGGATGGAGCCGCAGCCATGGCCTCTGGGCTTGTTTCCTGCGGCTGCTGTGACAAATCTCCGCCAACTCAGCACCCGTGGCACAAGCTTATCCTATAGTGGAGGAAGTCGGAGGCCCAGAATGGGTCTGAGCGCTAAGGTCAAGGCATGGACAGGCTGCAGCGGTCATCAGCTCAGCCCCTCCTTGGTGGAGTCCTCCTCAGTTCGTGCCGGCCTACACCGACCCTTCTGCACCCATGGTCACTTCCAAGGACCCTGTGACCACATCACCCACCCCCAATAATCCAGGATGGTGTCTCCATCTCAAGATGGGCTGATTGGCAACCTTAACCCCCTTTGTCGTGTGATGTGACTGCAGGGTCTGGGGAGGGAGTAGGACGCTTTGGGGACCGTGGTTCCATCTGCAGGACGCCTCTGCTCCGACCCCTCCTGCCCCACGGCCCTGCTGCTTTTCCTCCTGTTCTCTGGGCTCTGCCCACAGCTGCAGCACCACAGTCTCCTGGGCCTGATTCCTTCCCTTCTCCCACCTCCTCAGAGTTGCCAGAGTTACTGTTCTAAGCCGCAGACCCCTCCCATCCCTTCCAGCGGGGTCCTGGGACTGGCTGTGGCGGGCATCCTGGTCTTGCACCCGTTTGGCTTGATCCTTCCCAGGAGGGCAGGGCATGGAAGGATTGGGCTCTGACGACACTTTCCCATGGGCCATGTTGGCATAGCTTTAAAATGGCAAACCTTTAGACTTGGCACTCATGTTTATTGCGGGCAATTGGAAGAGCATACCCCCTTGCTCTGCTGGGCCTTGTGCTGGGCTGGGGCCTGTGGGGTGGTCAGGATGGAGCGTGTACTCAGGGCAGGGCACAGCGGGGCACAGGGTATCCCTCCTGCATGCCACTTAGCTGAAACTTTACCTGGTGACGTGGGGCATCAAATCTGTGCTGGCTGAAGCCCTGCTGGGCCCAGTCCTGCTCCCAGGTCACTGTGACTCATCTGGGCCTCCAGCTGACCCTGATGACCTCCCTTCAGCTGCTGGGATGCCTCAGGTGCATTCCTGGAAGAGCCCATGCTCAGTCACTCTGGAAGCTGCTCATGGGCACAGCCCACAGACTATCCACCCGTCCTCCCGCCTGGCTGCAGGGGTCTCCACTCTGCACATCCTCCTCGCCCTCCAGCCCTTGCCTGGCTTCTCCTGCTCTGCCCTCCCTGGCTCCTCAGTCGTTATTTCCACTCTGTTTCCTTCTGACAGTGGCTTCTTTCCCTGGTGACTCTGACGACAACTTGAGGATCTTCATAGGGAATCAGTTGCAAAGCAAACTTGCTAAGATTGGCGACCTGTCAGCCACATCTATTTATTTTTTAAAAAAATCTTTTATTTTGAAATAATTTTAGACCTACAAAACAGTTGCAAAATTCATACAGAAATCTCATATGCCTTCCCTGCCACTCCCCCGACATTAACACCTGACGTGACTAAAACAATCTACCCTAGAAAATTCACATGATTCGATACTATGAACTCACCTATGGGATTCATCCTAATGTGGCTGTGGGTCCAGTGACATCCGTTCTCATGCCCAGGGTCCCACAGGGCCTGCGTTATTCCTCTTGGGGGTCTTCCAGTCCATGGTGGCTCCCCAGTCTCTGGAGTTTAGGATCTGTGAGACACATCTCAGGTGTGGGGAAATGCCTCCAGCACGTCTGTTTCTTATGTTACTCAAACTCCTTTCCCGCTGCAGGGGAAGGACACAAACACCATCCTTGTCCTAACATACCATGTTCTGCCTGTGTCAGCTTCCTAGGCAAGCAACTGGTTTTCCAGAGATGGGCTGCCTGGGGCCCAGGCCTCTCTGCTTAGTCTCCAGGACCAGCACAGTGAAGGCGTGCGGCAGCTGATGGATGCACTTTGGCTGAGCTGGGTTCAGGCACACACATCTGCTTCGTGTGGGTTTGTGTGAGGTGTTGCACATGTAAACATTTGTAGGTATGTGTATTTGTGCACGTGTGTGTGTGTAGGGTCATCTGGTAGCTATTGTAAAAATCCATTATTTCTATAAGCTAAATTAAGACATTTAATTGGTCAAGCACAATTTGTCAAGTGTGAGCTTTATGGCAAGCACTATCCTCATTAGACACTACACCAAGTCCTTGTGCATACCCAGCCCCCACGCAGGCAGGCTCGAGCCTCGTGCTAGAGTCGAACATGTGCTGGCTGAGGCAGACACATCTCTGAGAACACATTTGTAGGCCATCAGAGAGGGTCTCCTAGAGAGGAAGCAGCCCACCAGAGGGTTGAATAGGAATTCACCAGGCTGAGGTGGTCCCAGGCAAGGGTGGAGAGAGGGTGCATCTGGGGACCCAAGAGCCGGGGAGAATATCAATTGCAGCTGTCATCGGTGAGCCCCCTGTGCCAGAGTGCATGGCAGACACATCCGTGCACTTCCTCCCACCCTTGGGCCTCCAGAAAGTCTGCTTTCTGGTGTCATTCAAAGAGGAGGTGAGCCGGGCGTGGTGGCTCACACCTGTAATCCGAGCACTTTGGGAGACCAAGGCAGGTGGATCACTTGAGGTCAGGAGTTCGACACCAGCCTGGCTAACATGGCAAAACCCTGCCTCTACTAAAAATACAAAAATAAATAAGGCATGGTGGCACATGCCTGTAGTCCCAGCTAACTACTTGGAAGGCTGAGGCACGAGAATTGCTTGAACCCCAGAGGTGGAGGTTGCAGCGAGCTGAGATCAGACCACTGCACTCCAGCTTGGGCGACAGAATGAGACTCCATCTCAAAAAAATAAAAAATAAAAAGGAGGTGAGAGTGGCTCAGAGAGGCTGGTGCCTTGCCCAGGGCCACAGGCAACAGCAGGCAGCCCTGGGCTTAAACCCAAGAAAGGAAGCCTGTGCCTCGAATTTGAGGTCTCAGAGGGTGGCAGATGAGCTTTCCTGAGAGACAAAAGAGGGAAATAGCATCTGTGAAAAGACATAAGGAACTTAGTCTGGTGCTTACTGTGCCCTGATTCCTGGTCACCTGTGGGCGTGTGTCAGGGGCCCTGATGGTGACTGGTTGTGGTGGCTCTGGTGCTCGGGATTGCGAGCAGCTCCAGAACCTGGGTGACACCACCTCCCCACTCACTGGGCCACAGTGGGCTGCAGAGACTGTTAATGCTGAGGCTTCTGAGCTGGGAAAATTAGCAATAGCAGCACAAAGAAAATTACCCTCCATCTGCTTCCAATGACAATGGTAGGACCAGAGAGATCCCAAAACCTGAACAGAGGAGGAAACTCGGAGCCACATCCAGGACAGGCCTCCAGCAGGTAGGAAGTGCAAGTAGGAAACGCATCAATGATTTAGGGAGGAGGCTGCTTTTGCTAGTAAGGACAGTGGCCAGAGGGCCACTGAGAGCCT
The DNA here is from genome assembly GCF_000001405.40 of Homo sapiens. Classification (NCBI taxonomy): domain Eukaryota; kingdom Metazoa; phylum Chordata; class Mammalia; order Primates; family Hominidae; genus Homo; species Homo sapiens. The sequence continues at coordinate 109,525,707 of NC_000002.12, read as the reverse complement.
CCTCTCTGGCATCTTACAACAAATGGGCACCGAGCAGGTTGTCCTGAGCTACCCTGATGGTGACCAAGTTGTTGTCCAGGAATGTTTCCATCCTGCCCTGAATGCCGGGTGCTGGACCTCCTCATGGCTGCAGTGCCCTGGGGTTCACGTCACCAGCCCACCACTTTGTGGTTGGCGTCAGCTCGGGGAGTGTAGGCCTGTGGGGCTCCGGCTGGTGAGGGTGCAGGTAACTAGCACTTTCAGCCCTCAGGCATGGTGGCTCATGCCTGTAATCCCAGCACTTTGGGAGGCCAAGGTGGGCAGATCATTTGAGGTCAGGAGTTCGAGACCAGCCTGGCCAAGATGGTGAAAACCTGTCTCTATTTCTTGTAAAAATTCAAAAAAAATTAGCTGGGCGTGGTGGCACATGCCTGTAGTCCCAGCTACTCAGGAGGCTGAGGCAGAAGAATCTCTCGAACCCGGGAGGCAGAGGTTGCAGTGAGCCAAGACCGCGTCACTGCACTCCAGCCTGGGTGACAGAGTGAGACTCTGTCTCAAAAACCAAACAAAAAACAAAAACAAAAACAAAAATGATGTCAAGGGATATTTGCTGAAGCCTCATCCATAACCACAAAAAAAAAAAAAAAAACAACGGTAAGGAGCCTAAATGCCCACCATGGGAAAGTGTTGAACTAGTCTGTGATGTGGGGACAGCAGGCAGCTGCAGAAGCACTGAGTGAAGATGCAGAGGACGGATGAATCCTGACCCTGCTGAAAGGAACATAACTGAAGATCTGCGCCGAGGAGGAACCCAGGGCTTGGGAATTCCATGTGCCATTTGTTTCCTTCTTGATTCTTTTCCCTTCTTTTCTATATATTCTATAATTAGGACTTTCTCATTTAGAAACCCTTAAAAATTTAAAAATGGAAGGCCTTTTTAGATTTTTTAATTTTAATTTTTATTTATTTATTTATATATTTTTTGAGATGGAGTCTTTCTCTGTCACCCAGGATGGAGTGCAGTGGCGCGATCTCAGCTCACTGCAACCTCTGCCTCCCAGGTTCAAGAGATTCTCCTGCCTCAGCTGGAATTACAGGCATGCTCCACCACGCCTGGCTAATTTCTGTATTTTTAGTAGAGACAGGGTTTCACCATGTTGGCCAGGCTGGTCTCGAACTCCTAGCCTCAAGTAATCTGCCTACCTCGGCCTCCCAAAGCGCTGGGATTACAGGCGTGAGCCATCGCGCCCAGTGTTGTTTTGTTTTTTTTTTTTTTTTTTTTTTGAGACAGGGTCCCACTCTGTCACCCTAAGATCCCTAGCAGGAGCTGATATTCACAGAGCGTGTTATGGCTGCTTCACTCCGGCTTTCACACACATGATCTCATTCAAATCCCCATGTCATGAGAAGGTGACAGTGGGCAGCGTGTGACCACTGAGCCGTCCTTACAGTGGATGGAGGTCAGAGAACTGCCCTCTGAGCCCCAGGTCCTCCCTACCAGCTAGAGCCTTTGGACAAGCTGTGTGGCTTCCCTGAGCCTGAGTTTTTATTTGTGCAATGGAGGGAGTGTCCTGCTCTTGCGCCACTAGGCCCTGACCTTATGCATGATGTGCAGAACGGAGGCCCACGGAGTCCCAGTGAGGCTGGGGAGGTGAGACCAGGCAGGTGTGCATGGAACAGCCCCTGCTCCTGTCCCTCGGGGAAGGCAGGAGGTGGCCCAGGACTCTGAAGGATGCAGGTGGGCGGCTGTGATGCAGACAGCTACATGGGGCAGGGCTGTGCACCACAGCTCCTTACAGACACTGGCTCGGTAGGAACCACGGCAGTCAGAGCAGACAAGCATGGCCCTGAGATGCAAACAGGAAAATCTGAGAGGGAGACCGTCGCAGGCTGCTTGGTGGCCCATGTCCCAGTCTCTGAGGTATTAGCCTCAATGGGTGTCAGGGATGCTCCCCAGCTTTGCTGAGACTGTACCCAGGCAGTTCAGGGAGATGGGGTGCAGGGGTGAGCTGGGGCTGGGGGTGGGCAGATAGGGCTTGGGTGTGAGAGCTGGGCGAGGTGCCAGCAGCTGCTTCTCAGCGGCTCATGTGTCCAGTGGGAATTCCCAGGTCTCCACCTCTCAGGTCCTTCTAAAGGGCTAATGAGTTATGGTTGAAAGGTGTGTGGCTGGAGCAGGGGCACCTACCCATTCTACACATAAGATCAATCAATGGAACAGCGTGTGTATCACGGCACATCTTGGGTGACCACCTGTGCACAGCCTGAGTCCCTGTGGGACCAGGGAAAGCAGGTGCAGCATCACCTAGTCACCTGGGTGACCCGGCTTTTCCATGTAGACCCTGAGCATCCTCACCAAGTGAGGATGGCACAGCTTGGCCACTGGGGTCTTCCAGCCTGGACAGCTCTCCAAGGCCTTCCAGCAACCCATGAGTGGGTCACTTCCCCTAGGTGTGGGCCTCAGCCACTGGCAGCTTCTGCAGCCTCTCCGCCACATGATATGCAAAAACTGTGACATAGCGGTCCTGGAGGAGGAGCAACCTACAGAGATTCAAGGGCACTGTGAGTCTTGGGGCCCTGTGGAAGGAGCCTGCCATCAGCCGCATCTACTCTGACTACCCCCAGGCAACCTCTCCAGGACCACAGAGGGCTGCCTGTCAGTGGAGCAAGCAAAGACTCCGAGGGGTAGACCAGTTACAGCAGGAAATGGAGTGACAGTGCCTGACACGGACTCACAGATTTGTGCCTTTTAGCACTTACTCTAAATGGGGCCATCTACAATTCCTAAGTGGAACTTGAATCTGCACAGCTGTGTCTAAACACACGAGTATTTTGAAGCACTCTTCTCTCTCCTGGTCATCCTCACTAGTTAAGTCTGGCTGCCACGTGCTTCCACCCTGGGCAGGTGCTGCTGATTGCGTGTTGCATTTTCTTGAAATGAAGATAGCGATGGTTCCTAATCCCAGGAGCATATTAGTGTCACTGGGAAGCTTGTGGGAGATGCTGATGCCAGGGCCTGATCCTGGGCCTGATGCACTGAACGTTTGGGGTGGGACTGAACACTTTGGGAGGCCGAGGCGGGAGGATTGCTTGAGCTCAGGAGTTTGAGACCAGCCTGGAAAAAAAAAGGCTGGGCACGGTGTCTCATGCCTATTATCCCAGCACCTAGCACTTTGGGAGGCCAAGGCAGGTGGATCACCTGAGGTCAGGAGTTCTAGACCAGCCTGGCCAACATGGTGAAACCCCGTCTCTACTAAAAATACAAAAATTAGCTGGGCATGGTGGCAGGTGCCTGTAATCCCAGATACTTGGGGGGTGGGGCTGAGACAGGAGAATCCCTTGAACCCAGGAGGCAGAGGTTGCAGTGAGCCGAGATTGCGCCATCGCACTCAAGCCTGGGGGACAAGAGCGAGACTTCGTCTCAAAAAAAAAAAAAAGGTTTTTTTTTAAAAAAAAGAAAAGAGAACCTTTGGGGTGGGGCCGGACACTGGTATTTTCTTCTCAGATGCTAATGTGCAGCTAGGATTGACACAGATCACCGGAGAAACAAAATACCCCACTCAAAGTCCAAAGTTTGGAACTTTGGACTGATCTCAACTGGTAGGAGGCTCAATTTGCATATGTTCATTCAGCAGGTTTTTTTAAAATTAAATTTTGAAAAACAGTTTTATCAAAACTTTAAACATTGCGAAGTAAAACGCTGCCGTTGTGGAGTGACAGCTGTCCCATGTAAGTCGTGGCTGTCCTGGACCCTCGGGTGGGTCTGGGAGCCCGGCTGATCAGCGGGCAGGGCGGCAGCTGCGACCCCTCCCTCCCCATCCCTGCAGAAAATACATCTTCAAAGACTCAGCTTCAATTAACACCGACTATAACAGGTCCTAATGAGAGGTACTTAGGTAATGAGCTGATTAAATCTGTAATTAAAGTGTCAAAAGCACAACCCCCAAGGAGATTATCTGCTGCTAGGCTTTGCTCAGGGGACTCCACCCTGCTTTCTTGGATACACACCGTCTTTCTGTTGGAAAGCAGGCTTCCAGGTGACACGTCCAGCCAGCAATTTCTTTTGATCATCAAAAACATCAAGTGTCAAATAAAGGGGTGGAAATAAATAGAACACTGTAGAATAGAATAGACTTCAGTGAAAAGAGTGAAATCTCGGGACCGCGAGCATGCACTGAGTGCCAGCTCCGTGTGATCATCTACTCTGGCACACGGCAGTCCTGGCTTCACTCGGACACTTCCAGGGGTGTGGGTTTCCTGCCCTACAAGGCAGCCCATGCCCCAGCTCGGTGGTGCTACTGAAGTGGTGAGGAAATCCTGGATTCCAGACCATGTCTCAGCACCCTGGGGAGCCTGATCATCACTCGGGTGACTTGGCCACCATGCCCTTTACAGCCTGGGACACTGCTGCCAGCCCTTCTGTCCCTGCCCCTCTTGGCTTCATCTGAAGGTCATTCTCCTCCACCTGTCTTCTCTTCAGCATTTTCAACATCATAATTCTTTTTTTTTTTTTTGAGACGGAGTCTCGCTCTGTCACCCAGGCTGGAGTGCAGTGGCACAATCTTGGCTCACTGCAAGCTCCGCCTCCCGGGTTCACGCCATTCTCCTGCCTCAGCCTCTCCGAGTAGCTGGGACTACAGGTGCCCGCCACCACGCCCGGCTAATTTTTTGTATTTTTAGTAGAGACGGGGTTTCACCGTGGTCTCGATCTCCTGACCTCGTGATCTGCCCGCCTCGGCCTATCAAAGTGCTAGGATTACAAGCGTGAGCCACCGCGCCCGGCCTTTTTTTTTTTTGAGATGGAGTCTTGCTCTGTCACCTAGGCTAGATAGAATGCAGTGGCGCGATCTTGGCTCACTGTGACGTCCGCCTTCCAGGTTCAAGCGATTCTCCTGCCTCAGCCTCCCTGAGTAGCTGGGATTACAGACGCCCACCACCACGCCCGGCTAATTTTTGTAGTTTTAGTAGAAACAGGGTTTCACCGTATTGGCCAGGCTGGTCTCGAACTCCTGACCTCAGGTGATCCACCTGCCTTGGCCTCCCAAAGTGCTGGGATTATAGGCGTGAGCCGCTGTGCCTGGCCTCAACATCATAATTCTTTTTTTTCTTTTTTTTTTTTTTTTTTTTTTTTTTGAGATGGAGTCTTGCTCTGTCCACAGGCTGGAGTACAGTGGCACCATCTCGGCTCACTGCAACCTCCGCCTCCTGGGTTCCAGCGATTCTTCTGCCTCAACCTTCTGAGTAGCTGGGATTACAGGCATGTGCCACCACCCCCGGCTAATTTTTGTATTTTTAGTAGAGACAGGTTTCACCATGTTGGCCAGGGTGGTCTTGATCTCCTGACCTCATGATCTGCCTGTCTCAGCCTCCCAAAGTGCTGGGATTACAGGCATGAGCCACCGCGCCTGGCCAACATCATAATTCTTAAGCAGAGCTCTTATTCCCACCCACCTTTATTATCTTTCTGCTCTGAATTCAGGTCTAACTCCTCCTTCCCTTTTAAAAACTTAAAATTTGAGATAATTGTGGATTCACATGCAGTTTTAAGACATAAATTCAGAGATCCCACATATCCTTCACTAAATTTTCCCCAATGGCAACATCTAGCAAAACTACACGTAGTACCGTATCACAGGAAATTAGCCTTGTACGATCCATTGGCCTTGCTCAGATATCATGCTAACAAGCATGTGTGTGCGTGCACACCGGTATTTATTTCCATGTAATTTCATCTCACGTGTAGATGCATGCAACCACCTCCTCAGTCAGGACAAAGAACCACCCATCCTCACGCAGATGCTTCAGTCCACCCTTTTGCAGCCACAGCTATCATTTCACTCCCTTTCTTACCCCAACCCCAGCTCCTGGCAACCACTCACCTGTTCTCCATCTCTATCATTTCGTAATTTCAGGGATGCTACATACATGGAACAGCAACAAGAGCAGGCAATAGAAAGCAACGCCCTCACATGCCCTTGACAAAAGCATGCTGGATGTCCTGTGTCTTTCTTTTTACCCAGGGTCTGGGCCTCTCAATGAAATGCTAACTAGCCGAGTGACATATGTGGTTTTATCTATTTTTAATGCGTGTCTGCTCTTCTTTTAAAAGGGTGTAAACAGAATTTTCAAGTCACAACTGACCCTGGAGACCAGTATGATCTCCCCAGCAACTGTAGGGACACAGTTGGTGCCCAGCCAGGGCTGAGTTCTTGAGGCCTCTCTCTTGAGGTGCAGTTCTTTTAACAACAGGATGACATACAGGTCAATGTTCCTAGAACTACAAGTTTGGGCAAATCACACAGTAACAAATATGCATTAAACTTGATTTGGTTTGGATCGTGTCCTCACCCAAATCTCGTGTTGAAATGTAATCCCCAATGCTGGAGGTGGGGCCTGGTGGGAGGTGATTGGATCATGGGGGCAGTTTCTAAGGGTTTAGTGCCATCCCCCTAGTGCTGTTCTCGTGTTAGAGTTCTCAGGAGAGATCTGGTTGTTTAGAAGTGTGTAGCACCAGGCAGGGTGTGGTGGCTCAAGCCTGTAATCCCAGCACTTTGGGAGGTTGAGGTGGGCAGATCACCTGAGGTCAGGAGTTCAAGACCAGCCTGACCAACATGGTGAAACCCCGTCTCTACTAAAAATACAAAAATTAGCCAGGCATGGTGGCGGGCACCTGTAATCCCAGATACTTGGGAGGCTGAGGCAGGAGAATCACTTGAACCCAGGAGGCGGAGGATGCAGTGAGCCAATATTGCATGACTGCACTCCAGACTGGGTGACAGAGCGAGACTCCCTCAAAAAAAAAAAAAAAAAAAAAAAGATATGTAGCACCTTCCCCACCTCTCTCTTCCTCCTGCTGGGGCCATGTAAAATATGCCTGCTTCTGCCACGATTGTAAGTTTCCTGAGGCCTCCCCAGAAGTTGAGCAGTTGCTTCCTGTACAGCCTGTGGAACTGTGAGCCAAATAAACCCCCTTTCTTTATAAATTACCCGGTCTTGGGTATTTCTTTACAGCAGTGCAAGAATGGACTCATACAGAACCCAAAACACATTCTGTGAGAATGCATTAAAAAAAATTACAACAAAGTTCAGTTGGAAATTTTGATTCAGTATGCACATATTTGCTTTACTTACAATTTAGTGCTGCTAATGGTGGGAATGTCCAGCAGAAGCAACAAGGCAATGGTTCTTAGAGCAGATGCCCCCTGTTGGAGTTACAGACTTGAAGCTGCGGTATTTGTGGAGCTGGGCCGTAGGCTCTGGGGTCTGCAGACACTGAGTTAAGTTGCTGGCTGGCTGTAAGCCCTGGGGGAAGCTACCTAACCTCTCTGAACCCCTGCTCTCCCATTTGTAAAATGACCATGATGAGAGTCCTCATAGGGTGCTTGTAAAGTGAGATGATGGAGTAAAGGGCCCAGCACCGTGCTCAGTTAACACAGCTGATGCCCTCACCCTGGAGGGCCGGCCTGTGTAGGAGGAGAAACAAGAGATGTGTAGGAACAGCCCTTTTGGAAGGCTTAGAAACAACTTCATGCTGAATAGAAGGAAACCAGAAAAGAAACAATTGCCCACACTTATTTATATTTTACCCTGTGAGTTGTTGTTGCAAGATGTGTGCAAGGATTCAAATGCCGCCAATTAGAAAAGCGGACCTTGTAGCTTGTGGCTTCATGGCTGCACACCAGGTAAGCGAGTTGCAGCTCGTATCTGCAGGGCCTCAGCCCCTGGGCTCAGCCCACTTGTTTTCATCCACGTCTGCTCCTCTGAAGTTCTCAAATGGGACTCGAGCTCCCATCGGGGGCATACCCTCTGCAGCTGCACCTTCTGGGACCCTGCAGGCCACACAAAGCTGCAAAGACCTCGGGCGTCGTTATCTAGGCTTCCTAGTCACCTGGGGATGGCATTGTCCTTGTGGAACACCAGGCCTCGTGTTTGTGGGTGTGCTCCAGGCTCTCGACAGCACTGGGTGTCAGCCTGTGCTGCACGGTGGGCACTTGGGACACCCACCCAGCCCTGTGGGATCAGAACCTCCAGCCAGAACCCAGCCCAGGACGGAGCAGTAAAGAACTCAGGCAGAGGCAGACAGCCGTGGGGTCTGCAGGCGTGGAGCTCACACCCCTGCTGAGCTGTGAAGGGGCCATGAGAGGAGGGCCTGGGCAGGATTCCAACGTCAGAGTGCAGCCATTGCTCTAATGCTGTTCCCTGCACAGGGCTGAAGCAAGCAGCAGCCAGGCGGGGTTCACAGGTCCGAACCTGCGGTGTTTGGACTCTGTTCACTCACCCGGCCTTCCTTGCTGCGGTGGTTCGGCAGCTTCCGGAAGATTCCAGCAGAGACTCCTGCAAGCCTCAGGTTGACACATGAATGACCAATGAACCTGTCAGGCTTTATTGAGCATGGACCAAGTCCCAGGCCCCGCACAGTCCGGGGATAAAGAGGGGGGCTGGTGTGGAGACAAAGGGGCACTGAAGTCATGGGCGATGGCGTGGGAGGGGGCGGGCGATGCTGGCAACAGGGGAGGACAGCAGCTTCCAGAGGCTGGGCGGGACCTCTGTGTATACCCTTTGCACATTCCGGGTGACCCTTTCTAAGGCTCGTACAGGGACACCAGTCCCCCAGAACTCAGTGTTTCTGGCCGGTTCTAGGCCTGTGGGGTGAGGGCTGGCCAGTGTTCCTGGAAGGCAGTTTGCAGGGGAGCAAAGCTCAGCCATGTGTTCCTAGTGGGTAGGGCTGCGATCACCCTTACCCGAACTGTACACTGGAGGACTGGGCTGGGGCTCATTTTGCTGAGGCCAGGAATTCTGGGGGCCATGCTGCCCACCCTACCTCTGGCATCAAGATCCACTGAGACTGATGAGGAGCAGTGTTTAACCATTCTTTGCACTAAAAATATCGTGGGAAAGTAACTGATCTATCAGTTTTGGAAAATGCAGCCATCGTTTAGCAGATTTCATCTGAAGGCAAGAGGTAGGAAGTTGCCCTTAATTTGAATTGTTCGGTCGAGGGGATCCCGCTTGCACTGCAGTTACCTGCGCCTCACACGCCAGCCCTGCTTTGGGGCTGGGGGCTCCTGCGAGAGGCCAGACACGGGCTCGCCTCCTTCCCACTTCTTCAGTAATGAAAGCCTCCCTTGCGTTGGGGTGGCTGGAGTGGGACCAGCACGCCCTCCAGTGGCGGCCCTCACAGCCGCCTTGCCTGTGCCCTGCCTGAGGAAGGGCGGGCTCTCTGTGACCCGGTGGCCACAGCCTGGGAGACTGAGTGTCCGCATATCAGGACAGGCCTAAGTGCTCAGCCCCAGCTGTAGGCCCGTGCTTCTGTGCCAGTGGAACCTCTCCTGCACCAGGCATTTACAAACCCTTAAGCCTCAGAACATGTCCCGTCATGGCCACATTTTCCAGATGAGGAGACTCTGGCCTAAGACAGCACCATCAGTGACGCCAGGGGAGAGGGCTGCCCCCCAGGCCCTGGGCACAGGGGGTGGGACTTAGGTCCTTCAGGCCCAGCATGGGCCACACATCACCTGCTCGGGCCCATGTGTTGTAGAGTGCCAGGAGGCCTGGTGGGCTCAGCAGCCCACTCAAGGGTGTCTGGGGGCTCCAGGACTCATAGGCTGCTCCCATGCCCCTTAGCCCAGGGAAGACCCCTGAATCATAACCATTCCACTCAGCTAGAGACCTTGGAGCTGAGTGCTAAGCATTAAGCAGGTAGTTAGCACAAAGAATCCCTGCTGATATTGTTTGGATGTTTGGTTGTTTGTCCCCTCCAACCCCAGGTGGAAATGCAATCCCTAGTGCTGGAGATGGGGCCTGGCAGGCGGTGTTTGGGTCGTGGGGCGGATCCCTCAGGAATGGCTTGGTGCGTTCCTGGCGGTAATGAGTGAGCTCTTGCTCTGTTAGTTCATATGAGATCTGATCGTTTGAAAAAGTCCGCCACGGCCCCTACCCCTCCTGCTCCACTTTTGCCTCCCGAGGCCTCACCAGATGCAAATGCTGGTGCCATGCTTCCTGTACAACCTGCAGAACCATGAGTCAAATAAACCTTTTTTCTTGATAAATTATCCAGCCTCAGGTATTCCTTTGTAGCAACGCAAAACAGACTACTACTCCTACCCTGGGAAGAAGCGTCTCTGTAGCCATGGCCGAGTTTGGGGTGCTGGAGATCTGGCTGAGGGGATGAGGCGCTCTCCTGAGGTCCTCAGTGGGGAGGTGGGTTTGAGATCTGGGGCCTAGGAAGGGAAGGAAGGGCCTGCACTGCCAATGGCTCTTGTCCTCCACTCCACCAGGGCTTTGTCCTGGAGTCTGGCCAGCCATGAGATGAAGCAAGTTAGCAATAGGCAGGACATTCCACATCCCCCACGGACCCTCCAGGGAGGGCATAGCCACTCTGCCCCCAGCCTGCAGGCCCCCTTCTCTCAGCCACTGCCTGTAGGCCCTCCCTCCTCAACTTACACTGAATCATGTGGGGCACACTGTTTGGCGTCAAGGGGTGTGCCAAGCTCGCCATCATGGGGTGCTGGGTGCCGCCGAGTTTCCATTTAGTCTATTCCCAATGCCTGGAGAACCCTCCTGGCCCTGGCCGCCATTGGTCATCCAGGCTGAGTGCAGACCTGGACCCACATCCAGCATGTGCGGTAAACCCTATGCCCAGCAGACAGAGGCCACAAGTGATTTCCAGGGCAAAGGTCATCCCTGGACTTGCATTCAGGCCCCAGGGCAGGGCTCTGGGCATGAGAGTTGGCAGATGTGGTTGGCTCCATGTCCCAGGCATCTCTGGCTAATGGAAGTCAGAGGCTTGAGGAGAGGGAAGTGTGTGAGGGGCATGGGGGAAGATGAGAGGGAGGGAGGGTGGGAAGCACCACCTGACCAGGGAAAGGAGGAGGCAGTGAGAAAGTGACCGCCGTGCCCAGGGCCTGGGGGGCAGCCCTCTCCCCTGGCACCCAAACCCCCAAGGGAGTCAAGCTGTGGACCTCGAACCATGGAATAAAGCTGCAAGAAGAGTCCAGAGACCAATCGGTCCCACAGCGACTGAAAGTGAAAAATGAGGGGAAGGAAAACTCCAGTCCAGGCTGTAGCCACACCTGAGGCCACTCTGGCAGAGCACTGCAGGCTCAAGGTCCCTGCGTGGGGGTCTGTACACAGGGGAAAGAGCCCAACTCTAGGGACGGCCCTGGTCCCACACCAGGGCTTCCCTGCGGCATCCCGCCTGGCCTGCACACAGGCTGGTTCCAACACACAGCCAAGTGCCCCACACTGAACTCGTACAGGGCCCTGTGAGTCTGCCTTTCATCCATGGAGGTCTGAGCTGTGCACAGTCATAATTCACTAGCCCTGGGGGCGGTGGGCGGATGGGCTGCAGCTGTGGGCACTCGCACACCCGGGGCTGCGTTTTCCTAACAGCCCTGGTCTGTGTTTTATAACGTGGTTTTCTGAGTCCACAGCAGAAACTCCGTATTTACCAGCTCAGAGCCGTAACCAAGTTATGAATCATAATAAGATTCCAGAAACAGCCAGTCCAGCACATGGGAGTTTCCAGGGCGTTACATAAGCTCAGAATCTGGCCCGGCTAGCTTGATGCTGAGTTTAAGTTTCAACCAAACCTCAGAGCTGCAAGAGCACTTGATGGAGCAACATAAACCAGGCTTACTGCCTTTCTAAGGACCGTGGGAACATGCCCACATTAAGGCCCTTCTCCGTTCTAGCTTTGAGTGGTGAGGAGAACTCTGACATGGAGCCGCAGACTCACTGGGGACCAGAAGGCCCCCAGGCCCAGGAGGCTGCCTGGGCTCCACCCGGCTGCTTGCTCTTCTAGGATTTGCTCATCGGCCACCATCACGGTGGTCCCCCTGGGGTAGCTGAAGTGCTTTGTTGGATGCTGAAGTTAGAATGTGGCTGTGGGTGAGGGCTTGGTTTGCTGGTGATACCCAATCCCCTACACCCCTGGCCACATCCTCTGTAGCCACAGGCTGGCTCTGGGGAGGTGAGGCAGCACAGACTACAGCCTCCATGGGCACCCACCTCCCTCCTTCCCTTGTGGCACTCCTCCTGCAAAGCCTCATCTACGCAGGTGTCCTAGAACTGGGAGAAGGGTGTGTGTGCAAATGTGCAAGTGATGTGTGCGCATGTGCATATAGTGTGTGGACGTGTGTTTGTGCATGCACGTGGCTTGTGTGGTGTGTGCATGCAGTGTGTGTGTATGTGCATATAATGTGTGCATGTGGGTATGGTGTGTGTACATGTGGTGTGTGTACATGTGGTGTGTGTACATGTGGAGTGTCTATATGTGCACGTGTGTGATGTGTGTGGTGTGCATATAGTGTGTATGCATGTGGAGTATGTGCATGCATGTGTACATGTGTGAAGTGTGTGCATACGGGAGGTGTGTGCATGCATGTGTACATGTGTGAGGTGTGTGCATGTGGAGTATATGCATGCATGTGTACATGTGTGGGGTGTGTGCATGTGGGATGTGTGTGCATGCACATGAGGTGTGTGTGGTGTGTCAGGTGTGAATCCATGGGGCCTGGGTGCTGAGACAGGTCTACTGTGCAGGTGCTTTCTTTTGGGAAGAAATTCCAGGGCACGGGAGTGGAAGGTCGGGGCATTGTGCCAGGGAAGGAGCTGGGGTGGCATGGCATGGGGTGCCTCAGAACTGCCCCAGGAAGGGCAGCACATCCGTCCGCTGGCTCCTTCGGGCCTTGCACCTTCAGCTCTGTGCAGGGGAAAGTATTGTGTGGGCTCTTGCAGGTTTCCCTCCCTTAGGTGACTGAGAAGCCACCCAGGACAGAAAGAGGCTGCCAGGCCACCCACGTGCAAGATGGTTGCCATGGCAATGGCCAAAGTCATGGTGGACCTGAAGAACTGGAGGTGAATAGCAGGCGGCTGCTCCCTTGCTGGCCCAGGAGGGGGTGAGGAGGGGTCAGGGTCAGAGTCATGTGAGGGGTCTTAGGTCTTGGGGCACCCAGGGTGGAGGCTCTGGGAGAGACAGGAGCACCTGGGAGGGGGAAAGTCAAAGATGCTACCTGAGGGCTCTCCAGGGTGCCCAGCCTGCCCGGCTTCTCTTTCTTGCTCAGCCTCTGTGGCTGACTTGCCTCCCACGAGGCCCAGCAAGCCGGGTCTAGTCAAGAATGTCCCAGAAAAACCTGGAGTGTAGATAGAGAGACACACAGTGAAGACCAGGAGACCAGGAGGCAGATGCAGTAGACCAGGGAGGGTAGCGAGGGGACTTGTGATGTTAAAATCCCTGGGTGCCCAGCGCGGTACAGAGTGGACCCCCAGGCAGCCTGGGACCATCCCTGGGCATACCTGGAGCTTGACTCAGGAGGGGGCAGGAGGGTGGCGGAGGCCACAGTGAGAGGTGAAATCAGCTGCAGCACATCAGGTGGTTTGCTGGGCATCAGAAGAAGGAGGAAGGACACACTGAGGGCACCCTGGGAGCAGCAGGGATGCAGGGCAGGGAGGGCCGGGACACATGGGGCCCACACGTCAGTCACCAAGGCATGCATGCAGCAAAGGACAGTGGGGCCAGGGCCCAGCAGGAGGAGGGCCAGGGTCCCAGGCCAGAGCCAGGAAGAGAGTTTCCAGCAGGCCGAGGAGGGCGGACAAGCCCCCTAAAAGTGTTTGGATGTTGAGACAGATATCACAGCCCCCACTAGAGTTGTAGAGAAAGCTTATTATCACACATGATGGGACTCCTGTGTGCCCTGGAGATGGGTCTGGCACTCAGCTCAACTCCCACTTGGGAGTCCCAGAGTCCTCTGGGCAGCAACACCATCTAGGGCAATTCTGCAGTACGTGTGCATCGGCACCTGCTGTGGGCAGCACCACACTGGGTGCCAGGAGGCACACATGGGCCACCCCCACCTCGGCCTCCTGGGTGTGCTCTCCCAGGATGCAGGACCTCACCTCTCTCTCTGTCCACCCCCCATTCCTTATTTGGGGGCATGGGGCAGCAGCCATGAAAATGCAGGGAGGGTGTGGACAAGGACTTGTGGAGCAATTCCATAGAAAAGACTTACAGTAGATGGCCAGCCCTGGCCCTGGTCTCACGTTGGGTCACAAAGCCAGCTGGAGGCAGAAGCAGGGCTAGAACCTGCCCCTGACCCCAGGGCTTGTGCCCCTCCCTATTCCTCCCTGCAGGCTCCCACCTTCTGCAGGTGATCTGAGCCTTGCCACAACAGTGGTTGGCCTTAGCTGATTGCCATGTGGTCCAGGCACCTTCAGGTGGGCAGGTTCTCCCAGCCTGACTGCAAGGACACCACCCCTAAGGCCACCAATTGCCAGCCTGTAGGCCTGACCAGAGGCACACTGGATTGCGGGAGAACTTTTTGTTCTTTTTGATCAAAGAGTATGTTGTCACCAGATGGGGGCATGTGGTATACTGGGCCACCTGGTGCTGTCATCAGAGGCCACAGAGGACAGCTGAGAACTTGTTGTGGCTGTGGGACCTCATTCTCCAGTCCCGAGTCAGGCTTCAGGGAGCACTGTCACAGCAAGTCAGACAGGGACAAGTGTCAATGGCCCTGACATCAGCCAGGCCTCCCGAGGCCAAGAACAGGCTGAGGAGTTAGGAGTGCGGCCTTTGGAGCCAGACTGCCAGTGCTTGAATCCTAGGTGCCGCACCTCTTTGCCCCTTCCTGAGGCGAGTTGGTTAACTGCTCTCTGCCTCAGTTTCCCCATCTGTGAAATTGCATGGTCATAATTCCTACTTCATAAGCCTGATGTGAGGACAAAAACGAGGCAATGGATGTAGAGTGCTAAGCATGGGGCGGGCGCAGAGGGTGGGCTTAGTACATGCTTAACACGCACTTGCCATCTTCAGCACCCACGAGGAGGCCAGGGGCTCCTGGAAGGGCCCACTCCCCATAGCTCCGGCCACCCGTCCCACCTTTGCTCTCTGCCGCTTCCCCTGCAGGAAAGCCTCTCTTGCTTTTGTTGCAGTCACCCAGCATGGGCCCCACTCTGCTCACCCTGGCTTTAGCTGGAGGAGGCCAGCTCCTGGTCAGACGGGGCCCTTCCCCAGCCCAGGCTGGGCAGGGAGGAGGGGTCACCCCATGGCACACACAAGTGGCTGTTTTGTTGGGAAGGGGCTGTGGGTGCTCAGAGCCCCTGGTCCCGGCTAGGAACAGAAATGAAGCCCTGGACCCCATCAGCCCTCTGGGCTGCAGAGGGTGAGGATGGAACCGGGGTTCCTTCAGTCTGGTAGTCACTGCACAAATGTGAGAAGAGCTACCTCGGGGTTTCCCTCTAGGACATGTGGAAGGCTTCCCCTCGGCCTCCACATCGGACTGACTTGTCAAAGGACCCTCGGGGCTGTCTGCTCCCCCACATGCCCTCACCGCCCCCTTGGCAGAGACGCCTTGCCCTTTGCCCAGCATCTGCTGTGCCAGCTTCCCACATTCATACGAGCCATTCCCTGTGCCACCAACAGAGGGAGCTCCCGACACAGTTTGCATCTAAACACCCCTTGAGAGCCCAGGAAACACTGCCTCCTGCTTCTGGCCTGGAAGGCTCAGAGACCTACCCCTGGCCATTCTCACCTCAGCCCTCTCCTCCACACCTGCTCTGGGCTCCCTCAGTTTCTTGATCCTGCCAAGCTCTCCCCAGCCTCGGGTTGGGGTGTGCACACACACCGTTCCCGCCAACCGAACATTCTTTCCCCTCTTCCTGCCTTGTGAATTTCTAAACAAGACTACAGTGTGGAGGTCCAGATAAGACCCGGACACCCTCTAAGTGGCCCTCCATGCCCCTCACCTCTCCAACTAGATAAGAGTTTCCTGCGATCCCTTAGTACTTTGCCCTATAGTATTTGCCCGGTAGCTATCGCCTAGTTATTTTGATTAATTTAACTTTTGACTTCATTATGACCTGGTCTCCATGAGCACAGGCACATGGGCTGAATTATGTTCCCCGAAAATTCATATGTTGAAGTCCTAGCCCCCAGTGCCTCAGCGTGTGTCTCTGCTTGGAGATTAAATTAAAATGAGTCCATTGGTGGGCCTAATCTGGCCTGACTGGTGTCCTTGTGAGAAGGGTGAGGGTGCAGGGGGTGGAGGATGAGAAATTGCTTAAAGGGGACATGTCATGTATGTTATTCGGGTGATGGATACACTAAAACTCCTGACTTGACCACTATGGCATGTAACAAAATTGCACCCCATAAATTTACACAAATTCATTTTAAAAAGAAGAGGAACACTGGATACAGACGCACAGAGATGAATCCGGGCAAGACGACCCGCCACAGCTGCTTGACAGAGTGAGGAGACGGCGGTGTGCAAGCCGAGGAGAGAGGTCTCAGAGGAAACCAACCCTGCTGCAACTTCAACCTTGGACTTCCAGCCTCCAGCACTTTGAGAGAATATATTTCTGTTGTTTCAGCCACGCAGTGCATGGTATTTTGATATGGCAGCCTAAGTGACTGATACAGGCACGTGGGTTTGCACACTTCTTTCCATAGCACCAAACACCGCATAATCTGACAGGCGGCTGGGCCCCACCAGGCAGACCTCCAGGAAGGCCTGAATACATGAGGTGGGTCCTCTTGCCTGGATTCATCTCCGTGACCCTGGTGCTGGGCCCAGAGCAGAAGTAGCTGTTGAATGAATGAGTAGAGTGGGAAGGGGTGGAGAGAAGATGCCCAGACCCAGGCAAGTCCTGTGTGACCCTGACGGATGGGCACTTCCTTCCATTTCTCCCGGCAGGAATGGGTAAGCTGGTTGTGAGCTCCTTGACTCATGTGCTGGTGTTGTGTATTCTTGCCAAGAACGTCCAGAGGAAGCGCTCTGGGACCCATCATGGAGTGGACTGCATCCCCCCGTCCCGGGCTTGTAGCGCCTTTGCTCCTCAGGCACAGACTGCCGAGTCCATGACTACCCACACGGCTTGCCTTCCTCTCCAGATGTGAACTCTGGCTGGGGTGGGCAGCTGTGTCTCTCCTTTCATGCCTTATCTGGGGTGCCCTGTCTGAGCACTTACATTCATCTGTGACTGCTCACTGATCTGATAAGTGAGTGGGTGAAGCCAGGCCATCGAGGGGTGTGGTGAGTGGGTGTCCCATGTGACACTTCCTGGCTGTCTCCAGGCTTTCATCTGCTTCCATTTTTTTTTTTTGGAACATTACAGAACGTTACTTTTTCCAAATAAAGAGTTCTTTCTTCACATTTGTAATGATGTCCACGTCTGTTGACGTTTCCTCTGGGACTTCTTTTAGATCCAGTTTTTATATCTCATTTTCCTAAATATGGTATGGTGGCCCTCGGAAGACGCGTGCTTTTGCACAGTGCCATGGGGTTCCAGGGCAATGTCCTGGAGGAGCGGCCCTGGGGAGTGTGCGTCTGCAGTTTTTGTCTGCCCGGTCATGAGCTCCTTTTGTTTTTGCCAATAGCTCTACGTGTATCTTCTCACCCCCACTCTCAATCCATGAAGTCTGGGCAGGGCTGACACCTCAGGCGCTATCAATCAGTATATACATGTCCCCTGTCCAAAATGGCTGAGTCAGGGAGGGCAGCACGGGCCCAAACGGAGCCAGTGAGAGTCAATGCCAGGGTTTTGGCTGGGCCCATGGAGAAGGAGCAGGCCTATTTTTGCAGGGATGGGGAAGGTGTCAGATGGCACCCTGAACCTGCTGGTCCTCATTGTGCTGTAAGATGGGGAAATCTGCTGAGGAAGGAGCCACGTGGAGGGCAGCAGAGCCCAGCAATACCCACAAACGTCATGTGAGCACCTGGACCCAGCTATGCCTGAAGCAAACTCATCTACACCAGCGTTTCTTAGTGAACCCACCACTCTTGGCATTTGGGACAGGACAGGCTTTGCCCACGTGGGACGATTGTACACATTGCAAGATATCCCACATCCCTAGGTCCAGCAGAATGCCAAGTGTCCTCATGGAACACCAGCCCCATCATTTGCACACGTCTGATTGTCTGCCCTCAGCTTTTCAGTTGAGTCAAGAAGTCCTCTTTTGACTTATTCCAGTTGGTTTTTGGGGCAGGTTCAAATGATGGGCCCTGGACAAACAGCTGCTGCCATTTTCTTGGGTGTCTGGGATTTAACCCTTACCATGTTAAACACCAGCTGACCCTGGTGTGGCTTTAGGGCCGAGCCCAGGATTTTCACTGAGGGAGGGGTCAAGTTCTGGAGCCACAGGCTGGGTAGCACAGGCTCCTATCACTGTGGGAAGATGGAGACCACTGCTTCTGGTGCTGGAGGAGAGCACAGAGAGGACAGTCAGCAGAACTCAGCCAGCCTCAGATGCTGGGACCACAGGCGGAACAGAAGCAGGGCTCCAACAGCTCACAGGCCCCAGATGTTTCCCTTGTGGTCAGCTGAATGTGATCTTCTTTGAGAAGTGAAGGGAACCCCCTGGAAGGGTGACATGAAACAGAAGGGAGAAGAGAACTCCGACAGACTGCTCAGCCCTAGAAGGTCCTGACCGATTCCAAGACGGTCCCTGGTCTGTGAGGCCCGGCCAGGGGTGGGGCCGGCTCGGGAAGGGGGGTGCATCTCAAGCCTCAGCTGGCATCTCAGGGCAGCACAGACGTCGTGGCAGTGGGCAGGGGCTGTGCTCTGTCTTGGCATTTAGGGTCTCAGCACTGGCAGAGGCATTTAGACCCTCCTCCCTGCTAGCGTTTTGCCCAGGCCATTCTCCCCTAGGTAGAGCTCAGAGCCGACCACTCCTGGACAGTCTCCACTTGTAGCCTCCAGCCCCCAAGACTGCGGGACTGGCATGGACCCTGCCCAGCCGTCAAGGCCTCCCTGGGCCCTTTCCTCTTCTCCCACTGCTCTGTGTGGGGTGGCTGAGCACGGGGCTGAACCACAGCTTGACCTAGCATGTGGCCTCACACCAAGCATTGGATGGTGGTGCCTCGGTTTCCCCATCTTTGAAACAATATGATAGCAGTCCCACCTCATTAGGTGGTAAGTGCTACCAGCAGAGCCCCCTGTCAGAACCATCATTTTAGTATTTCTGCTACATTCAAGAAAAGCCAGAGATTGGAAGTCAGAAGTCCTGGCTCTGCCTCTGATTTAATTCAGAGCTAACAACAGAACTTCTTGGAATCAAGCTTCTTTACCTGTAAAATGGAGATGATACGAACCACACTTCGGGGGCTGTTGTAAGGATCCAGTGACATAACATATGTGACAACTCTATGCAGATAAAAGGCTGTGAATAGTCTCCCTTCCCTCCATCTGAGAAGCCCCCACCCTGTCCTGCCCCACCCTCTGCAAGGCCCCAGGGGAGGCCTCCAGGAGTGTGGCTCCCTCTCTCCAGGGTCCTCACAAGGTTGTTTAGGTGCCTCTCTAAGATCAAATGTCTTGTGCCATGGCCACCTGTGTGTTGTCTTTGCAGCTTTGCTGAGAGCTAGTGGTGCTCACCCTCCTGGCTCACCCTGCAGCTCCCAGCATAGGCCTGGCCATGGAGCCTTTCTCCCGAGAAAGAAGACTCAACGCCCCTCCGCAGTTCAGGTACACCACCTGTCAGTGTCAGTTAGAGGCAGGGATACCAACTCCCATCACAAAACCCACAGGGACTGAGGCCTCAACTGAAGGCCCAGCTCACTGGCGGCTAATGAGGAACATCTCGGCTACACAGGCCAAGTGGTAGACTACTGTTCAGATAATGCCCTGACTCCCACTGTTCTCTCTGTGGTTGCTAAATCAGTAAAGGCAAATTACTTGTTTGCTTAGGAGCATGGATCTGGAAAACAGGCAGTGAAGTACGTGATTTGAATGTAAAACGGCACCAGGCCCTGATGGGTTGCTGTGTAATTTCTATAGGCAGAATACCTCCACTTGGCAAGCTGGCTGGGACGGCCTGCCAGGCACCCTCTCCAGACAGACTGTGATGGGCATTGCCTGCATTTCCTCTGGCTCTCCTCTTCCTACACTCTTGTGCTTGAGGTATCAATTCTATTAGGGAGTACAGGTTTGGCACCCAGCTTTTGAGTTCTGAGGGTAGACTTGACATTGGATAAGTAGACTTGAGTTTGAGTCATGGCTGTCCACTGAACTATGTGACCTGGGGCAATTCATTTAACCTCTTACAACCTTGATTGCTCACGTAGCAAATGGAGGCAAGAGTGGTATCCACACAGCCTTGTCCGGAGGGAGAGTGAGCACACAGCAGGCCTCCTTACCACAGTGCCAGGCCTGCAGCTACCTCCCCAGTGACTGTCCATGCTGTGTTAATCTTGTACGAGTTCACTTTTTTAAAAAAAATTATTTTATTTGCTCATACAAGGGTCTATGTTGCCCAGGCTGGACTTGAACTCCTGGGCTCAAGCAATCCTCCTGCCTTAGCCTCCAGAGTAGCTAGGACTACAGGCATGCACCACTGCCTGGCAAGGTCACTTAATTTTTATGGTAGAGTAAAATGGCTCTTTGCTAAGTGTTCTTCCAGCTCAAATGTATACGTAGATGTGTCTCAGCCAAGAGAACAGTGAAAGCCTGTTTCAAGAAACACGTGGTTCCAGGCATGGATCAGGCTGGCGGCCCAGCCCTCTGCCAGGTGTCAGGCTGGCTGATTGGAGACAGATGCACCTCTCTGGAGATCAGTGGGCTCCTGGGCTCTTCTGTTGGTGGGATTCCCTGCACCCCCATCCTGTGCTCCAGGGAATGGCAGCCATGGCTCAGGCGCCCCAAGGGCCAGAGAGACAAGGGTAAGACCAGGAGAGTGCTGGTCTCCGAGGTTAATACCAGGCACTTCTGGTTACGAAGGACTTGAATAATGACAAGAAAAGGAGGCGAGTCATCTACAGCAAGCCACCCTGCCCTTCCAGGCACATGAGCCCCTAGAGGGGAACTGGAGACCCTCCCCACCCAGCCCACCGCTGGCTTCTGTGGCTTGGCTCTTACTGCCCAGCTCCTGGGTCTCTGGCATGTGCTGGGTACAGACATTTGATGTCACGACTCTCCCATCTCCTTGACTAATGCCATCCTGATACAGATTCGGTGCACCCCACACAAGAGCACTGAGAGGCAGGTGCGTAAGCCAGCTGGGCTGGTCAGCAGGCAGGTGGGCCAAACCTTCAGGTTCTGCTCCTACCTGGGTCCCTCTTGGCCTCTGCTGGACCCTGCTCCTCCCAACACGTAGACACAAGCCTTCTCCATGTTCATTTTTATTTAAAGACTCAGAAACACAGGCATCATGGTTTGTCATCACTGACAAGTCTTCCAAAATCACACGCTGACATTTGTGTCTAACAAAAACACTTGGGATAGGGTGTGTGTGTTTGTGTGTGTGAACTGTGCAAAGTACAAAGGATCTCCCAGTCGGCTGAGCCTGTTTTGAAGTGCCCGGCCTGGCATCACCCCATGAGGATGCCAGGAGAGCACCCGTGGCCGCCATCCTCTCTGCCTCCCTCTGGGCAGAGGCCCCTGGTGGCCTGCAGTCCTGTCCCCTCGGTGTCCACTGACTTCAGCCATGGCTGTGGACTCTACCATGCTCCTCAAAGGAAATCTCTGTGGCCCCCCAAGGCCACTACATGGCTAAGATGTGTACATCATGGGGCCAGGATGAAACATAAGGGTTAGTTTCATCTTAACCGCCAAACATGTGTACCCTTTGAGGCAAGATGGCCTGAAGAAAGGGCTAATTCTGCTCCTGCTCTTCTCTGCGAGCTACATCATCATGAAGGCTGCAGGGCCTGAACGAGTTTAAAATACTCAGAAATGCACATGGGCCATGCATTTCCTCTGCTCTCAGGCAGCCCGGCATTGGCTCCAGAGCTCTGGCCAGACCCACGCATCGCTCTCCTTCCTAAGGTGGCACCAACGCCCACCCGACTCTGCCCTGAAAGCGGCCAGCTGACATCCTCCAAAGACATGGAGATATTCGCCCCAGCTCTCTACCATGCTGCATGCAGTGGGCTGTGTCCTCGCCCCCCACCAGGAGGGTGAAGCACATTTCTACCTGAAGCACCACGTGGGCCATGCCTGGGAGAGTAAGAACGTTCAGGTTACTCTATTCTGTTGCTTGGTACCTGCGCGCCTTAAAAAAAAGACTTCAAAAAAGTTACCTGGAGACTTGACTTGGTCTGGTTTCCCTGGAGAACACCTGCGTCATCCAGGTTGTTGATCTGTGCACCTCTTTGGTGACAACGTGAATTTAAACACGCACAGGATTTTGGTGCAGGATGGGCAACTGATGAAGTTTGGCAATAATGGTAAATAGAGAGCTTTTGGTTGTCATTAACCTGGCACACAGAAGTTACTATGTTTAAGCCAGACTTTTTCTTCTTTGATTCTGAACAACTTCTTTGAGTCTATTAAATCTATTATCATCTTGGGGGAGGGAAAGGCATGACCCCCGCCGTGTGGTGACCACCTGGAAGTAACAAGTAGCCAAGTCACGTCCCAAAACAGGAACTCTGAAAATAAGCGGCCCGTGTTTCAAAGTCTTCATGCCAGGCAAAAGAATGTATTTCTGGAATTGGTTACATCCCTGAAAACCAATGACACCCTATGTTACCAAAGGCTAGTTTCTTCAGCTTAATTTAAGTCTGAATGGTATTTGTAAAAATATAGGTGGAGAGAGGGGTGATGGATCAAAATTTTGAGGTGATAAAAATGTGTTCCTAAGGTGTGAATCTTGAGAACAAAATTGTCCCTGAAGGGCTCCTGATCAGTCTTCCTGGGAAGTGAGCCATGGTGCTAATGAATATACATTCATCAGCCCCACTCAGGGAGGTCCCAGCATCAAAGCTGCACCTCCTCCTCTCTCGCCCTCCCAACTCCCCGATCTTGCAAGCCTGCAGCGGTGCTGCAACCCCCTGATCTCCTTGTACCTCTGGTCTCCAGCAGATGAAGGTTTGCACTGCCTGAAATGGGAGCAGTTATTTATTTTTAAAAAAGAAGAAAAATGGTGGTGGTGATCTAAACTGTTGTAGAAACTGCACATTTTGATACCAAGAAATCATCTTCTGAGAATGCTAATTGCAGTTCTCTCTGAGGCAATAAAGGGAAGATTTTGCCTTCCCGGCTGGGGTTGACCTGCGTGCTCCTTCTACCGCCACACAAAAGGACAATTATAGTGGCCCTTCCTCGAAATGTTTCCAGGTCTTGAATAATAATCATCACCGTCTAGACAGAGCGCGGGGTTTTGGTAAGAGTTTAAAGAAACCGGCTGCTTCCAAGCTCCCTCCGACCCCCTCAATGGATCCACCCCGCCAGCCCCCAGAGTACTGGCCAGCGCTGAGGTGCGGGATGGCGGCTTCTCGGCGCTCTCCCAAAGCCATATGGGAAATATAAAAATTCTGCCCCTTTGATGTCGCCTCAGACATCTTTTCTTTCAAGCTCAACCAAGTCATTATTAGTTTTACAAAAAGGCAGCACCAGATGTATGAAAAATAGGCAATGTCTGACCTATTAGAAATATATAAAGTCTAACAGCTTTATGTTAAAAATATGCTGTAAGAAAGAAGTAATGCAAGGGACAATGGTGGTGAACAGAAAGTGTTGCTTATACTACTGGCAGGCGACAAGCCCACAGATTCTGCTCTGGTTCCCAACAGGGGCGGTGGGGTGCCCCTTCCGGGGCACCCCCAGGGCCTCACAAACACCCCTGCTGAGCAGCCGGGCGGCAGGTGACTGAGGTATATAGAATGGTGACAGAGCAACCTGGGCCCCGCGGGAAGCCCAGGGCAGCCCAGAAAGATGATCTCCAGCGCTCCTGGCCCCCATGCCACCCACCTCGCCTGCAGACCTCCTGCAACCTCCAACCCTGCTTAGGTGGTAAATGAGAACGCTGCCATGGCTGCAAACCACAGCCACAGGCCTGCCTGCGCCGGCACCTGCCTCTCTTCCTCAAGGTGCTTTCTTTGCAGTTTCCACAGAGGGGGTGGGCATTTCCTTGAAGAACATCCCAGGTGTGCTCTCCGTTTGGGGGTTTTGGGAGAAGGCACGACCTCCACAGTCCCTGGCCCCCACCCTGGGCCAGGGTATCCCCCGCCAGGTGCCTTGGAGATGACCTGGAACCCTTGGGGCGCCATGGCTCCCTCTCTGTGTGCCGTGGAGCTTCCCAGGCGGCCTCCCCCTCTGTGAGCTGGGTGCAGGGAGCACCAGTTCTCAGAAGCTCTCGACGAAGCTGCCCGGGAAGAGGCCTGTGCGGCCGTTCCGCTGCAGGGTCCCCTTGTACCAGCCGTCCTCACGCTTCTTGTGCACAAAGACGATGTCGCCTTCCTTCAGCTCGATCTCCGCCTCACTCTGGGGTGGGTACGAGACCACCACGCGGTACCTGGGGAAACAGCACAGTGGGTGAGCCCCACACAGACAATCTCCATCTGCTGGGTCGTGCTTTCTCTTCTTCCCTCGGTGTAAATTATTGTTATTTGCTGCTATTTTCCCACTTTATACAATTTCTATTTATCTTTATTTTTAATTTTTTCAAAACTCTGGAAATTTTTCATTTTTTAATAAAAAAAATTTAAAAGGCATTTCCCCCTGCTGTCCTTTTAGACGCTGATCTACGAAGAAGCTGGACTGTTTCACTCCCTTGAAGATTCTCCACCCAAGCACAGCCCCCCATCTCATATCCACGCTCCTGCCCTGGCCCACCCACCTAGACTGCGGCCTCCCAGGGGCAGGGGCGGGGGAGGGTCAGGAAAAACTGTGTCCCCATTTGCCCCATCCCAGTGTCAAGACCCTGGGCTCGTGTCCTCACCTCTCCCTCTGCAGGTTCCTCTGAAAAGCACGCTCCTCAACTGCAGCACCACCTCACAGGTTGGGGCCCAATGTGATGTGTGAAAGGTACTTGGAACATTGTTTATGTAAATTGTCCTTATTTTTTTGAGACAGGGTCTTGCTCTTCCACCCAGGCTGGAGTGCCGTGGTATGATCCTAGCTCACCGAAGCCTTGAGCTCCCAGGCTCAAGTAAGCCTCCCACCTCAGCCTCCCGAATAGCTGGGACCAAGGCACATACCACCATGCCCAGCCAATTTCTAATTTTTTTTTGTAGAGATGGGGTCTTGCTATGTTGCCCAGGCTGGTCTTGAACTCCTGAGTGCAAGTGATCCGCTGGCCTCAGGCTCTCCAAGTGCTGGGATTACGAGCATGAGCCACCGTGCCTAACCTGTCCTTATTTTTAAATGTGCTCCAAAAATCATAAGATTTTTTTCCCAGTGCCTTAGCATTGGAACTGGCTGAGGCCACAACATCAACATCAATAAGGCCCAACTTTCCCCACATCTCATTTCCACAAGACTTGGGCCCCCTGCAGCCTCTGAGGCCTCTTTGGAGTCCCTGTCTTCAGACCAATATGCTGTAGTGTGGAATCAGAGACAGGAGCCTTCCCTGGGGTCTTCCCTGCATGGCCTCCGCCTGCAGGGACCCAGGGGCATGGGGTGTGCTGCGTGGCAGGTGCTGGAGCTCTGAGTGCACCCCAGGGGCTCTCTGGGCTGTGGCAGGTGCTCCTGGCAACACTTAGCTGTGGCACTGACCAAGAGTTCTCTCCTCGACCACACTCCAGCCTGGCTCCTCTGAGCCCTCTTCTTGGCTGGGCCTCACCTCTGCCTATAACAACTTGAACAACCACTAACATAGCTTCTAACAGCTCAAGGTGGCATCCCTAGGCTGACCCCAGTCCCCTTTAAAGTGCCTGCCTGAGAAACCTCACGGCAGCCAAAAGAATCGACTGTGGGTTCCAGCCACACCTGAGGACAGCCACACACTGTCTCCTGACTTCAGTGAGCACGTCAGCATGTCCAGATGTGTTCACACGGACCACCCGCTTCCACCATCTGTAACTTTTCACTTCCCCCACTCTCCTGAGCCCCCACTCGCTGCCTCCCTGCTCCCTCATTCTCTCTTGGAAACCCCCAGTCACTTGTGTGCCAATTGAACCTGAGCTCAGCTCAGCCTGGACCCTATTCCCCATTGCAAATGTCAGTTATGTTGCCGATTAAAACCTGTCTGACTACTTTCACTAGTGTCCGGCTATGATTATGTTTGACAGGACACACACACACATACACACACACCCCCCTGCTCTGCTATCCCACACCCATCCTGCAAGCCACAGAGGAGGAGGAACAAGGCTGAAAAGCAGCTGTGGTGGCCCCAGGAGAGCCTTCCTCTAAAACACTGCCAAGGACGAACCAGTTGGGCCTTGTGCCCTCGGCCCTTATGCTTAGAGTCTGACAGGCAGGGCCCCATCCCCACTCCCACTAGCTGGGCCTCCCTCTGCCCTGGGGAAACTCCACAGGGGCATGCTTGCCCGAAGCCTGGCTGGGCCCCTGCACCCCCAGCCCTTTTGTGGGTGAGGATTGTGCAGTAAGGGCTGAGAGAAGATGCCCCTGGGCCACCAGGGTGTTGGACCGCACATCTAAAGCCCAGATCCCACATGTGGTGGATTTTGTGGCAGGCAGGGTGCAGCTATTCTCTCTGCCTAAAAACCCCTGGCTGACGGTCCCTCAGACACCCACTTTGCTGAGCAGCACCGAGATGGGCCTGGCAGGGCGAAGGCACTCAATAACCAGCACTGGACTGCCCGGGTACCCATCTCCACAGACGCCGAGGCTGTCTAGGAGACACGGCCCCCGCGGCTCTGGATGCCTTCCCTGGTGGCCTCCGTGCAGGTCTCCTGTGGGTGGCTCCTGGTCCTGGCGGCTGCCCACTCTGGGCCTCCTGCTTTCACCCTGCTTGGACTGAGTTGCCTCACAGCTGAGGCTCCTTTTGGGCAAAGGCTCAGAGGGCTCCAGCAGTCCCCATCCCTCTCAGAGGAGGGGCCACAGTCTAAACGCCCCAGCATTCCCAGGCCCTCCACACTGCGCCCTTCCCACTCCACCAGCTCTGCCCTGCCGCGCCCTAGCGACCCCAGGTGCACCCACCTCAGGGCTCCTCCATATGCTGCTCCCTCTGCCCAGAACGCCCTTCCCTGTGTGGCCACGCCGGGCCTGCCCTTTCCCAGCTCTTACCATCTTCCACTGCCCAGCCATTCACCTGTTTACCCAACCCATCCTGCCTCCTGCACCAGTCTGCAAGCCCCATCGCCACAGGGATTACTGCACACCTGCTCCAAGTGTGGCTCACATACTTCAGGACCCCCCACAGTTCCCTGGGCCCATCCTGGACCTACTTGATACTACTTAGGGGGAATGAACTAGGGAATGTGGATTTTCAGCAGCTCTGGGAGGGAATGCTTGCACATTGGTGTCTGAAAATCGAGCTGAGTGCATGCTCAGGGAGGAAGCCTTTGCCCTTCCCCACCCCACGTGTTCACAGAGCCTGGGGCGCAGAAGCCATGGCTTTGGGGCAGTTTGGCTTGGTGCCAGGCTCAGGAAAAATGTGCAGACAGGAGACCAAGGCCCAGTCCTATGGAGTGCACAGCCCCTGGGCACACAGGCCCAGCTTGCACCAGGCTGGCAAGAGGAGGAGGCATGGAGGATGGGCTCCTGAGGCTGACTTGGGGGTGCAGTGTTCCTACTCCTGGGGAAGCAGAACAGGCCAGGTTCTGGGTCGCAGTCCCGAATACCAGCCAACTCTAAGTGTCTCAGAGCATCTACGGGTGCACGATGGTTGGACTGGTTCCCATGGGCTATCTGCCGGCGAACCAGACTCTGCTCTCAGGGACATGCAGGCGGGAAGGAAGGAGGGCAGGCGGAGGCACCTCCTTCCTCCCAGCTCAGCGTCTCTGTGAGGGCTTCCTGCTGGCCCTCCTTCAAGGAGGACAGATGGCTGCCGGGATGCAGCCAGCGGTCTGTGAAATCAGACAGCATACACACAAACTGAGGCTGCGAGGGCCCACAGGATCAGCGCCATCCTACCTGTGGCCTTCTGCCATCCTCCACCTCTTCCAAACACCTGCTCCTCCTCTCTCTTCCCCAAGGAAAGAAAGGAAGGCAAAGGGCGAGATGATTTCTCAGACTTTGAATGCAAGTTTTGGCTTTTGCCTCAACTTCCAGATGTGAAATAAACAAGCAGCTTTAAAAATATAATTTGTTAGAAAGATGTAATTTGGTGCTTCTGAGCAATTCAATGATTTAATGAGCCCAGATGGATGTGGGCTGAATTTATACGAGACAAGTGTTTAACGTTTCTGTCCAGATCATTCCAAGACTCTGAGCTGTTCTTCCTGCTGCAGGAAAGTAATTGATACTCCCCGTTATAGACACAGAGCGCCGTTGTCGTGTCCGTGTCAGCAGCTGAGGATGACAGCTACTCCCAGGTCACAACTGTGCGTCATAAATCAGCAAGCAACTCTGCCCTGCTGAGTATAATTAAGGTTATGGCAACCACAGCTAATTTTCAGACACAGGGCTCAAGGAATCCAAATGGGCAAAATCAGAATGAATTCTCATTCCATTATTATTACCATTAGCTCTGTGTGCGAGGTTTGGATGTTCTGCTTTCCTTGGGGGTCGTCTGCTTCCCTCCCTGACAACAGAGTCTGCAAAGTGGCCCTCCATGTGGTAGCCTTTTCAGAGCACTTGCTCCAACACAGGAAGACGAATGAGCCCCTGAGTCCATGGAATGTGCTGGTAACAGAGTGGTGTCTGCTAGGAACTTGGGGATAAGAATACTTCTATACCCTGGACACTAAACTGTAATATCAACACACATATTAGTTGTTTATGGCTATAACGAATGACCATAAATGTAGTGGCATCATACTATAAAAATATATTATAGTTCCGTCCATCAGAACTCCAACGTGGTCTCACTGGGCCAAAATCAAGGCATCTGCAAGGCTGGTTCCTCCTGCAGGCTCTAGGGTAGAAGCTGTTTCCTTGCCTTTCCAGTTGCTAGAAGCTGCCTTCATCCCTTCTCTGGAGGCTTCTTCCTCCATCTTCAAAGGGGAGTGCTCACATCATGCCACTCTGACCTTCTCCTCTGCCTCTCTCTTCTACTCATAAGGACCCTTTGTGATTACACAGGGCCCACCTGGATAATCCCGGGTAATCTCTTTATTTTAAAGTCAGCTGGTTAGCAACTTTAATTCCATCTGCAACCTGATTTCTCTTTGCCATGTATGGTAACATAGTCATGAGTTTTTAGGGTTTAGGGCATAGACATCTTTGGGGGCCATTATTCTGCTCACCACACACATAATGGATCAGATCAAGGAACGCTGAAATCCTAACAAAGCCATATAACTCACAGGCCATCAAGAGCTGAGGATGAGCTGATCCGATGTGAACATCTGGGGAGAAGCAGGTCAAAGGGGCAGGAGTCGGCCAGGCCGTGCTGCAGGTGCCCTCACCCTCACTGACTTACTATTATCATAGATGTCACAGCATATGTTACTATTAGAGAGGTCATAGTGAAAGGTGAAGCCAGCTGGACTTCCTGGGTCGAGTGGGGACTTGGAGAACTTTTCTTTCTTATGAGAGGATTGTAAAATGCACCAATCAGCACTGCAGCTAGGAGTGTAAAATGCACCAATCAGCACTCTGTAGCTAGCAAGAGGATTGTAAAATGCACCAATCAGCACTCTGTAAAATGCACCAATCAGCGCTCTGTAGCTAGCAAGAGGATTATAAAATGCAGCAATTAGTGCTCTGTAAAACGCGCCAATCAGCACTCTGTAAAATGCACCAATCCGCACTCTGTAAAATGCACCAATCAGCAGGATCCTAAAAGTAGCCAATCACAGGGAGGATGGAAAAAAGGGCGTTCTGATAGGACAAAAACAGAACATGGGAGGGGACAAATAAGGGAATAAAAGCTGGCCACCCCAGGGCAACCCGGTGGGTCCCCTTCCATGTGGAAGCTTTGTCCTTTGCTCTTCACCGCGAAGGTCTGTGGCTCAATTCTTGAAGTCAGTGAGACCACGAACCCACCAGGAACCAACTCTGGACACAATAGCATATATTATTATTGTTGTGTTTAGTGTGCACTCATACTTTTTCTGGTGTTAATCTAGGTGATTTACAAGTATTATACCCAGACATGTATTATTATCCCCATTTTATGTATGTGGAAACTAGGACTATAAAAATGAAGAAAGGGGGCCAGGTGCAGTGGCTCACGCCTCACGCCCAGCACTCTGGGAATCCGAGGTGGGCGGATCACTTGTGGCCATGAGTTTGAGACCAGCCTGGCTAACATGGCGAAACCCCGTCTCTACTAAAAATACAAAAATCAGCCAGGCATGTCAGTGGACGCCTGTAATCAATCCCAGCTACTTGGGAAGCTGGGCACAAGAATTGCTTAAATCTGGGAGGCGGAGGTTGCAGTGGGCCAAGATTGCACCGCTGCACACTCCAGCAGACAGAGTGAGACTTTGTCTCAAAAAAAAAAAAAAAAAAAAAAAAAAAAAAAAGGAATGAAAGATATTCAGGATGAAATGGCCGGTAGGTGGCCCAGAGTGTCTGTCTACTCAAAGCCTCTCTACGATACTTGATACTGCCAAGGTGCAGAAGAGCCAGGAGGCAGGCATCCAGTGGGCAGGAGGGGCTGGTCCCAGAACTCAGCTTGCCTGGCCCTGCACCAGAACAGACCAGGGTTGGTGTAGCTGGGGAACTGGGGCATTAGACGGTTCTAACCTGATGCCATGTGCATTTGCTGCCTGCATTTCCCATGACCACACCCGTATTCTGAGTTCCACAAGCAACTTCTGGAAATTCAGCTCCCTCTGCACATAGTCCGCAGGACAAGAATATGCCAGACACCTAAAGATGAGGTCCTCTTGGAAGGAACGGGGCATGGCCCTCTAGGTGACTTACACCCCAGGCTCGTGGGCTTGGCTCATAAGTCTACTTACGAGACTGGCCTGCTGCCTGCCAGCTGCTGGGGCAGGGCAGCTGAGCCTGCCAGCCTCGCTGACCCGGCCCCAGATTGCTGCTCACAGTACACTCCCCTAGTCCTTTCTCAGAGGAGCTCCCTCTGCAGCACCTTCTACTTGAATGTCCTTCCTCTGAGAGTGGAGAGGAGAGCAGCGCCCGCTCTCTTTCCAGAGTCTTGAAAGAGATGGTTGAGATCTGGAGGAGTCTGGGCACAGGAAAGGCCCAAGAAATGCAGGCAGCAACACTGCCCATTCCTCCTTGGCATTTTGGGGTGGAAACCTTGACCCTGACAGCCCATACTGCCCTGCTGCCTGCATTCCCACTTTCATGATCACAGGTGGGCCTTGCACACCTGAGGCCCTCCAGGAGTGCTTGGCAGCTGAGTGTTCTGGCCCCACTGCAGGGACTCTCACCTCTGCACAGGGCGCAGCCCAGCAGCTCCTCCTCCAAAGTAAGCCTGGAAGTAAGTTTTACTCACAAGTCTGCAGGGCCCAAGTCCAAGTGCTCTCTGGTGCTGTCCCAGCCCGAGGAGTCAGCATTTTCCCAGTCATGCCCTCAGCTCCGACCTGCTAGGGCTCCCCAGGATACCAGGCAGCCTGTGGCTACCATGTTGAGGGGAGGGGGCACTTCTGGGGCTCATGAGCAGTTTGGTTTCAGGCTGTTTTTTGGAAACACTTCTCTTTAATGAGTGCTACAGAGTGCTTGGGTGCAAGGAGCCACCAAAGAGTCTCTGGGTACAATGACCCCTGATTAGATGGAACACTCAGAGAACGGGAGTGAGTCTCTGAATTTTCTAATTCATCAGAGATGCCCATGACTTTATAGAAACAGGGTCTTTCAATACTTTTTATTGAGGTGTCTGGAAGTCATGTCTTTGAAGATAAAGTTGAGGGGTCTGGGGAAGAAGGATCCTAGGGGAGACATGAGAACAGCTTTGAACTATCCCAAAGTCTGTCATTCTCACGAGCCGGCAGACCAACTCTGTGACTCCAGACAAGGGCCAGGACCCATCCGGAAAACACAGGCAGCAGGTGTTGGTCCCATGAAGGGAGGTTCTGATGCGGAGGAGACTCCTTAGGAGAGGATGAGAGGTGGAGGAAGTGGAGGAGGAGGAGAGAAGGAAAGAGAAGGTGGGTGTGTGTTGTGTGTCTGAATATGTGTTTGTATTATGTGGTTGCTTGATGTACAATTTGTGTATAGTGTGTGTATCTGTGTGTTATGTGTGTTTGCCTGGTGTGTGTGCAGTGCATGTTTGGTGTGCAGTGTGTGTGTCTGCATAATGTATATGGTGTGTGTTTATGGTGTGTATGTATGGTGTGTGGTGTGTGTATGGTGTGTGATGTGTTTGTATAATATGTGTGTGTATGGTGTGTGTTTGCAGCATGTGTGGGGTGTGYGTTTGCAGTGTGTGTGGTTTGTGTGTATTGTGTGTGGGGTGTGTGCAGTGTGTATGGTATGTATGTGTATGGTGTGTGAAGGGTGTGGGTATGCAATGGTGTGTGTGAGGTATGTGTTTGTATGGTGTATGTGGGGTATGTGTTTGTATGTATAGTGTATGTGGAGTGTGTTTGCACATGTGTGTAGTCTGTGTTTGCATGATGTATGTGTGGTGTGTGTGGTGTCTGTACCATGTGTGTTTGCAGTGTGTGGCATGTGTCTGTTTGTATGACGTATGTGGGGTGTGTTTGTATGGTGTACGTATATTTGCATGGTGTGCATGGTGTGTGTTTCTATGGTGTACGTGGGGTGTGTGTTTGCAGTGTGTGTGGTGCGTGTGTATATGCTGTATGTGTAATGTGTGAGTGTTTATATGATATATGTGTGGTGTGTGTGTTTGCATGGCGTATGTGTGGTGTATGTGTTTTGTATGATGTATGTGGGGTATGTGTGTTTATATGATGTATCTGTGGTGTATGTGTATGTTTGTATGTATGGTGTATGTGTGGTGTGTGTGTTTGTATGATGTATGTGGGGTATGTGTTTGTATGGTGTATGTGTGGTGAGTGTATGTTTGCACAGTGTGGTGTGCAGTGTGAACCCAGTCCCCCAAGGGCCTGGGGCCCTGTAGAGGGGAAGGCACTTCTCCCTGTGGGTGTGGCTGTAGGGGCTGGGACTGGCATGGCAGTGCTGATGGATCTGCAGGACCCAACAATGGTGCAGCCCCTGGAGGAGCTGTGACATGTCCCACGATGTCCACAAGCTGATAATAGGCCCTGTGACTACACAGGACTGGGGGTGCTGCTGACTGCGCACCCTACAGAGAGGTAGCTCAGGGCGTGGGCCATGAGGTCAGAAAGTCCTCAGCTGAATCTCTGGCTTGGCCACTAACTAGCTGTGTGATCTTGGGCCAGTTACCTAGCCTTTTACAAAACCTCGGTTTCCTCATCTGTAAAACGAGGATAACTGATTTCATAGGGTTCGTGGGAAGGTTCACTGAGACTACACACATGTAGCGCTTGGGGAAACATAGAAGGCAGGGCCTGGCTGTCCTGGGCATGCGTAGCCGGAATCCATGCCCACTGCTGAGTGTTCTGAACGTCACCCCTGTGCAGAACACCCAGCTCTTGTGATGCTAACAGCAGGTGTACATGCGACTTCCGTTCTCACTGGTTAGCAGAAGTCAGTAGCTGCGGGTTCTGCAGAGAGCCCTGTCCACTCTGGAGCCCCAGGCCTAGCCCCATAGGCTTGGCGCTAGGCATCATCTCTGTCAGGGCTGGCAAACTGCGCCTGCGGCTAATTTGTGTAGTCTTAGAGCTGTGAATGTTGTCACATTTTGAAATGGTTGAAAAAGAAATCAGAAGACTATTTCATGACCTACGAAAATTGTACGAAATTTAAATTTCAGTGTCCACAAGTAGGGGTTTACTGGGACACCGGCCCATTCATCTACATACAGTGTGTGGCCACGCTTCCACCGTGAAGGCAGAGGACGTGGTCACCACAGACACAGCAGGACTGCAACATCTGCAGTGTTTACCATCTGGCCCTTGACGAAGAACCTGTGAAGCTAGAAAACTATACAGAAGAATATGTGAGGATAGAAAACTAGACCTCTGATCTAGATAGACCCCGTCTCATTCCCCACCTGGCACTGGGAATGGCGTCTGGGAGGGCAGCAGGTGTTCAGGGCAGAGGCTGCCTTCCCGGGTTGCAGGCACCCGAACGGCCAAGGGAGGAAAGGTTCTGGCAGAAACACCAGGACTGTCTTTTTGGGAGGTTGTTTGTGTTTTATTATTTCAGCAATGTTACAATGTGTAGGCACTCAGTAAGGATCATATCTTTCTACCATCCTAACCTGACAGCCATCGTATCTCTCTGTGATGCCTCCAGCTTTTACCTGAGAGCCCTTTTAGGATGGATAACTCACACAGGGGGATCCAAGCCAGGTACGCCTCTAGCCCCAGGTGAAACCCAAGCACCTGCAGCCCCACAGCCCACAGCCTTAGTGGGCCATGTTGCCTCAACCAGACTCAGTTTCCAGATCGGTAAAAACCTAGGCTGAACTATGTGAAGTTGCTAGTAAGCATCGAAATGAATGAATATGGGCAATTTCAAAGGGTTCAGTCTGACGGACTATA
Organism: Homo sapiens; assembly: GCF_000001405.40. Taxonomy (NCBI): domain Eukaryota; kingdom Metazoa; phylum Chordata; class Mammalia; order Primates; family Hominidae; genus Homo; species Homo sapiens. The sequence continues at coordinate 109,491,436 of NC_000002.12, read as the reverse complement.
TACCCTTGAAGCCATGATAATTCAAGGGATATAGACTTGAAGCCGTCTTGAGTAACATCACAATTCTAAGACGCCGAGTGGGTTGAGGCTTGCGAGGGAAGAGCTGCTCCCTGAGTGGGACACATAGGCCCACTGGGGACTCAGCCCAGGGGCCTGCTCCAGGATCCCCCAGGGTTGAGGGGGCACAGACCACTCACTGCCTAGTCTCCCACTATTTGCACTCAGAAACACTTGGTCCTGACACATTTCCTGATGGCTCCTTTGCAATCCCAAACTCAGGAATCAGATGGATGCAGAACATGAAATAACACTCCAGTTCCCAGACTCGTTTCATCCAGCACTCACCACCCAAGCTCGGGACCATGTGGATCTGGGTGTTGAGGTACATCTGGTAAACCTAATCCCAGCAAGGCCACAGTGTCCCTGCTCCCCGAAGGTGGCTCCAGACCTCAGAGGCCAAACCACAGCATGCCACAGAGCAGACAAGCCCCTGCACTTACCTCTCTCTGGGCAACAGCTTGGGCTCGGGGCGGATGGCAGCCATGGACAGCGGAGCTTGCCGGGAAGGAGATGTGAAGTTTAGATCCAAGGAGCCTGCCTTCCTGTGCAGAGGCTCCATCCCCATGGCACCCTGCATCTCGCTCTCTATGGGGCAGGACCCTGCCCTGCCGTGGATGGACAGTGAGGACACTTCGGGGCCCACTGCACCTTGGAGCAGGGCGTCCACGGCCACCTGGGGGTCGTGGGTTGGAGACACAGATGGCGGGGAGCGTGACTTCTTCTTGGTGGATGCTCCGGCTAGAAGCTTCAGGAGCCCACTCTTCTTCTCTTTCTGGGGAGACACACAAGATGGAAACCAAACAGGTGAATGCTTCCCAATGCCCTTGCTGTCAGAGAGAGGGGAATGCATCTTCCTATGTGGAACTTTATTTTTAAATTTCTTATTTTTTCAGACAAAAGACTTTACCACTCACAGCAACAGCAGTAGCCAGAGTACCAGCATTTTCTTGCACCAGTTCCCTGAACCCCAGTTCCCACGGGTGAACCAGTGAGGGCCAGGTGACGCTTGCAGGCACACCAGGCTGTGTTAAAGCAGAGGACCTGGAGCTTCGGGACACCAAATCCTCTCTACTGGACTGTGAGGATGCTGGCCCTCTGCTCCGGAGTCAAGCAGTAAGCATGCCTGCTCTTTGCTTTGAAGACTGACATTATTTCTATTTTCCAAGGCTGGTGCCTACATGGACATCTTGAAAAGATAGGCCAGCAGATGGCATCTCAGTTGTAAGATGGGTAGAAGGGTGAGAGACCCATGGAGAATGGTTCCATCAGGAAACTTTAAAGATAACCTTGTAAAGTGGCTCAGAGGAGGAAAACAAAGCTAAGACCAAGAGCTCATCCAGGCTGGGCACGGTGGCTCATGCCTGTAATCTCAGCAATTTGGGAGGCCAAGGTGGGCAGATCACTTGAGGTCAGGAGTTCGAGACCAGCCTGGCCAACATGGTGAAACCCTGTCTCTACTAAAAATACAAAAATTAGCTGAGTGTGGTGGCACTTGCCTGTAATCCCAGATACTCAGGAGCCTGAGGTGGGAGAATAGCTTGAACCCAGGAGGTGGAGGTTGCAGTGAGCTGAGATTGCGCCACTGCACTCCAGCCTGGGTGACAGAGCGAGACTCCGTCCCCCCCGCCCACCCCCCGCCAAAAAAAACCTTGTCCGACACTTGTTTTCCTTTCTCTTCCAAAATCTAGCAGAAATGTCCAAAATAGGCCCCGAGGCCCCCAGGGCAGGCCAGTGATGCCATTCTCAGAGAAGGATGCTGCTGACGGGCCATCCCCGACAACACAGCCCTCTCTGTCACGGGACCCTGGCCAAGCCTGGCAACGTCATTGTCTGTGTAGAGGAACCAGCAGTCAATGTCATCTGCTTTCTCCTCCCCCAGCTCTTCTAAGTGGACTTTGTAGGACAGGTGACACGGTTCCTGATGGGACTTTCCGTGAGGCCCAAGCCACGCTGGGGTCTGGTTGTCTAAGAGCACAACTGCTCCGGCCCCAGCCAAGTCCCCCCAGGCCACATGCCTGGATTGTTGTTGCAGCTGTACCAGGGTCTGGGGGCCTGTGGCTGTGGGATACTGCTTAGTGCCCGGTGAAGGGTCTCCACCCGATAAGGTGTCTAAAGGGACCATCCCCATCACCCTTGGTGACCAGCATTTGTTCCACTGTATTCATTAATCCCACTGCATTCAGAGCCTGTGCCCCAGGCACTGCTGCTTATGCAATAGAGAGGGAAAGAGATATAATGAAGGTGTGCCCTGGGCAAGTGTGGATCCCAGCCTCCAACTCCACTGCCTGAGTCTCGGCCTTCGCTCCCCACTTTTCTCAATGTGTTTCCTCCAAGGCTGGACTCATCCTGGAGGTCAGCTGTTCCTGCTTTCAGGCTCTGTACTGACAGTCCATGGGGAGTTCTGGGTGATTTCAGGAGGAAGAGGCGGCCCAGCTCTGAGCCATGCAGCACGGGGATCCAGATACCTGACTCCGCTACTGGGCTTGCAGCCTCCCGGCCTATCTCCCCTCTGCCTCACTCTCCCTCCAATAACTTCCTGAAGGTCTTGTGCACCGTGCCAGGCCCTGGAGGTTGTGAGCAATAGGAAACAGCCTAGAGCAATCAGTTAGACATGGATTTCGTTGCAGCCCTTCATGTGCTGGCAGCTCAAAGTGTGGTGTTTCCCGAGTCTAGTTCTCAGAGAACTCTTGTTGGCGGCACAACTTGAGGGAGAGTGTTCCCAGGAACACACATCGGGAACTGCTTGGGTAGAAACTAGAAAGGAAAAGAAGAAACCGTGAGGGGTCGGGGGCAGAACCCTGGGATCTGAGTGGGGTGCCTGGGGGCAGGGAGTGAGGAGGCTTGTTCAGGCCACGATGTAGGCAGGGCATAAGGCCTGGGGATGGGAGACCCTGCAGCTGGGCCCGTCAGCCCCTCCGCAGGCCAGGAAGGAAAGAACTGCAGTACCTGGGGTGGGAACTGGCTCCCCAGGAGGCCTGAACCCACAGCAAGAGTTCTTGATGAGAGGGTGACCTTGCCTCCAGGGGACAGGTGGCAATGTCTGAAGACATCTGGGCTGTCACAACTCAGGGGTGCTGCTGGCATCTGGTGGGCAGATCCCAGGGATGTTGGTAAACATACTCCAATGCAAGGGAACCCCCCATGGCAGGGTTATCTGGCCTCAAATGTCATCAGTGCTAAGGCTGGGATCCCTAGGTCACAAGGACAGCAGGCCAGGATGCGGGGACAGAAGCCAGGCCTGCCCCAGGTGTCCCGGCGGAGCCCACTCTGCAGGCTCTGGGGCTGCTGGCCGCTCCTCCCCTCCTGGCAGGCAGGAGACCTGGGTGGCCTTGCGTTGTCCAAAGGAAAAGGAATTAGCCTTTCTCTGCCCACTTCTGTTTCCTCTTCACCATGAAGGGGCCTGGTGGCTGTTCATCCCCGTCTAGGCTCCCCTCTAGAATCAAAGCTTTGGAAGTACAGGGGTCGTGTTTGTTTTGTTCACTGCAGTATCCCCACCAGCGCCTAGCACGGTGCTGAGAACACAACAGGCATTCAACACTTGTTTGCTGAATGAACTGAGTCCAGCTGAGGGCTCTTGGGCCCGTCGGGGAGAGCCCTTCTGGCCCCTGAGTAGAGAGGGACTCGGTGGGCAGATTCTTGCTCCCAGGGCACCTTGGGCCCTGTGGGCCTGGACGTGGGGTATGGTGGAGCTGGAGACGCTGAGGCCCTGCTGCCTCACTGCCCAGCTGCTGAGAGTATATGCAGTCAGGCCCAACCTTAGCTGTCTGCTTTGGAAAGGGTGGGGTGCGTAAATGTGATGGATAATTTTCCTGTCTCAATTCTCCAGGATTAAATAAACTAAACACTTAATTAACTTGGAAAAACGCTGATGTCATGGCTAGAAAACCCTCTCCAAAACGTCCGCCTTCCAGGACAGAATTCTGCTAATGCCTTAAGCATCAGTTATTACCAATCGCTGTGGAATTCCCAGTACTAACAATCGTCATGCTCACGGAATCCATGGAATATGGAGGTAGACGGTCTAGGCACTTCCCTGGTGGTCGTCCCGTGTGAGGCAGGAAAGAATAGCCAATGGACAGTTGGCATGTACTCGGGGAGAGGCTCATAGACTGATTTGGGGGACAACACCGTGGGAGGAGAAGAGGTTTTAGAGGACACAATTTAGGGCTGATCTGGGCTGAAAGATTATGTTAAGGAAAGATGGATTTGCTGGGTTTCTCCTGGGACTGGGAGTAAGCAAGCAATGTTCAGGAGCCCAGTGGGATGTGGATTTGGCATCCCTGTTACGTTTTCCTGACTGCCTTCTTCTGCAAACGTTCCCCCTAGCACTCTGCTGTTTCCATCTGTGGCCTGCACTCCTCTCTGTTGGGGGGATCACTTTCCATTCCAATGACCCTTCTGGATGGCCAGGCTCCAATCAGTTCAGCCTCACAGGGAGAAAACCAAACAGCCGGATCTGTTAGGAACAAAACGTCTCGTTTGCTCTGAAACATCCTGGCCTGGGCGGGAGACAGATCTGCCGAGAAAGGTGCACTGGTCCTTCCTCCATGGAAGTGATGGGCTGCTGTCGCCCTGCTGGGATGTCTCTCTTCTGGAAGGCCCTCCCCACCACCCAGTGCCCTCAGCCTGCCCAGCTTCCCCCTCCCCTTCCTCTAACACATCCTGCGCCAACCACACTGCTGGGTGCAAACTCTGCAGGTGTGGTGAAGGCCCGGCTCTGCATCCCCACCACCTGCGTTTTGTTTCTGCACCTTTGGAAGGGTACCATCTGCCTCGCTGAGCTGCTGAGATGACAGCTATAGGAGCGCTTTTAAAGGACTAATGCATCTCATCAATATCTGGTGATTATGTTGCTGTTTTTATAATGTGTTTACTCATCTCTGAATATTAAATAGTTTACGAAATACCTAGGACCTAGTTAGTTCCCAATATATTTTTGTCAAATAAATAAAATGAGATTCCTATCCAAGACCTCCACCTGCCTTGCCTTGGGAGAGCACCCGAACCACTGAGGGTCTCTCAGCTCTCCAACTCTGTATACAAAGAAACAATCAGGGAGTTCCACAAAATGTAAAATGTGGGCCCCACCCCCAAAGATTTTGCTTCTGTGGGTCTGAAATGAGGACCAAAAAATGATTCTGATACAGAACATAGGAAGTGATCAATCAGAAGCCAATGGTCGTCATGCAACTCGGTAAGTGATTTCCAGACGACAAAGAGTAATGTCAAGACACAGAGAAGGGGTCAGCTCCTTGGGAAGGTGAAGAAAGGTTATTGAGGGTTACTAACACCTACTCAGTGCCCCCAGCCAGGGACACACATGGGTTGAAAGCAGGGCCCTACAGTGCTGGACTTCTGGCTGGAGCGCACACACTGATTCTGTGGACCTGAGCTGTCTGGCTGGCTCCAGGTGAGCCCCCACCTTCCCAGACAGAAGGTGAGAAGCCAGGTGCTGGTAGGTGTGTAGGAGATCAAGGGCCAGGGAGGGCCAGGGACTGGAGGCTTGCGATGAGGCTGTGCTGCAGCCCTGGCTCTCAAGATCTAGGTGTGAAAGCATCCCTGTGCCCAGGCACGGAACACTGACATGTTACAGAAGGGAGAGCTTATGAGTTATATCCAGAAAAAGCCATGTGTGTTTGTGTGCTTACACACTCACAGTCACACACACAGCCTGAAGCCTGAAATCAAGTGGTACTCCACTTTAAAGAATCATCTAGAAATCTGATATTTAAAAAGGAGAATTTTGAAGGCGTTTATTCATACTACACTCTATACAGGAAAACTATAAAACATTATACAAATGGTAAAGTAATAGATTTTTTTGTTATGATTAAGATGGGGGCTCCTCTAGGGGCCTTAACTGTTTAGTAGAACATTAGTATAAAAACTTGGCAAAAGCAATTGAAAGCTTAAATTAAGATTCAGTGCCAGTTAAAGGTCAATTAAAAGTTATGGAAAATTGTCTCTGAAATTTTAAGGAGCCAAAGGGAATACAATTTGATTTGCAAAAAGCAACATTAAACAGAGATACAAGTCATTTCATGAAAATGAAGTAAACCTGTACATGTGACCCGTAAGTGCACATTTATTCAGTTACCTTCTTGATTAAGCCATGTGGAGACAGGTGGCTGTCCCACCACTTCTTTCAAACAGATTTCCCGTCTTAATTCTCTTTGCCTCAGGCAATATTTAAGATCAGTTTGCATTGGTTGGGCACACACCAAACGCTGGGTCAGGTACCATGGGAAGCAGATAGAAAGGGACTCAATTTGCAAAGTTAGCCATGATAACCCATGAGAACCTCAATCTGCAGAACCCTGCACATGCTGCGCTGCACACGCTGATGGGTTACGTACTATTTTCAGCACCAGAAGGGGAGGTAAAAACTCACCAGCTTTGGGAATAAAGGATTGAACACAATCGTACACTTTAACTCCACCAGGTACACACAAAGATGTTTTTGTGACCTGAGACTGGGGAGATAGTTGTCACTGGGTAGAGATGTTCAGACACAAGTGGATCCTCAGAGGCCTGGGAGCACCTGCAGACAGTCCCAGGAAAGCACAGAAATAAACAGGGCCTCGACTGTTGATACCAGGTCTCAGGGCAGGCAGGGTCAGAGGGAGACAGGGCAGTACTTCAGTTTTGTTATACCCTTTTCTGTTATTTGATTTATTGCATCACTTGTGAGTTTCTTTTTAATTTAAGAGGGGAAAAATAAAAAGGAGAAAGTTGCAATGTTGTTTTGAAACAATGGTACTAGATATGATGGACCAGGGAAGCTTTGCTGTTGATTAGCTGATAGGGCAGGAGGTAACTCCACAGGAGGGGGCGGGCCTCAAGAGCTGGGCTGATATAGGGATAATGAAAAGGCCTGGGCTGGTGAGTGATGTGGCCAAGGGAGTGGTCAGAGGTGTGGAACAGGTAAATCTAGCAAAAAGCAGGTGCGGGCCAGAGTGTGGATGGGCCAAGGGTCGAGGTGCCTGGTGAGGTAAGAAAGGCAGTGGGATGACCAGGCAGGGTGGCTCATGCCTGTAATCCCAGCACTTTGGGAGGCCAAGGTGGACGGATCACCTCAGGTCAGGAGTTCGAGACCAGCCTGGCCAACATGGTGAAACCCCATCTCTACCAAAAATATGAGAATTAGCTGAGCGTGGTGGCAAGCGCCTGTAATCCCAGCTACTTGGGAGGCTGAGGCAGGAGAATCGCTTGAACCCAGAAGGCAGAGGTTGCAGTGACAAGATCACGCCACTGCACTCCAGCCTAGGAGACAAGAGCGAGACTCGGTCTCAAAAAAAAAAAAAAAAAAGAAAGGCCAGAGGATGGCACACCTTGGTGCCTCTAGGGCCAACTGAGGAGGCTGGGGTTGTCTGGTGGACGCTGGGAGCATCCAAGGAGCTGAGATAGAGGTGGAGGCACAGGGATGGCGGGGGTTGTGGGGGGCTTGAAGGCCATGCAGTCAGCAGGATGTGGCCCTGGCTGCAGAGGTGCTTCTGAGGAGCCAAGCCAGCTAAGCAGGGGATGGTGGGGCTGCTGATGGGGACAGTCACAGGAGGAGTTTACAGGGAAGGCAACCCCAGCGCCTGCAGCCTGGGGAGGGGACAGGCATGGAGACAGCAGGTCGAAGGACTGTGACCTCATGTGGCACAGCTGGGTGACAGCCACAAGAATGTGCTCTGTGCCTGCATGGCCAGGGACTCCTTTGTGTGTCCAGCCTTGACTTTATACCAAACTCTATGCCAATTCCCACCCTCTAGCAATCTGTTGAATAACAGTATTTTGGCCGACACAGCAGATAGGAAGTCAAAGGAAGCAACATGAGTTTTAAAAGACAGTCAAGTAGTTCTCATATGCCACCTCAACCCACAGGCAGTCAGGAAAACAGGCGGAAGGTGCCAAGGTCTTGCGGGGAGGCCTGGCTCAGAGAAGGGAGCACCTTTTCTTGCTGGGCACCGAGAGCATACGCTCCAGTGGGACATCTAGCAAGCAGTGAGTGAGGCTGGAACCTGGCCAGAGGCCTGGGACATGTGAGAGGCACCACTGGGGCTTGCAGGAAACTTTAGATATTCAGAAGAAAGAAACGGGGACTTATCTTTGTTGAGTCTGGCTCTCGGGTTGCAAGTTATACTTGGAAGTTTTTTGATTATTATTTTATGTTCGGAAATTTTCCTGTCGGAGATGGGGAAAAGGTAATTAAAAGCTGTGCTCTGTTAAAATTTTAGTGGGGAAAGGGCACCTCTCTGGTTATGCTGAGAACAGTTACTGGAAGAGCACAGGAGGGTTTATAACAATATAAATATGCAACGCATTTTTAGAGAGGGCAGAGGAATAGAAGATCTACAATGAATACAGAGGAAAAAGTGAACGAGATAATTAAAAGAAACAGAAAAATTGTGCACCAGCTATTGGGTATTTTAAACATTAACATGCATCTTCAAAAATGCTGCCCTTGCCAAAGACAGAAGATAAAGAAAATTGGTTCATGAAAATAGCAGGGAACGGGAGGCAGCAGCCAGTGAAGTGCTGAGCTATTGTGCTTCTCTAGCTTGTTTTTGGTGGAAGACGTGACCGCCGCATCGTGTTGCTCTCTTGCTGTTATCAGTGGTGAAGCAGTTGTTCCCTGCCCTTCCTCCTGCAGGAGAGGAAGCAGCCGGAGGTGCAGGCAGGGACAGGGAGCTGAGGGCATCCTTGTTCTTGGAAGCTGAGCCCTGGGCATCAGGATTATTACCATTTACAGCACTCAAAACGATGGTGAAGAGCAAAATGAACACTGCTCTCCCCCTCTTAGGGGTCATGGCCCCGGGCTGGGCGCGGGAGTGGGTTTGGATGACCGGCCAAGTTCACCACGGTGTCAGGGAGCTCCTGAAACAAAAGAGACTGACTCCCTGAGGAACTTCAAGAAGATAAACAGCCACAGCACGGTGTTCTGCGGGAAGTGCGTGATGCTGCGACAGCTTTGGCAACAGATGGAGCTGGGTGTCCCTGGTATTTATTAGTTGGCTGATCTTGAACAAGTTCCTGAACTGCTCTTAGCCCCACTTCCCTCATGTGTAAAACGGACTACATAATTATCTAAATATAATGATAATTATTACTATGCTGAGACCTATTTCTTGAGAGCTGACTATGAGCCGGGCACTGTCCTAAGTCTTGCCCATACATTCATTCACTGAATTCTCAAAGCAGCCCTGAAGAAAAAACAGGCTCTGAGATGCTGAACAAGAGACACAGGGTAATCAACTCAAAAGCTGCACAAGCCGCATTCGAACCCGGGACTTGCTGAGGCCAAATTTTAACTGTGGCTCTACTGCCTTATCGTGAAAATTAAGCAAGGCAATGCACATAACCCCAGTACGCCATTCAGTAACTGGAAGGCATCCCTAGAATGCACCGTTGAGGTCTGAGTCTGCTTCAGTCATTTTGTAGGGGAGCACAGAGGCATTCACATACAACGACCATTACCAAACTCCAGCAGTGATTCCGTGGTGATAAAACAGTGACTTGGCCAATTGCTCATCAACCTTGTGACCTGGGCAGGCACCTTGCCCCTCTGGGCTTCCTCAAGACAGGATTCTCATGGTAGCAGTTGTCTCGGTGCAGAGGGGAGGCCGAGGAGTGACATTTGCAGAGCACACAGCACAGCGTCTGCACTTAGTGTGCTCTCTGTAAGTGGCAACTGTTTTGGAGGTGCTGCGAGGCAGAGCCCTCCATCCACATGTCCAGCCCCTTGGCCGCTTTGGTTTCCTATTAGCACAGCCTGAGTGGAGGGATGAAGCGCACGTTTAGCTATTTGCTCAAGAGGGAAGATGCAATGGGACTGGACAGCCAGCTACGCATCTACAGCCTTCTGGAAACTTCCCGAGCAATAACAGGCCGAGGAGGTTCTCCAAGTCCTGAAATAGCCCAGCCTTGACCAGTCACCGAGAACATACCAGAAGCTCCAAACTGGAGGAAATACACCAGTCTCTGGCCTGTGGGCAGGAACGCTGCCAGAAGCATAGCCGCAATAAACTTGTTTTTCCGTATTTGCTCAAACTCAGTTTGCTGAGTGGAAGGCACAGGTGCACCCTCCAGCTGCCAGCAGACACAGCAACTGTGGTGACAGCATGGTGACTGGAGCTTGAGCACAGAGAGACCTGTGTGGGGGGACCCTCGCCACCCAACCTGACGTCTGCAGGGCCCCGGCCTCCCCCTCACCTCTCCATTGAGATGTTCCCCTCTCATGGATTTCTTGACACGTCTTAGGGTTTCTTCTCCTGCCTTTCTGAACAGCTGTCAGATTCTTTTTGGCAGCAGCAGGTGAGAAATGCCCTCAGGCTGCCTGTCCCTCTGTTTCCCTATCGGTGTCCTCTTGCCTGAAGCAATGACACAGCTTGGCTCTTCAGTTCTCCCTTCCATGGCTGAAGTATCTCAAACCCAACTCTCCAGTGAGCTCCAGGCCTTTTATCTGCCGCTTCTTCTAGACATTCTTTTAAGACAGAAACCACACAAATCAAACCATCCACAGATGCCCCAAGCTCCAAGCTAGAGAACAGCGAACCGCCCTCCATGAGGTCCCAGCTAGAGAGAGCCGGAGGTCATAATGTCCCAGGTCCCTGTGCCCAGGCAAGCAGCCAGGTGAGCCCAGGGGATCCAGGAGGAGAGGAGGGGAATGAGGCCAAGACAGAGGTTAGGAGCCTGTACCCAGTGTGCTCCACCCCTCCACATGCCAGTACAGCATTGTTCGTCTCCATCCTCCTCCTCCTCCTCCCACAGGGCAGCAGAGAGCACCCCATGGCTGCTCGGGATGACCTCTACCCTGCGAGACTTCCTGAGTGACAAGTGTTGGCTGCCCCCTGAGACACTAATTCAGCCAGTCTGATGTCACCTCCCTATGACCTTGGCACCCTCAGGACTAACAGGGGCTGGCATCTGGACTCCTCTCCTTATTACTCTCTTTTTCTCAGCCTCATGGCCATCTTAGCTGGCTTCACTACTCACCAGCCATGCACCCTTGAACAAATGCCTTATGTCTTCTGTTCAGTTCTCCCATCTGTAAACTGGGGATAGCGACAGCACCTGTCATAGAGGGTGGCTGTGGGGATCAAACATGGGGCTCAAGTGCTGGGCACCTGGGAGATGCCGCCTTGCCTGCTCTGGTCATCAACAAGGCTACAGTACAGATGTTTGGTGCCATGCAGATGTTGGGCACAACGCCTTCTTTTCTGAAAGCAGATGTCTTAATGTGGTTGATATGCAAGTGTTGCTTTCTCACTATGTTGGAAAAGAAAGTATCACCTCTCAGCTAAAGGAGAAGTGCCAGGATGGGGTCCTTTCCTCTAGACAATTGTCCTCAACCCACAGCAGGGTTGAAACCACTGCTTCCCTCAGGCTGTGATGACGCGTGGCCTCAGGGGACATGTCACCTGCATACCACTGGGCTGCAGAGGGGCTGTCAGCAAAACCGGGCTGGGCTGGAGCAAGAGCTCCAGGGAGATCCTCGTGCTGCAGGTGGGTTAGGTGCTGCCGTATGAAGGCTCTGAGGGCAGTGAGTCCCGGGGTCTTCATCAGTGGTCTGTGGATGGTTTTGGGGGTCTGCGAAACCCGTAGAATTGCAAAGTTAAGAGCAGTGTGGATAATTGGCTTTTAGCAGGTTCACAAGGGGGTTCATTCCCTCCTTTCTAACATTAAGAAAATGATCATTTAATTCATTTTTTAAAAATGAGGAGACAAAAGTGCAGGGCTCTGTCTGTGGGAGTAGAGCCCTGACCCCTTGCCTTGGGCTGCCAGTCCTGTACGGGCACACCTGGCCCTGCCCTGGCTGCTGCTTCCTCTGCCCATGAGGCCGGTGGAAGCTGGACATCCCGACACCCCAGGGAGAACAGATACGGTGGAACTTATTTTCGCACTTAATTAAAAAGTACCAAACCGGAGGCAGCTGTGCCAGACAAGAAATGTTCCTACTGAACTCAAGGAAAGAATGATAGGTCACAGAGCTAAAAGTGAACCTTAGATCATGTGGCAAATTGTATTTTCTAAATACAGCCACAACACTGTGTCTCTACTCACTAGCCCCCCTCTACAAAAAGCCTTTGGCACTCCCCTAACTAAGTCACAGGACCGTGTCCCCACCCTGTGTGCTGGGCAGACCTCTTGTGACATCCTCCACAAGCAGGGCTCAGGGGAGATGCCACTGCGTGACCCTGAGGCAAGGTCAAGGGCAGGCCGTGCACTCACTCTCGGAACCCAGTCGCCACATTGTGAGGAAGCTCATGCTGTCCACGTTGAGAAGTGTGTGCTGGTGCTCTGACCTGCAGCCCGGCCAAGGTTCCAGCCAGCAGTCAACACCACCCGCCAGACACATAAGCCAGCCCACCTCCAGGAGGCTGCAGCTCCCGCCAGCAAATCTCGAAACCTGCAGGTTCTCTCAGCTAAGGCCTAAACATGGTGGACAAGAGACAGCCTTCCTGTCATGCCCTGCCCCAATTCCCAACCCACAGCATCCCTGAGTTTCACAAAGAAACTATGGTTTTAAGCCACTGAGTTTTGAGATGATTTGTTATGCAGCAAAAGTAACTGGAGCGGGTTTCATTCTCACCTGTCATGAGCTTCCCAGGGCTAGACCCAACCTGTATGATAAGCCCGTCGCATGGCCTCTGAGCAAGAAGATCTTACCTACGAGCTCAGACTCTCCCCCTCTCTCCCTTCCCCACCACACCGTATTTTTGATAAACAAGTGTGGGATGGAAAAATGAAAGCGCATTCCAACAAACTTCTTAGGAAAAGTTGACAGAAATGTTGGAAGCATGTATAATTGTAGGGATACCAGACATCCAAATAATAGAGAAGAATTCTGCAAGGAAAAATGCCAAGGACTGAACCTCAGTACATTTTCATGGAAAGCATGAAGACATCTAGATAACTGAATACATTCAAACCAAATCGCAGGTCTTAAAAGCAAACAAGGTGCCATCTCACACTGATGGGGTGTTTAGAGACTGGAGGGCCCATCTTGATTTAAAGACGTAACTGGGAATTGAGGGAGAAGGATTTTACTCAAAGGACACATTTTCAGACAGCCTAGGGAATCCAAACAGTGCAAGTTTGAATGTATCACAGGGACAGCTAGACGGCTTTATGGGAACTGAGAGAGAGAAGGAATGAAAAATACACTGGGAGCCAGCGTGAAGTGTGAAACTTAACAAGGCCGTTAGGTCATAGAATGCACTAGAATCGCCTGCCCCAAAGGCGGCCTCCAATCAGGCAGCTCCTCTCCGGCTGCAGAGCTCAAAGCCCTTGGCAGGGCCCCTTCTTCACTGTGGTGGATGGGACACTCAGGGACCTCCTCCCCAGGGTCTCTCTCAGCTTTCTAATCATTCCAGTAATATTTCATGAGCAGTGGGGAGAGGTGAGGAGGAGGCCCTTGCGGGAACCCTCCAGCAAAGGCAGGGCAGGATCTTTCCTGCAGGTCCATGCCAAGGGTGTGGGGCTGCTGCACTTGAATGCACATGTTCCCCAAAGTCATGTCAACCCCAGCTCCCAGTGTGATAGCCTTAGGAGGTGGGGTCTCTGGGAGATGATCGGGTCGTGAGAGCTCCCTTGCCCTATTGACCACGTGAGGACACGGTGAGAAGGCGCCGTCTATGAACCAGGAAGCCAGTCCTCACCAGACACCGAATCTGTGGTGTCTGGATCTCAGACTTCCAGCCCGCAAAACTGTGGGAAATCACTCCTGTTGCTGACACCCCTCACCAACACACACACACACACACACACACACACACCCATCTGTGGCATTTTGTTACAGCAACTCAAGGGACTACAACAGGCGCTGTGACCCCAGTCCCTTTAACTGCCCTCTTCCTGCTGGGAGAGGCTCTCCTGGTCTCACCTCAGCATGTGTCTGGCGGGAGGGGGCCTCTCAGCCCACAGCTGGGAGAACTCTATGCCCGTTTCGGGACTTTGAGGTTGGGTTGGGGAGGTAAGAATGAAGGAGCCTCCAAGGACAGTGGCTGTGGGGAATGAATGATTGTGGTGGGCCCATATACCTGTCACTTTTTTCATGGAGGGCAGGGAGCGGCATGGTCTTTGGGCGTGAAGGCTGTGCCTGTGCAGGAACGGGGAGTGACTTCCCCCACTCTGGGCCAGTTCCTGACAGTCACCACGTGAGGGTGTGCAACCCGGGGCAGTGCAGTAAGCTTCAAGGATTTCCAGTTCTCCTAGGCCAACGGTCATTCAGGCCAATTGTCAGAGGCGTTTGAACCACAGCAACTCCATCTTGAGTAGGGGCTAGGTAACATGAGGCTGAGACCTACTGGGGTGCATTCCCAGACAGTTAAGGCATTCTAAGTCACAGAAGGTCAGCACAAGGCACAGATCATAAAGACCCTGCTGATAAAACAGCTTGGAGTAAAGAAGCTAGCTAAATCCCACCAAAACCAAGGTGGTGATGAGGGTGACCTCTGGTTGTCCTCACTGCTACACTCCCATTAGCGCCATGACAATCTACAAATGCCACAGCAATGTCAGGAAGTTACCCGATATGGTTTAATAAGGGGAGGTGTGAATAATCCACCCCTTGTTTAGCTTATCATCAAGAAACAACCATAAAAAAGGGCAACCAGCAGCCCTCAGGGCTGCTGTCTATGGAACAGCTATTCTTGTATTCCTTTACTTTCCTAACAAACTTGCTTTCACTTTACAGACTCACCCTGAATTCTTTCTTGCGGGAGATCCAAGAACCCTCTCTTGGGATCTGGATTGGGACCCCTTTCCTGTAACACAATCACTTCATAACCATGTGTTTGAGGCTCATGGAGAGCCCGAGAGCTTTAGAGGAAAGTCCAGTATCTTTTAGCCTTTGACATGCTAGAGCCAGGCTTCACCTGAAGGTCCAAATATCTTGGGTTCTAGACCTCCTTGTATGAACTGTCTGAAGAGTCTGATGGGATTTGAGTACTACTACCTCCCCTGGGGCTACCCAGTACCTCCCCTAGGGGCTACTCAGTACCTCACCCAGGGGCTACCCAGTACCTCCCCTTGGGGTTAGGCACAGTTGTCAAAGGACTGACACATACATGATCTCATTTGATCTTCACTTGACCCCCTTGGGGTACTGTGCCCACAACCCCACTGTGTCTGGAGAACTTTGTGCTGTGGGTGCTAGCAGGCCTGGTGGGGGCAGGGCTGAGTGGAGGACTCAGGTAACAGCTTATCCCTTATAGAGCCTTCTCCAGCCTTTGCTGTGCTAATAAGCAAATTTTAAATAATTTCCTCTTAGTTTGGTAAGAACACTTAACCTGAGATCTGCCCTCTTACAAGTTTCTAAGCATACCGTACAGTACTGCTAACTCTGGGCACAGCCGATCTCCAGGACTTACTCATCAGCAGGCACAGTTTCAGCTGAGCAAGAAGAGTCAGCTCCAACAAGCTAAATTTCACCACAGGAAGTTTTTGGTTGGCCTAGGGCTCTTTTGTTGATGAAGGTGAAGCTCGTGAAGATGTGGAAAGAGAAATGAGTTGCTTAAGGTAATCAATATCAGCATAGCCCAAGGTAGAGGCAGCCAGGCCCCAGAGTGCTGACACTCAGTCACTGTTTCAGAGGAACCAGGAATTCAACCAGGGTGATTCTGCCCCCGAGGAGCCATTTGGCAACATTTGGAGATATTTTCAGCTGTCACAGCTGGGGTGCAGCAGCGTGCTACTGGCATCCACAAAGTAGAAATTGGGATGCTGCTCGACATCCTACAATGCAGAGCACAGTCCTCAAAACAGAGGATTATCTGGCTCTGATAGTGCCAAGGTTGAGAAGCCCTGGCTACAGGGCAGGTGTCAGCCTCTGTGGCATATGTCCCTGTCCCCACCCACAGCCAACTGTATGAGGCAGAAGTAGGTGGGTGGCTTCAGCGCCCCAGGCTGCCTCTCGACCCATTCCTCTCCCAGCTTTTGCTTTAAGACCCAAGAAGCTGCAGGTACTAAATTCTGAACAGCTCCTGGAAGGCAGGGGGACTGGTAGCCACTTTGCGTGGGTTTGCTTTGGAGCATGAGGAGGTGGAGAAATGAAGAATCCATTTGGCAGACACAATAGTCCTGTAGCCCTCGGAGATTTAAGATAATACTGAAGCCGGGCGTGGTGGCTCACGCCTGTAATCCTAGCACTTTGGGAGGCCGAGGCGGGTGGATCACGAGGTCAAGAGATCAAGACCATCCTAGCCAACATGGTGAAACCAAGTCTCTACTAAAAATACAAAAAATTAGCTGGGCGTGGTGGTGCGCACCTGTAGTCCCAGCCACTCAAGAGGCTGAGGCAGGAGGATCGCTCGAACCTGGGAGGTGGAGGTTGCAGTGAGCAGAGATCGCACCACTGCACTCCAGCCTGGTGACACAGCGAGACTCCGTCTCAAAAAAACAAACAAACAAACAAACAAAAAAAACCCAAACAAAACAAAAGACAAAAAACACTGAAAGGTGCTATTTTAATGTCTGTGATTCAGGGAGGGGTGCTGCCCTTCCCTGCTGGCTCTGGAGGGTTGCTGGACTATGAGTGAGTGTAGACTTTGGCGCACACAGGGCACTGGCCCTGGGCACTTGCTGTCAGTCCTGCTGTGCTTCCTGTCCCAGGGTGTGCAGGGCCTCGGATCACTGGATCCATCTGGCTCTGCCCCACTGTTTCCTGTGATGGTGGTGAAGTATCTGCGATGCTTTGGAGAAAAGTAAGGGGCTGGCCCGATGCTGTCCAGGGCAGACCAGCGGGAAGCTTCTGGAATTTCACCTGCGTTCTCCCCCCCTGCCCAAACCTGGGTAAGTCTGAAGCAGGGACACTGTGCCCATGGCTATAAGCCCCGTGCGGTTCGGACTGTAATCCCAGCCTCAGGCCAACTGAGGGCCTCCCACTGCTGCCGCCTGTCCCCAGGGATCATGGCCTGCTCTGGACCACCTAGGTTCCCATCAGTAGCGAGCTGCATCCACAGTGGAAACAGCCCCTCCTTCTCTGTTAGGGGGAGAGCTTTGTTAGACGCAGCTAGCTCACACTTACAGCCCAAATGGCTCACAGAAACCCACAGGGGTTTCTCCTCTCAAACAGCCTGACACATAACTAACTGTCCGGCTCAAAACTTCAGCTCTTTCTCCCACTGCTAAAAGGACTGCTGCAGACAAATGTGCCCACACCCACCTCCCTAGAGAGCCACTGCATGGCTTACACCTGCCCACACACAGGTGTGTGCTCTTACGCAGGTGCGGCCAAGCTTCCCTGGCCACCTGCGTCTTCTGAACACCTGCCACCTTCCTCAGCCCGGCCCAGACTGTGCATCAAATGGAAGCCACGAACCCCCAAACCAAAGGTGAGGAGGCCACACAGAGGCACAGAAAGTCTCCAGCATCAAAGCCCCTGTCATAACCTCATTGGCCTCCAGCACCTTCCAGGACAGAGTCTATAAAGACTTTCTGCCCCTGTGGGAGGGCAGCATTACCCTAGGGGTAATGACAGCACTGCTGATGATCAAGGGGCACAAGGAGAGCGGTTCAGGGGCACAAGGAGAGCGGTTCAGGGACACCCCAAAAAAGAGACAGCCTGCGGCTAAGGTGCTGGCTGTGCACGGGGGGCTCAGAGGCCTCTCAGGCTCAGTGTTACAGGGGAGGAGGTAGCCTGAGGCAGGCAGGAGTGGGTGGGGTGGGTGGGTGGCTGAGTGAGCTGGGCACGGCAGCAGGACATGGCACGCTGCTTCCTCCCTCCACCTAGGACACATATGCTCCCTCATCCCTCCCCCTTGAACCTTGTTTGTGCTTTAGGTCCCATTCAGAAACCATCTTCTTTGAATCCCAGATGAGCAGTTACAGAGGGTTTATTTCTCTCTCCTCTCTGTCGCTCTAACCCTGGCATGGCTCTGTTGCTCAGGCCTTCTTTATCACCTATATCTGCTATTTTACATCCCCCACAGCCTCCCCAAATAAAATAGGGGCTCAGACCTCATTGTATTTGTCCCAATTTGGTGCCAAATGCTGATGGGGGCCTCAGAGCACGCCCTATTCTGAACACGATGTCAACTTGTGCTTGGTAACCAGCCACAAGCCCAGGCACAGCTGCCCATGGCCAAGAGGCTCTGGCTCTGCAGGGCCCAACCCCAGCTCCAGGCTCCCAGTGGTGCCCAGGCGTCGAATGGGGCCAGCCCAGGCCTGTGTGAGGCGCTCGTATGTCTAGGCAGGAAGCCGCTTCCCTGGGAAAATCCATCACAGAGCTTTGCAAGAGTTAACTTGAGTTAATGCTGTTAAATGAGGGGCGATTAAATGCCAGGCTGTCAGTTCTCTTTAGATTCTTGGGACTCGCATCTGAAAGGCTGCAACACCATGTGACCCTGTCTCCTTGCCATCTCAGCCAACACATTATCTTTTCACTAAGGTAGGAAAGGCCCCACGAGTCGGGTAGAATTTATAGCACCACATTCATTCATTTAAAATTGCTTCAAAGGAGATTAGGCCAAAGGTAGGACAGACAGAAATAAGAGGCTGGAGCAGGGCTGTCTGCCCTGGGATATGTCTGAGTGTGTCACGACCCTGTCCATTAGGATAACTTTGCTGTGTGTTGGATTTCCAACGGGCGTCTGGCTGGCTTTCTGTAGGACAAATACAACACAGCCATAAATTATTAGATCAAATGGAATGCATTCAGATGAAATCTCTGTAAAATCTGGCCTCCTTCTGAAGGATGTCTGGAATGAAACAGGAAAAATTAAACACACTATTATTTAGTCAGGTATGGCAAGCTCACTTCCTGAATTTTGTTTTTAAATGAAACAGATGGATGGAAATCACTTCATCCAACCAGAAGGCAGCCGCAGGTCGGTTCATCAATTGGATCGGGGTTTCTGAGGCAGCAACCGTAAATCAAAGCTCTTCTTTCCACAAGTCCTTCCTGATGGCTGCCAGCTTGCCAAGCCCTGACGGGAAGCCCCGTCGGGAAGCCCCGCAAGCTCTGCAGGATGGTTTGGATTTCCTCTTTCTGTGCTTCTTAAGGAAGATTGCTTCCAGGACACCCTGCATGCACACCGGCCCGAGACCACCGAGAGTGCAGGTGAGGAGGGCCCGGGAGGCCCCTGGCCGGGTCCTCTCCTGCCACCGTCTTCCTGGAGCAGCCCAGACCCTGGCCAGGTGGCACCTCCCTGAATAAGTGCCCTGATTTGGGCTTTTATCCCTATCTAATTTTTAACTGGGGACTGCTCCTACATTTCTATAAGGAGCTGCTACCATGAGGTCACAGGTGGTTGTTAATCATATTAACTAATTAATAATAATTAACAATCTAATTAATAATTAGAAAAGGATGGGAATTTGAAAGAAGCTGAGATGTCAGAATCCAGGTGCACACTGTGCTACAGGGCCACACAGTGCAGGGGGCCCAGGACTCTGCTTCTCCCTGAATTGGCAATATAACCATGGAGGAAAATGGCCTGCTTCAGACCAAGTTACATGAACTGCTGTTCACACAGCCCCTGCCTTCTAGAGAACTGCCAGGCATCTGCTCTCCCTGTGTCTGCATAGTCTCAGCAAATAGAGTGTGGAAAAAGTTTAACAAGACGTGCCCCATGCAAAAAGGCAGGACAAGCTATCCAGGACTGTGCATTAGTCTATCTCCTATGGCTAAGCTCTTGGGACCGTCTTATTAGGTATGTGAGGCTGAGACAGCAAGGGGGTGAGTGGAAAAGAAAGAGACTTAGACCCCGCCCCAGCATGTGTCCTGGAGCAGGTGGCTTGGACAGCAACCTCCTCACCCATGGAATACAACAGTGTCTGGGCCTACATGAGCTGTTCCAATGATGAATTTTGCCACTGACTGATATGGTTTGGCTCTGTGTCCCCACTCAAATCTCATCTAGAATTGTAATCCCCATGTGTCAAAGAGGGACCTGGAGGGAGGGGACTAGATCACGGGGGCAGTTTCTCCCATGCTGTTCTTGTGATAGTGAGTGAGTTCTCATGAGATCCAATGGTTTTATGAGGATTCTTCCCCCTTCACTTTCTCTTCTCTCTCCTGCCGCCTTGTGAAGAAGGTGCTTGCTTCCCCTTTGCCTTCCGCCATGATTGTAAGTTTCCTGTGGCACCCCCAGCTGAAACTGAGAGTCAATCAAACCTCTTTCCTTTATACATTACTCAGTCTCAGGTATTAATTTCTTTTTTTTTTTTTTTTTTTTTTTTTGAGACAGAGTCTGTCGCCCAGGCTGGAGTGCAATGGCACGATCTCGGCTCATTGCAAACTCTGCCCCCTGGGTTCAAGTGATTCTCAGCCTCCCAAGTAGCTGGGATTAGAGGCACCTGCCAACACACCCAACTAATTTTTGTGTTTTTAGTGGAGATGGGGTTTCACCATGTTGGCTGGGCTGGTCTCGAACTCCTGACCTCAAGTGATCTGCCCTCCTCGGCCTCTCAAAGTGCTGGGATTACAGGCGTGAGCCACCGCACCCAGCCTAGTCTCTGGTATTTCTTTACAGCAGTGTGAAAATTGACTAATACACTGACTCTGCCTCAGGCAACAGAAGAGATTTCTTATCATGAGGAAGAAGGAATGAAATGTCAGCACCCTTTGTTTGCTGTGAGCTGACTTCCCTGCAAAGGGTCTCTCTAAGCTGTGGCCTGTGGAACAGGGGTGGCTGAGCCGAGGCCTCTACTTCCTGCACATCTGCACCTCTGGCTCTGCTATTTCTGTGATGACCCATCCTCCACCAGCCCCGGCCACAGCAGTTTCTAGGCACCCCATGCGTGGCACTGTCAGAGCCAGTCCAGGGAGCTTGGTGTAACTGCCTGTCCTCCTCCAGACTGCCTTGTTCAGCTCTGCACGTAGAGTACTGAGCCAGGGCTTGTCCCAAAGTGGGTGCTCCACAAATATTTTGTTAAGTCAATAGATGAAAAATAAGTGAATGACCAGAGGGCAACTACACTCAAGTGGGTGGTGTCTCCCCAGACGTGCAATAAGGAAGAGCAAATTCTGAGAACCAAAGATTGACAAGGCGCTTCCAGGGACTTGTTGAGATCCAGCAAAACTCTGGAAAAGATGATCTTTTCCAGATGGAGCAGGAGTCTACCCGAAATGCAAGCATGGATTTCACATGTGGCTAGAGCTGCTGGGTGCTGTGGGTCATCCTTCTAACTCCCATCACTTATTGATGAGGAAATAAGTCATTCCAAAGTAATCTCATCTCTTTACGTAGTGAGGTCCCAGGAGCCTTTGGTGAGGAGACAGGGCCACCCCAGCCACCCCAGAAGGGACAAGGAATCCTTGTAGTTGAGAAGGTGGCTTTGTCTTCATTAGCCAGAAGACAGCTCTGTGGTTGCCCACCACCAGAACGGGCTCAGCTAACCCTCAGACAGGACGCACGAAGAGTGAAATGATCAACACTAAGTAACTCCAGCTTGCAGGATCAAGCGTATCTGCTCATGGGTTCATCTTATAGCTCGCATGTCCTGGAAAGTGCTCTGAGAACACTGCTGTCCAGGCTCAGACCCCCACAGAAGAATGTCTGAGGTTGTGGTTGCAGTGGACAAACGCCTGGCCCCAAGCTGCACACATAACCAACGGCTGGAAAAATTCGGATCTACCTTCTGAGGAAAAGCACGGTTTTCTGGCTTTTCTTCATGAGATCTGGGGGTTCTTTTGTTCAGCAAAAACATAATGGTTAAGCTTTTCAGCGTTCTGCCAGACTTATTACTATTTGCTTGTTGGGTTTCTGGAGCTTGTGGATTTGTCCTTAATCAGAAGTACACAAGACCAGTGCTCAGTCACTCTGAGCCACTGGGGCCCAGCTCCCATTGCCAGCCCACCTAGGAGAAGTCACACACAGAGGACACATTAACTGTTATTTTCTAGGCAGCCTAAGTTTTGTGCTTTGATGAAATTAGGCCACAGAAGACCATCCCACTGCACACATAGTGTGACCCCTGCACAACAGGCATTACTGTCAAACCCTTCCTCGACAGAGCAGCGGATGCATGCATGGAAAACCAACAGACCAGGCAGGCAGTTCTGGCCCCAAAGCAAAGCACGGGGGCTAGTAAAGGGCCACAGGGGCCCAGCCGCATGCCACACACCCCAGGATACAGAGTGGAGGACACAGTGAGGTGGTGTCTTTAGGGCTGTTAGATCCAGGCCCTTCCCTCCTGATAAATTCTCACTCATCCAGGAATATTCTGGGATAGCGCACAATGCACAGAAGAAATACGCTGTGTAAGCACGGGCTGTGGAATGCTGCAGGGGGCCCGCATTCTTGGGGTGGAGAAGAAAGGCATGGCATGGGCCACAAGGTGCAAAGCCACACCTCAGGCCCTGCACAGCCTGTGTTCTCAGCTTACATGCCTGGCCCTGCTCCCACAGCCTCCTGAGCCAAGACTGGTGGCTGGAGCCCTTTAGAAGACCTTGAGCTTGACATGCATCTAGTAGCCCCCGGGAGACCACCACTAACTGGGAAGGCAGTTCCAGTATCAAAGCCGTAGAGGGTTGAAAACGTCACCATGAGAAGCAGCTCTGAATTTAACTTTTTTTTTTTTTTTTTTTTTCTGAGACAGAGTCTTGCTTTGTTGCCCAGGCTGGAGTGCACTGCCGCGATCTTGGCTCACTGCAAACTCCACCTCCCAGGCTCAAGCGATTAACCTGCCTCAGCCTCCTGAGTAGCTGGGATTACAGGTGCCCGCCACCATGCCTGGCTCATTTTTTTATTTTTAATAGAGACAGGGTTTCACCATGTTGGCCAGGCTGGTCTCAAACTCCTGACCTCAAATGATCCACCTGCCTCGGCCTCCCAAAGTGCTGGGATTACAGGCGTGAGCTACCACACCGGGCCTAACTTCCTTCTTATCCTGACTGGTCATCGTTTGTGCTCGCTTCTTGCCAGGCGCATGGAAACATTTTGCTTCCTGCCCTCTCTGAGATCCAGTGGGACCAAGCAGCATGATGTGTTACATAAGGACGTTTTGGTCAATGACAGATCACAATGGGGGTCTTATAAGATGATAATGAAACTGAAAAATTCATGTTGCCTACTGATGTCGCAGCTGTCATAACATCACAGTGCAACGCATTCCCCTTCCTATGTTTAGCTATATTTAGACACACGGTACTTGCCGCTGTGTTACAGTTGCCTATGGTGTTCAACACAGTCACATGCTGTGCAGGTTTTAGCCTAGGAGCCAGAGACTACACCACACAGCCTAGGTGTGTCACAGGCTGTGCCATCTAGGTTTGTGTGAGTCCACTCTGTGATGTTCACAAGACAAAATCACCAAACGACGCGTTTTTCAGAACGTATTCCCTTTAAGTGACACATGACCGTATCTAGCTAGTTTTGATTAGTGAGTTGTGGGAATCTTTGTGGGCAAATGTGATGTGTGTCACTTCTGGGCTGAAATGTTTTCCGCTCTGAGGAGGTCCTCCAGGGTCTCTCTGCCTCTGACCCAGCAGCCCGCATGGAGGTGGAGCATGTTCACAGGACTGCGCCCTGGGGTGTTGGTGCAGCTGGCTACAGGCATCTGAGGTCTGTGAGGGATGTGAATGACGGCGGAGGGTGCTCAGCCTGGCTCTGTTCCTCTGCGTGTGCAGCCTGTCCTGACTGCTGCCAGGGGACTGCAGAACGGTCAGATCAGGCAAAAGGTGCCCAGTGGGATTAAATCAGAGAGGAGCTGCTTCAAACGCTCATCCTCAAATAGATATGGAAATCATGCTCGTCCTCTCTTCTGGCTCTAAAATCTATATACTCACAAAAATACATGATGTTCTTTTTAAAAATAAAGTGCTGTCTTAACTTTTAAAAATATCTATTTGACAAGTTTTGACTTAGCAGATCCCCCTGCAGCAGCCCCACCATCTGGGCGATGTGCATTGCCGCTGCCCTCACGGTGGGCCCAAGCCCCCCAGTCCTGCTGTCCTTCCAGGGCTTCTTCCAGTCCCCAGGAAACCCCCGAGCTGCTTTCTGTCACTAAACATGGGTGTGCATTTTCCAAAGTTTTATAGACACGGGACCCTCCAGTGGCTATTCTGCTTTCTGTCTGGCTCTTGGCCGATTTTGCGCTTCCCTTCCATTGCTGTGTGTATCAGCAGCTGGTTTCTTTTTCTTGCTGGGTGGTGCCCCTTTGCAGGGTTGAGCCACTGTCTGTGCATGCATTCATCAGCTGATTGGCATCTGGGCCATTTCCAGTCTGAGGCTGTCACAAATAAAGCTGCTACGGATCCCTCATGCAGGAGCCTTTGTGTAGGCCTGTGTGTCTGCTTCTCCTAGGAGTGGAATGGCTGAGTGACAGGTGGCATGTTTAACTTCTTAAAAAATTGCTGAACCATTTTCCCAAGTAGTTGTGCCATTTTACATTTCCACCAGCAGAGCAGGAGGGTTCTCAGCCTAACCCTTTAAATATGCAGCCTCTTTCTCTCTTTCACAGAGTATGAAGACATACACACACATGCACACAGATATATAGACACACACATACATGCATACATACACATATAGACACACATACACAAACACATGCACACATATACACACAAACATATACACACATGCACATGTATAGACATGCACACATATACATACACATACACACATATAGACATACACACATATAGATACACACATGCACAAGTATAGACATGCACACAGATATAGACACACAAATGCACACACTCAGAATGAATTGTGGACCCAAATGTAAAATGCAAAACTATGAAACTCCTAGAAGATAACATATGGAAAAATCTAGAGGACCTTAGGCTTAGTGGTGCCTTTTTAGATAAAACACCAAAGACACAATCATGAAATAGTTAATAAATTGGGCTCCATGAAAATTAACAACTTGTGCTCTGAAACAGATACTGTCAAGAGAATGAGAAAACAAGTCACAGACTGAGAGACAATATTTGCAAAAGACCACTGTGGTATATCTAAAATGTACAAAGAACTCTTAAAACTTTATAAGAAAACAAACAACCCAATTAAAAACTCAGCAAAGATCTAAACAGACATCTCATTAAAAAAGATGTACAGGCTGGGCGCAGGACTCACGCCTATAATCCCAGCACTTTGGGAGGCCGAGGCGGGCAGGTCACGAGGTCAGGAGATCAAGACCATCCTGGCTAACACAGTGAAACCCCGTCTCTACTAAAAATACAAAAATTAGCTGGGTGTGGTGGCACGCGCCTGTAGTCCCAGCTACTCGGGAGGCTGAGGCAGGAGAATCGCTTGAACCTGGGAGGCAGAGGTTGCAGCAGTGAGCCGAGATAGCACTGCTGCACTCCAGCCTGGGCGACGGAGCGAGACTCCATCTCAAAAAAAAAAAAAAAAAAAAAAAAAGATGTACAGGTAGCAGATAAGCATATGAAAAGATGCTCAGCATTATATGTTGATATGGTTTGAACCTGTGTCCCCACCATAGCTCATGCTGAATTGTAATCCCCGGTGTTAGAGGTGGGGTCTGGTGGGAGGTGACTGGATCGTGGGGACGGATCCTTGGTGAATGGTCGTGGAAGCAGATTTCTCACGAATGGTTTAACACCGTCTCCTTGGTGCCCTCCCTGTGACAGTGAGTGAGTTCTCATGAGACCTGATTGTTTAAAGGTGTATAGCACCTCCTCCCTCCCCTCTTGCTCCTGCTCCTGCCATGTGAGACTCTTTGTTCCCTCTTTGTCTTCCGCCATGATTGGAAGCTTCCTGAGGTCTCCCCAGAAGTAAAAGCTGCTATGCTTCCTGTAGAGCCTGCAGAACCATAACCAATTAAACCTCTTTTCTTTATAAACTACCCAGTCTCAGGTATTTCTTTATAGCAGTGCAAGAATGGCCTAATACAGATGTCATTAGGGAACTGCAAAGTATAATAACAATGAGAGACCACTACATAACTATTAGGATGGCAAAATCCAAAACAGTGACAACACTGAATGCTGGTGAGGATATGAAGCAATGAGAACTCTCATTCATTGCTGGTAGGAAAGCAAAATGGTGCAGCCACTTTGGAAGAGAGTTGGCAGTTTCTTACAAAACTAAATGTACTTTTACCGACCTCAGCACATACTCTTACATACTCCTAAAATCTCCTTTCTTGGTATTTATCCGAATTTATGTCCATATAAAAACCCACACAAGATGTTTATAGCGGCTGTATTCATAACTGCCAAAACTGAGAAGCAACTAAGATGTCCTTTGGTAAGTAAATGGATAAATAAACTGTGGTACATCTGGACAATGGAATATTATTCAGTGCTAAAAAGAACTGAGCTACTAATCTATGAGAAGACATGGAGGAAACGTAAATGCACATCACTAAATAAAATAAGCCAATGCAAAAAGGCTACAACATTGTGTATGATTCCAATTGTATAACAATCTAGAAAAGGCAAATCTATGAAGGCAGTAAAAAGGTCAGTGGTTGCCAGGAGTTAGATGTGAAAGAGTGATCAACAGGCAGAGCACAGAGGATTTTTAGGGCAGTCAAACTATCCTGTATGATACTATAATGCTGGACACATGTCATTATACATTTGTCAAAATCCATAGATTTTGGACAACACCAAGAGTAAATCCTAACGTAAACTATGGACATTGGGTAATGATGTGTCAAGGTAGGTTCATCAGTCCTGACACATGTACCACTTTGGTGTAGGCCATTGATAGTAGAAGAGATTGTGCATGTGTGGGAGCAGGGAGTATATGAGGACTTTCTGCATTTTCTGCTCAGTTTTTCTCTGAACCTAAATTTGTTCTAAAAAATAAAGTCTCTTTAAAAAAAGTCTTGGAAGGATGACTTCCAATATCAGAAGGGCTATTTTTAGAAGAGGAAATCGATTGTGAGGGAGCAGAATTGGCAGAAGTGGATCAACTCTGCAGGATGTGTATGTATGCAAGGCTATGTATGCATGTATGTATTTGTGTATGCATCTGTATATGTGTACAGATGTTTACATGTGTGCACATGTATTTTATATGTACGCGAATGTGTGTACATGTAGTCATGTTTGTATGTGTATTTTTGTTATGTATTCATGTAGATGTATATACATAAATATGCTTATTGCATGTGAATGTTATTTGTATGTGTTCACATTGTACGTGAGTTCATGTTGTACATGTGTATGTATATGTATGAATGTGTGTATATTTGTGTGTGGATGTGTATCTGTGTGTGTAGACTCTGTAGATTTTGCCCGACAAGAGGATGAATCTTTTAATAGGTCAGTCCAGCCATAAAACAAGCCCCCTCATTAAGTGGTGAGCTCTTGTCCCTGGAAGTATTTTAGAAGAAACTGAATGATCCCCTGTAAAAATGCTGCAGCCCGGCCTGCTGGCAGTGTGGGGGCTGGCAGGTCTACCAGCACAGATGCCATCTGTTCTCCTTTCTAGAGCTATGTTCTGTGAATTGGGGACCCTCCCGAGCGAGGGTCTATCCTTCCTCTCCTGGTGACCTCTTGCCAGGCACACTTTGTACGGGTGCCTCTTTCTAAGAGAAGACTCTAAATGTTCACCCCTACCCTGTCTATACCACCTCTGGCAGAGTCCTCAAAGCCCAGCTGAGGGAATCAGTTGTGACAGGGAGAAAGGGGCCTCCACTGAGGGACAATTCCCTTGCATCTCTCCATGTCACAGAGGCATCATTCTCCATGGTCTTAGCATGTTCCTAAAACAAACATTTGCAGCCAGGTCTCTCCAAGGTGTTAAAAACTTTGGGTAGCTTGACTGCAGCGGAAACAAACATGAACATCTCCTCTTTTGTGAGCCTCAGGGTCTGATGGCTTCTTCCCCATTGCTTCCAGAGTCCCTGTTTGTTACCAAGTTGCACAATAATCAGAAATTGGAAGTAACTAATATTTCCTCCCACCCCAGGAGGGTCCAGAGGACACGCCTTTCACCACGACTATGAGAAACAGATGTGTGAGGGGAGTCCTCGCACCCTTGAAAAGCTCTGGAGTCACACTTCTCCACAGGCCGGACCTTACAGTGGGAACTATGGCCATGGAACTGGGAAACCTGGAAGTGACTGGGTCCCAGAGCAAGGGGGGCAGGGCCCACATGGTGGCACATAATTACCAAAGACAAGGCCGACCAGGTGGTAATACCGTGAGACAAGTTACCAAAACAGACAGCACAGTCAAGGCAGTAATCAACTGGCAACTGGCAGTCCATTATATTCCTGGAAGAGAAATAGATGGGCTGTCTACTAAATTCTTACTTGAGCTGTGTAAACAGAAGAGTTCTAGGTCTAGTGAACAGAAGTATAACTTGAATCACAAAACAGAGTCACAACCCTTCAATCAATTCCCAGGCTTGAGCTACTTTACAGACTCAGAATCCCTTGAATTTACAGGTTAGGTCTTCTTGAGGAAAGACCCCAGGGCCATACCAAAATCTTACACTGTTAATCTTTCTCCCAGGCTTCCCCAAAGGGATCTACCTTAACAGGGTGACTGCGCATTAGGGGAAAGAAAATAATCAGACTTTTCAGGGACAGCTGGACACTGGATCTGAACTGACCCTAAGTTGACGAGAGCCAAATGTCACTATGGTCTGCCAGTCAGGGACGGGCTTATGGAGCACAGGTGATCAGTGGAGTTTTATCTCATGTCCTTCTCACAACAGTTCAAGTATGGCCCTGAACCCATCCTGTGGGTTTTCTCCAGTTCTGAAATGCATCATTAGCCTAGACGTACTCAGCAGCAGGCAGAATCCTCACATTGGTTTCCTGACCTGTGGAGAGAGGGCTGTTATGCAAGAAAGGCCAGTGGAAGCCACTAACCTGCCTCTATTTCAGAAAATGGTAAAATAAAAGCAATATGCATTCCTAGAGGTACTGCAGAGATTAGTGCCACCATCAAAGACTTGAAGGATACAGGGGTGGTGATTCTCACCACATCCCTATTCAACTCTCCTGTTTGGCCGGTGCAGAAGAGAGATGGATCATGGAGAATGACAGAGGATTATCATAAGCTTAACCAGGTGGTGACTCCAACTGCAGATGCCATACCAGTATGGTTTCGTTGTTTAAGCAAATTAATCCACCACACCTCTTGGTATCTGATATGCAGTGATTAATTCGGCAAATGCTTTTTTTGTTAGTAAAGACTGAAGCAGTTTGCTTTCAGCAGGCAAGGCCAGCAATGAAACTCAGGGGTAGATCAATTCTCCAACTCTGTGTCACAAAATAGTTTGCAGGGATGGTGATCACCTTTGCCTTCCTCAAGATGTCATACGAGATGGCCCATGACATTGATGGCCTTGTGCTGACTGGACCTAGTGAGCAAGAAGCAGCAACTACTCTAGATTTGTTGGTAAGACACCTGCATGTCAGAGGATGGGAAATAAATTGAATTAAAATTCAAAGGCCTTCTACCTCAGTGAAATTTCTAGGGGTTTGGTGGTGTGGGGGCACACTGAGACATCCCTCGTAAGGTGGAGAAAAAGTGGTTACGTCTAGCCCCTCCTATAGCCAGAGTTAAAAAGGTGAGTGGGGCTCTTTGAATTTTTAGAGACAACATCCTCCTCAGATGGGTGTATTAATTTGGCCTATTTATTAAGTGACCCCCAAAATTGATAGTTTTGAGTAGGACCTAGAACAAAAAAAGGCTCTGCAACAGGTCCAGGCTGCTGTGAAAGATGCTCTACCACTTGGGCCACATGACCCAGGAGATCCAGTGGTGCCTGAGGCACTATTGTGGCAGACAGGGATGCTACGTGGGGCCTCTGGCAGGTGGATCACCGCGCAGGTCTTTAGGACAGACAGGGATGCTACGTGGGGCCTCTGGCAGGTGGATCACCGCGCAGGTCTTTAGGACAGACAGGGATGCTACGTGGGGCCTCTGGCAGGTGGATCACCGCGCAGGTCTTTAGGACAGACAGGGATGCTACGTGGGGCCTCTGGCAGGTGGATCACCGCGCAGGTCTTTAGGACAGACAGGGATGCTACGTGGGGCCTCTGGCAGGTGGATCACCGCGCAGGTCTTTAGGACAGACAGGGATGCTACGTGGGGCCTTTGGCAGGTGGATCACCGCGCAGGTCTTTAGGATTTTGGAGCAAGCCTCTGCTGTCTTCCAAGGACAACTGCTCTCTTTCTGAGAGATAGTTCTTGGTCTGCCACTGGGCCTTGGTAGAGACTAAATGCTTGACCATGAGCCACCAATTACCATGCAACTAGAGCTGCCCACTGTGAACTGGTGTTATCTGACCCACCAAGCATAAAGCTGGGCGTGCACAGCAGCATTCCATGACCAAATGGAAGGGTGGACACATGATCGGGTTAGAGCAGGTCCCGAAGGCACCAGTAAGTTACATGAGGAAGTGGCCTAAAATGCCTATGGTCACCACTCCTGCTATGCTGCCTTCTCTCTCCCAGCCTGCACCTGTGGCCTCCTGGGCAGTTCCATAGGATCACACAGGAAGATAAGACTTGAGCCTGGTTCACAGATGGTTCTGCACCATATGCAGGCACCACCTGAAAGTGGGCAGCTGCAGCACTGCAGCCCCTCTCTGGGACATCCCTGAGGGACAGCAGTGAAGGGAAAGCCTCTCAGTGGGCAGAACTTTGAGGAATGCACCTGGTTGTGCACTTTGCTTGGAAGGAGAAGTGGCTAGAAGTGTGATTGTTTAATGATTCATAGGCTGTGGCCGATGATTTGGCTGGTTGGTCAGGGACTTGCAAGAAACATAATTGGAAAATTGGTGACAAGGAAATTGGAAAAGCACATGTGAAAAGACCTCTTTCAATGGGAAAACATGTGGTGAAATTTGTGTGCCATTTAAATGCTCACCAAAGGGTGACCTCAGCAGAGGAGGACTTTAGTAATTCCACAGATGGGATTCTGTGGAGCACAGTCAATGACTGAGCCTCTTTCCTCAGCCATTCCTGTCATTGCCCAGTGGACCCATGAACAGAGTGGCCACTGTGGATGGAGGTGATGCATGGGCTCAGCATCATGGATTTCCACTCACCATGGCCAACCTGGCTACGACTACCACTGTGTCCAATCCACCAGCAGCAGAGAACAACAGTGAGTCCCCAGCATGTCACCACTCCCTGAGATGGTCAGCATCCACCTGGGGGCAAGGTGACTACCTTGGACCACCTCCATCAAGGAAGGGGCAATGGTGTTTTGTCCTTCCTGGAATGGATACTATTCACTCTAGATATGGATTTGTCTTCCCTACACACAATGCTTCTGCCAAAGTGAATATCCATGGACTTCAGAATGCCTTAACCACCATCACGGTATTCCACACAGCACTGCTTCTGACTGAGGAGCTCACTCCATAGCAAATGAAGTGCAGCAATGGGCTCGTGTGCATGGAACTCACTGGCTCTACCATGTTCCCCATTATGCTGGCAGCTGGCTTGACAGAATGTAGAATGACCTTTTGAAGACTCAGTTACAGCACCAGCTGGGTGACAGTCCCTTGCAGGGCTGGGACAATATTCTCCAGAAGGCTGGGTATGCTCTGAATCAGCATCAAATATATGGTGCTATTTCTCCTACAGCCAGGACTCATGGGCCCAGGAATCATGGGGCAGAAATGGGAGAAGCACCACTTATTATGACCCCTAGTAACCCACTAGCAAAATGTCTGCTTCTTGTTCTCACAACATTATGTTCTACTAGTCTAGAGGTCTTGGTTCCAGGGGGAGGAATGTTGCCACCAGGAAACATGACAATGATTCCATTGAGCTGGAATTCAAGACTGCCACTCAGCCGCTTTGGGATCCTTGTGGCTTAGAATCAAAGGCAGGAACGGGAACTACTGTGCTGGCTCGGGTGACTGATCCTGACCACCGTGGGAAACTGGACTGCACTCCATAGTGGACATGGGCAAGAGCATGTCTGGGATACAGGAGATCCCTTGGGGTGTCTCCTAGCACGCTCTCAATCACAATGCCCCGTGACTGAGGTCAATGGAAAACTATAACCACCCAATCCAGACAGGACTAAAAATGGCCCAGTCCCTTCAGGAATGAAGGTTTGGATCACCCCACCAGGTAAGGGTCCATGCCCAGATGAGGCGCTTTCTGAAGGGAAGGGGAATACAGATTGGATAGTAGACAAAGTAATTATAAATACCAGCCATGACCATGTGAACAGCTACAGAAATGAGGATTGTAACTGTTGTAAGTATTTCCTCCTATTTTGTTAAGAATATGTCTGTGTGAATGTGTATATTAAGCAGTACCTTTGTTTTCTTCTCTCTCTTATCTCACCATGTAATATAAGTTGCACTGACTTTATATGATATGATTATTATATGATAGTATTTAAGTTACAAGATATCAAGAAGAAGACGAAGCACCACTCAAAGACTCTGAATCCTCTTCTGGGAAGGGCGCATGCACTCTTGGTGTAGTCAGGCTTGTTGTATCATATTAGGCAGAAGTATGACTTTGCTTTTGTCTTTATGTGGAAACTAAGTATAGTTTAGGGAGATGTCAAGCTGACAAAGGATGGACGGTGATGGTGAGTTTTATGTCAGTGTGGCTAGGCAGGTACCCAGTTGTTTGAGCAAACACTAATCTAGATGTTGCTATGAAGGCATTTGGCAAATGTGTTAATATCTACAGCCAGTTTACCTTAAGTAAAAGAGATTACTGAAAGTACATACCTTGATAATGTGGGTGGGCCTCGCCCAATCAGCTGAAGGCCTTAAGAGCAATCACAGGCATCCTGTGGACAATGATTTTCTGCCTCAAGACTGCACAGCAACTCCTGACTGAGGGTCCAGCCTGCTGGGCTGCCCCACAGAATTCAGGCTTGCCAGCCTCCACAGTCACATAATTCCTTAAAATAAATAAATTCTCTCTCTCTCTCTCTCTCTCTCTCTCTGTCTCCTGCTGGTTCTGTTTCTCTGGAGATCCCTGACTGATACAAACCAATAATTAATTTTTATAGTATTCCCATGAGTACAAAAAGACATTATTCCCATTTTCACACTAAATAAACTGAAGTCTAGGGGAGTTGTAAGGTGACCTTAAAGTGAAAGAGAGAATAAATAAGAGTTAGAAGGCAGGTGATGAAGCCATAAATCTAGCCATTTCTGCTGGTCTTACAAAGAAATCCTATAGCAATAACATTTTCATGAAGTTGACCTATTGGTTCTATTTGAGATCCAGACAGAGTGTGAATCCTCTGAAAAGATTAATGAGTTTCATTCTCATGCTATATACAAATGTGTCCTATAATGTAGTAAGATGCGGCCTGGAAGGAATTTAATAAGCAAGCACATAGCTTATCAGGTGAATAAAAACCAAACTGTCCCAGGAGTGACTTCCCCTAGAGGGAGATGATGGTATGAAGCCGTCTTATTCCCTTGAGGTTACAGAGTGCCCTCCCCGGCTCCTGCACCACATGGCCTGAGTGCCTGAAAAAACAAAATAAAACCACAACAAATAGAATGCCGAACCCAGCACTCTCTGTTCTTTCTCGACATTTCCCTCAGTTATGGGACCAAAATGGAGAGTGCTGGCAAGTGCTGTGGAATGTTCAGAGATGCCCCGCCATGCTGACTTTGTTGCCTTCTGGGAGGGACAGACGGCTGGGTCTGATGTGTGGGCATTACCTTCTGATGTAGTTTATGGGGTGTGCGCTTGTTTTTCTTCTGAACTAATGCCATCACTGAGTTTTTCTGGGCATGGACGGCTGGAAAAAAATCCCATGTCTTTGAAAGCACTGTGAGAATATATCAGTTGAAAAAGAAGGCAGTCACAGCAGTAGAATTTTGCAGAACAGAATCTAGACTTGATGTGGGAATTGAGTTGTGCCGGGGCTCCCGGCCATGCAGTGTGTGCATCGCTCGCCCCAGCCACACTGTCACACGCATCGCTTGCTTGTTCAGCTCGTGTGGCACTAGAGTGTAGGATTTCACAGTAATCCTGATTAGTTACTCGTTATTAGTCAGTGCCCTTTGGGGAGGGTGGCAGAACCCTCACAACTATTACACATGACTTACAAATCCTTTTCATTTTCTAAAGTGTATTACTATTTTAAAAATGCATTTTGGTTTAATGCTTTGCAGTTGAAACCCTACTTCTGAATAATAGTTTACTTGAGTTCCCTTCATTGTTCATATAACAAAATTAACCCCTCCTTTGATCTTTTAGAGAAGCCTCGGGGATATAAGTTTTACATCTGTATGGATCATTTAATTCTAGGATCCAGACTTCAATTAACTATCAAATTCTTAATAATAATTTCTAATACTTTTGTTCTAAATACTATGTTATGCATTCGTCAAACTAACTAAATTTACTACTCCCAACAACTCAGGGTGGTAGGTGCTATCGTCCCCATTTCACAGATGTGGAAACTGAGGCATGGAAGGTGGAGAAGCTTGCTCGAAGTCACATAATTGGTAAACAGGAGATTGATTCACACTAGGCAGCCGACCCCAGGTCCACCCTCCATGCTGATTAATCCACTGTGTCTTCCTCCTCCAAATTCAAGCTTCACTCGCTGTTGAGATGACTGTGCTCCTTCCCTCGTCCCTGCCACTTTCTGAAGGCTCAGCGGCATGAGCCCTAGGCTATTCTCCCCAGAAGAGAAGCTGACTAGCAGTAGCAGAGAATGGGGAGTGGGCACTTGTGGGTACCATGGAGCCTGGTTTCATTCCCAGTGCCCTACTCGTTGTGTGGCCTTGGGCAGGTCACCTTGCCTCTCTGGACTTCATGTCCACATTTGTACCCTGAAAGGGTCACCAGCACTCACAACCACGCTGAGATCCAGAAGTCTCATCCCAATGCAGAGGCCACGGAGTTTCTACAGGAGAACTGGGGACAGCCAGCTTCACTTGCTGTCCTGGGAGGGCGCAGATAACAAGAGAAGCCTCCAGGCCACCACTGACCTCTGCTCAGACCAGGCTGGGCCACTGCCCTGCCCCACTGAGGGCCTGTGCTCTGACGGGACATTCCTAACTTAGAGAAAGGTTGCCACTCCTGTCACCAGTGAAGCGATGCTCCAGCAGTTTATGCCTTCCAAAAAAGGCTGTCTGGAAAACTTCAAAATGTTTTTTGGCAGCTGGGATTCACGCTTTCAGGATGGGTTCATTTTCAGCCGCACATGCTGGCTCCCCTTATCCCTCGGAAGGCAGCCTGACAATAGGGGAACAGGAAGAGGACCTGGAGTCGCCGGTGCTCCCAGCCACACGGGGCTGACTCTGCGACCCCTTCTGCCCAGCCAACGCCAGTGCCACTAACCAGCAGAGCTGCCAGGCACAAGTGGCCAGGGCAGAGGTGGTTTCCATGGCCCATGGCTGACCATGAGACTCTTCAGTGACTTTGCTGTGCGGCAGACCTGAGGTTCCCAAGCCCCCAGTGGGCCTGGGAGCCCAGCGATGCATCAGACTGTGGCTGCACCTGATGACAGAGCATGGGCCAAGGGGCTCCGTGAGCAGGCTGCAGGGCAGGTCTCCCCTAAGACCTGCATGATGGTTCCCACGTGGGTGAATCAGTTCTGGGTGAGGTCAGATCCAGCCCCTTCTACCTCTCATGCCAGTGTGTGCAGGTGACAGCAGGCCCCTCCCCACCCTGGTTGGTGGGAGCATGCAGCCAGCCTGTGCCAGCAGAGTGTAGCTGTCACTTCGGAAGTGAATGGCACTGGTAAACCTGGAGAAGCTGGGATGAGCGCTGGCAGCAGCTGGCTTCCCCGGCTGCCTGTCGACAGAACTGGGATGGACGAGTAAGGGTCTACCTATTGCAGGGTGCCTCCACTCGAGAGGAAATACATTTATAAGCCAGCGATTCTTCACTTTAGAGAGAGCTGCCTGGCCACTCAAAAGAGCTTCATCCTCAAGATTTCTTCAGATTGGATGTTCCTGGGGTTTCATGAAAAATATAATCACACTCCTATATAATATCATGAGTGTATATGCCATAGTAACACACATATATGAGATATACATATATTTAATGGGTGGGTGCACACATGTGTCCCACAGACTCCACGCCCCAGACCAGGCCTTGCTGCTGTCATTATGGGTCATTCTGTCAGGTCCTCTGTTCCTTTCAGACCAAATTGGGTTTGCAGTCTTGATTATGTCGGTCATCCACATGGACTGGTAAGTGATTCATTGTTGCATGGGTTCTGGCTGTGGCTGGGTCCAATGTGGACCCAGAAGGCAGACACCTAGGGCCCTTTCTCCCCCCAAGGCCAGCCTCATGGTCTCCTGCCAGCCGCTACCCTGGATGTCTCACTGTGGGACTCCTGGACGGGCCATGACCTCCCAGGGACTAGGAGGCCACCACAGTCAGCACTTGGACCCAACACAGGAGGCAGGAGGCCAGCATTCCCATGCCAGCTCCACTGCCGATGCTGTGTGGCCCCAGGCAAGTCTCTGAAGGTCTCTGAGCCTCAGGAACATCATGGAAAATGGAGAGTTTAATATAAAACATCTTTAGAGGCTCTTTCAAGTTTCAATATTCTATTACTCACTGAAACTAAAACTACCACACCCATAAAGAGAGAGTTAACTTTTTTTTTTTCTGGCCCATAAAGAATTTCCCATAAGTCGTGAGAGTGAAAACTTACTGGCAGCAGTTTTTCCAATTCTCTTTAGTCTACAATCATCACCAGGTGCCTTCTATGGGCTGGGGTTGTCGACCTAAGGCTTCGAGATGTTTTTGAATTAAGTTTTATGTCAGGACTCGCACACAGCAACACAGAAGCTCCCCAGTGTACCGTCCCTACTGTATGCTCACCATGAAGATCTATCCTACCCTGTTTCATTCTGTTTATCCCATCCAATCTAAATAAAAATGTGGGTCCCAATCCACTGGATTGATCATTTGAAGAATGCTGCTGTGGAACTCATGGCCAGGCCAGAGCCTTGGGGAACCTCAGCACCAAGGAGAGGGCTCCACAGAAGTCAGGCAGCCGGCGGGAGCGCTCTCACCGTGTGGACTTGGTCAACTGCACAGGGACAGCAAGAGGCTCAGAACCCCGAGGAGGCAAGGAGCACCACTCATGGCCTGTGCTCAAGCCTTCCTGAGGTCAATGGAAAACTATAACCACCCAATCCAGACAGGACTAAAAATGGCCCAGACCCTTCAGGAGTGAAGGTTCGGGTCACCCCACCAGGTAAGGGTCCATGCCCAGCTGAGGCGCTTTCTGAAGGGAAGGGGAATACAGATTGGATAGTAGACAAAGTAATTATAAATACCAGCCACGACCATGTGAACAGCTACAGAAATGAGGATTGTAATTGTTGTAAGTATTTCCTCCTATTTTATTATGAATATGTCTGTGTGAATGTGTATATTAAGCAGTACCTTTGTTTTCTTCTCTCTCTTATCTCACCATGTAATGTAAGTTGCACTGACTTTTATATGATATGATTATTATACGATAGTATTTAAGTTACAGGATATTTAAGTAGTTAAGTTACAGGATGGCACCCTCCTGCCCAGCATCTGCAGATTTTGCAGTGCTGAGCAGTTGGCAACGAGGCCCTCCCAGGGCTGCCTGCTACCTCTCCCGTCCCTGGCCCTCATCTTCGGGCCATGTCCCCTGGCCTCTGCTCAGGCTGACCCTCAGCCAAGGATCCTCCCATCTGTGCCCCGGGAAGTCTCCCCTGACCTGGGCTGACCAGGCGCCTTTGTCGGTGACCCTCTGTTCCCACACGCAGGTCAATCACCCACCCTCTCCTGCAATCAATCGCCTGTTTACCTGTACAGTGACCTGTACTATACTCTGGCTCCTCCAGGCCAGGGTTGACCTTTCCATCATTATGAACCGTGTGCCTGCGCTCTGCCAGGTACATCCTCATGCTCTTTGCAATACACAGATGAGTCAGGGATTGGGGCACAAGTAAGAGAGTGAGTGATGGCCGGTCGGGTGGTTAGGGATGCCAACTGCACGCAGCCCATTGCACCCTTCTCTTCTGGGTGACTCTCCCCTGGACTTAGGTACCCTGAGGGTTCGTATCACCTGGTGCTGATGTGCTCACACAGTTTCAAAACCAGAAAACTGTCACGGATGGACACAATAGGCAGTGTTCCATGGTTGTTTCAAGCACAAAATTCATTTTTAAGTGCAAAAGGATAACTTAAATCCTGAAGACCACCTTTTAAAACCAGATTTGAGTTCTACTGTGTAACTTGTGGGTGTTGGGGGCCTGGCCACAGGGCAGCCCCTGCAGGGAGCAATATGATCAGGCAGGTGGGCAGGAAGAGACCTGGGAGAGTAGGCTGGAGAGGTTCCTGCATAGGCTGGCAGATGCCTGGGCCCAGAGAGGAGCTCTGGTTCAGGAATGGGTCTGGAGAAAGAACTGCCACTCTGTCTGCACTTGTATTATCCCCAGAGGCCTGCACACCACATCGGGCCACGCAGGGAACAGAGCTCAAAGGCCCAATCCCCCTGGATATAGCAGCAGAGCACCAGCCTCCCGGGGACCAGTTTCCCGGGGACCAGCCTCCCGGGAATAGCCTCCCAGGGACCAGCCTCCCAGGGACCAGCCTCCCGGCACCAGCCTCCCGGGACCAGCCTCCTGGCACCAGCCTCCCGGGACCAGCCTCCTGGGACCAGCCTCCTGGCACCAGCCTCCCGGGACCAGCCTCCCAGGGACCAGCCTCCTGGCACCAGCCTCCCAGAACCAGCCTCCCAGCACCAGCCTCCCAGGGACCAGCCTCCTGGGACCAGCCTGCCAGCACCAGCCTCCTGGGGACAAGCCTCCTGGCACAAGCCTCCCGGGAACCAGCCTCCTGGGACCTTGACCATAGCCACTGACACCACACAACACAGAGCTGGTTTTGGGGCTTCTTCCTTCTCCACACACAGGGATATGGCGCGTAAATCTCCCACGCTCCTAGGAGAAAATTACTCCCTACTCTACGGCGCCCAGGAGCTGTATCCACCCTGCCTTCTCTCTGGTACATGCATGGAAGGGCCTGGGTGGAATTTAGCAGCACTAGCGCTAGGAAACTGCGCTGCACTGAGGTATATGCATCAGTGGATGTGGGAGTGAGGAGCTCACTGTCTTTTCCCAAAGAAAATTTAACAGAAACAGACTGGAGAATACTGCCAAATGCTTTAAAAAACCTTTGCCATAATTAGACATGTGTACATCTATGATCAAGTTGCCCAAAGTTAGGAAGCCTGTTTAGTGTAGTCATGGAGGGGTGGGGCTCAGGAAGCGGCCTGCAGGGAGTGTGCTGGCTGCAGCCCCCTAGCCCAGCACAGTCTGCTGGTGCAGGTCACACTGGCTCACTTGCTTCTGAGCAGTGGACTAAAATGACCATCATTTCTGCTCTTCTGCTGCAAATGGCAGCTGTAAATGCCTTGGGCCCTGCTGCAAATTAGGAGAAATTCAAGTGGGAACACAGATGGGCAAAATGTTCACAGGTGGTTTTGTAGACCAGTGCTTGTCTTTGTTGTTTATGAGAGGTGGGAATGAAAAGCACACACAATGTGTGGGAGGGCAATGTGCTTCTCTGCTGGGGTTTGCTGAACCTCTGGACATAAGCTCAGAGGGCCTCACAAAAACCACTTCCCCTCCTGCCTGGAGTGCAGCGTGGACTGCTCCCACAGCATGTGTCCAGCCCCAAGCGTGGCCTACGCACTTCTGCTGCCCACAGAGGCTCGGGAGCTATCAGGGGAGGAGGAGGCTGAGCCACTGTATGTGCAGCTTGCATGGCAGGGCGTCCCTGCATGTCGCCTTTCATCAAGAGGGATGTTGGGGTGTCTTCTGGACTCAACTGTTCTTTGCTGATATAGCACAACTGTTAGAGGGCATAAACCTTAAGAGAAAGCGAAATATTTACAAAGTGTCTAACAGGCAGGCTAGGAACAGACTCAGCTGGTGTTCATTAGCTTCACACTTAGGTGGGTGATGGGGAACAGCATCATCCTCCGTGTAGATTCGTACAGGACGTAATGTCATAGAAACCCACTCAGCAATGGTATTATTGAAGCCAGTCCCATTTGCTTCACAAACTAGAGAGAGGGAATTCTTGGGCAAAGAACTAGAAATGCTTAAGGAACTATTACAGCCCCCACTTTCCAAGTCTGCCCCTGGTTGTTTCTGAGCAGCTCAGAAGAAGGAAGAATGCTTAAGTGAGAGGGTAGGACTGTGAATCCCACCTCTCCCTCCTGATGAGACCCAGCCACATCTCATAACAAGGGCTGCAGGGTAGAAGGGAACAGATTCAAGACTGAACTGATCTTCAAACAGACACACAAAACACAGAGCAGCTGTTGCCCTTCATGCCAGGCGCCCTGTTAGGCTGGAGCAGACCTGAGCTTTGCTAGCTGCATTGGCTCTGCCACACCAGTCAGCACGGGAACAACCATTGCTCTGGACTGAACAACACAGGAGGTGCTGAGGCCCTGCGGAACCTGGTGTGGCCCATGTCTGCAGCGTTCCCGGCTCATGTTGAGGACAGGGGAGCAGGGCCTGCCTCCAGGGTGATGGGCAGAGAGCCCGCCGAGTCAGCGCTGGGTTTGGCAATGTCCTCGAGAAAGAGAGAGAGGCTGTCCTTGCCTGGAACACACCATCTAGTGTCCAGGGTGATCCAAAGACTAATTTTATATGGAAAGATGTCAAAAGATCTGCAGAATCAGTCAAGCCAAGAGAGAACAATCCCTAAACCGTTCAGGCAGCAAGGCCAATACACAGAGTGGCTCCTTGCCCAGCACCCAGCCCAACGCCCTAGGGATACAGCCTCAGGCAGTGCATGGGCCCTGAGCCCTGGAGAATTGCTTATTGGATTTCACATGGGCTTCCAAAAACTTCACGTAAAAAAAAAATACTAAAAT
This sequence comes from Homo sapiens, assembly GCF_000001405.40. NCBI lineage: Eukaryota > Metazoa > Chordata > Mammalia > Primates > Hominidae > Homo > Homo sapiens. Next base: position 109,450,652 of record NC_000002.12, on the reverse strand, counting down.
ATCTCATCAACAATTTTAAAACATAGGTTACATGTTGAAACAATAATATTCTGGATATTGGGTTTAATGGAATAAGCTGTTAAAATGAATTTCACCTTTTAAATTTACTTTAAAATTAATTTTACTTTTTAAAAATGTGGCTACTAGAAAATTTAAAATTAGATTTGAGGTTTGCATTATGTTTCTGCTGGACAGCACTGATTTAGAAGTCTGGATTCTCATCCTGGTTAATCTAACGTCTAGCAGGGTGGCAACCGGAACAAGTTTCTTGGACTCAGATTTTCTTTCTTTTTCTTTTTTTTTTTTTGAGATGCAGTCTTGCTCTGTTGCCCAGGCTGGAGTGCAGTGGCACAATCTTGGCTCACTGCAGGCTCTGCCCCCCGGTTTCCAGTGATTCTCCTGCCTCAGCCTCCTAGGTAGCTGGGATTACAGGCGCACGCCACCATGCCTGGCTAATTTTTGTATTTTTAGTAGAGATGGGGTTTTGCCATGTTGGCCAGGCTGGTTTCAAACTCCTGACCTCAGGTGATCCGCCCGCCTCAGCCTCCCAAAGTGCTGAGATTACAGGCTTGAGCCACCACGCCTGGCCCAGATTTTCTTTTATGAAATCAGCACTTCATGGCTAAAAGAATAGCTAAAAAACACACCAGCCATCAGGTCAGCATTCTCCTGTTCCTTCTCATTGCTCCTCAGGAAACAGGCCTGTCCCATATGGTTGAACAGGTTGTGGACTGCACAAGGATGACATATTGAAGGGAGTGGGTGCTGTTCACACTGCACACGTAGATTTGTATATTTATTATTACAATATCCCAGCACATGGCAATAAATATCCTGTTCTAACAAAATGAGTATATTACAATGATTTTACAACAGATGGAACTAAGGCATTTTCAAGAGGGGACACCTTTTTCTGATTTGCATGAGAAATGTAGCTGGACTTGCATGGCCCTGCCAGCACCCAAGGCCTGCCTGATTCCTCTCCAACCAGCTGCTCTGGTGGTTTGGCTCCCTCTCTGTCACACGCCTGGTTCATCTAGGGGCAGGCACTTGGAGCCCACATTCTAGCTTCAATTGCACAAATGCCACTGCCATCTAGTGCCAAAAAGTTACAGTAAGCAGCTGGCCTCGAGCCCAGGGCTCGTCCAGGATGGGCCTCTTACCTTTTCACTTTTCTTCTCGTCTAGTTTGCATCCCGTGTTGGTGGGGCTGGATGTGGACAGAACACCGATGGGCCCCCCTCCAGCCTCCCCGTTGAGGTTTGCGGCACTGACGTTGGGAGGTGTGATGGCTGATGCTGCTGATGTGAGGGGGATGGCCGGCCGTGGGCACATCTGCACCGGGGGCTGGTGGCTGTGCTGCGGGGACACCACCGAGTGGGGCCTGAGGCTGGTGGCAGGCAGGCGGGATGGAGAGTTCTGGGTGCGCAGGGGTGACACGGTGGCAGTTGGCCGGTCCTGAGCCTGGGCTGCAGAGTGGGCAGCTGGAGACGGGGTTGGAGAGACAGCAGGTTGAAAGGTTAGTTTGCAACTTGCCATGCCTGCCAGGCAGCTGCAATGCACACTCAGGCTCCCTTCTCGAGCACTCACAGCCTCTCTCTGAAGTTTCTCCAGACAGACCTGGCCTCTTCACAGATGGAGAAACAGGCCAAGAAACCCTGAAAATGCATTCCTATCTTCCAAAGCCCAAGGGATCAGGGGGCCCTGCCACGGCTCAAAACACCCCTTTCCTCAGGTGGAGCTAAAACAGCTTTGCCAAGGTTGCCATGAACATGGGCACATTCCCAGTTCTATGAAGTCCTTTAACTCAGCGGTCCCCAACCATTTTGGCACCAAGGACCCGTTTTGTGGAAGACAATTTTTCCACAGACTGAGGCAGGGGATGGTTTCGGGATGATTCAAGTGCATTACATTTGTTATGTACTTTATTTCTATTATTACTACATTGTAATATATAGTGAAATAAGTATACAACTCACCATAACATAGAATCAGTAGGACCCCTGAGCTTATTTTCCTGCAACTAGACAGGCCCATCTAGAGATGATGGGAGACAGTGACAGATCATCAGCCATTAGATTCTCATAAGGAGCGTGCAACCTAGATCCCAAGTAAGTGGAGTAAGGTTTGCTCTCCTATGAGAACCTAATGCCGCTGCTAATGTGATGGGTGGTGGAGCTCAGGTGGTAATGCAAGCGTTGAGGAGGGGCTGTAAATACAGATGAAGTTTTCCTTGCTCACCCACCACTCACAACCTGCTGTGCAGCCCAGTTCCTAACAGACCATGGACCGGAATTGGTCTGTGGCTTGGAGGCTGGGGACTCCTGCTCTAAATAATTTTCTCTGCTGTGATGAGCTGAAGCACTCAGAAAAATTTTGAAAATATGGTTTTGAAATATGGTTGTAAAATGCTCATAAACATAAAGCCTGTGAAAGCATCTCAGTGAAGCCTCAAGATGTCCCCTGAATTATTAAGCACCACTGCATGCAAGCCGACCAAGCTTGACTCTAGTTACTCTTGATCCCGAACTGGCCTGGCTGGTCCTTGGTTTCCACACTGGGTATGTCACTCAGCAAGAGTGAGGGCTGAGCATGTGAGAGCTGCCTTGGCTGGGGACAATTGCAGGAAGAAAGCAGCAGACGTTTCTCCCAGCAGCAGCCTGGAGGAGAAGCCGCCCACCACCCTGCTGCCATCTGCCTGCATTTGCTGCTCTGCCTGCATGTCGAAGCACCGGGCTTCCAGGTTTACAAAACTGGAACCTTACAACTGTGGATCCACCACCTTGCTGCCAGCAAAAACAATTCTTAAAGATGTTAGGGATTGCAAGTTGTAACATTTGCAAAAATCTCCCATATGAAAAGATACAGCTCCCTTTAAACACAGCACCACATTAATAGTAATCCTGCTACTATGTGTGTTAGTAATTTCAGGGAATTATCTCCTTAATAAATATGGATGAAACAAATGCTGGGAGAGAATGAACGGCCCCAGGGGAATGGTGACTTGTGTCCTGGGTTGTTCTGGCCCAAGTGGAGACCTGGGCTGAGCATCAGACACTGCTTTATACCAAGTGGCCCGGGCAGCACCACGCAGCTCACATCCAGCTGCTGTGCATTCTTAAGGCAGAGAAAAATTATGTCATACTGTAATCATTTTCTACCAGCAGACTTTGTGGCATTCATGGCTTCAGAGCATGAAAGAAAATACATGCAATAAAAACAATCTTCTCAGCCCCCAACTATGCACTCGTTAATCCTAACAGCGTTTGGAGGCCACGGGAAGTAGCACCGTGAGACATACAAAGCTCTCCATCTGGGAGTCAGGCCTTCTTCTGACACAGCCGTGTGTGAAGCGCTGGTGAGATCTAATTATGTGATCCCAGATTCTCCGGGACTTAGGCAGCCTGCTGTTTCTACGAGGTGAAATACAGAAAGGCTGATTTATGTGGGTTTTTTTTTTCTGTTTTCTTTTTCTTTTTCTTTTCTTTTTTTTTTTTTTTTTTTTTAAATATTCAGGGCTTCAGCTGGGTTGGAAACTTGAAACATTTGATCCTAACCCAACACAGCTCCACATTTACAAGGAGAGCAGGTCAGGCAATCACGCAGATCCAGGGGCCTCGGGTCATTTAATCACCCTGGAAACCCTGACTCAGAGGCCGCTCCTCGAGATTTATTCGTCTCTCCCCTCAGCTGTCTGACTCCCCTTCTCTCGGTCCAGGGTCCCTGGAAGGGGGGTGACAGCCTGCCAGGGAAGCGCTGTGGCCCTCGGCGTTGGGACTGCACCAGGGTCTGTGCCCCTGGGCTGTGCGTGGCTGGCCTCTACCTCCTGGCCGGCTTCCCCTCGCCTGCCGCACTACTTTGCTCATCCCAGGCACCAAAGAAGAGAGGGAGTGTGTTCCAGCAAGCTCCAACCTCACCTCCTAATACTCTCCCCTCAGCCACACTGGCCTCCTGGCCACTCTGCCAATAGGACTGGCTCCTGGTCACCTCAGAGGCACAGTGCCAGCACCCCTGCCCATAGACCTCACCTCCCTCATAGCTGCAAGGTGGGACCCTCGGGTGCCTGGAAGGCTCAGATACCACCTTCTAGAGACCTGCCTACCACCTTCACGGTGCTGCCTGACCCTGCAGCCTCAGCCTCCCCTGCTCCTGCTCTAGCTCCAGCTTTCCTTTGCTCCCAAGGCTCTTAGCTCCTCACAGTTGTGTAATTTACATGTTCGCTGGAGGCTGATTATTCATTGCCTGTCCCCACTGTGCAACGGAGCTCCATGAGGTGGGGACATGGCTGCTTAATTCACGATAACGCCCGCAATGGTCCCTGGCATGTAGAAGGTGCTCTGTACATTTTTTGAATAAAAGAGTGAGTCTCTGAGGAAAAAAGAACCCCAGCCATGTCACTTCCGATTTCACAGAATGGAACCACTGGAGAAGAAAAACTGTAGCGTGAGAAAGCAAGGCACAGCTCAGGTCATGACACTGGCTGGTGAAGAGTGTGCTCATCTCTGGTAGGATTTACCCTTATTTTCACCCACCCCGGGTGCCCCAACCCCGAGCTGGCTGGGACTACTCGTTAGTGATGCCAAAGTAGCCCACATCTTCTTTGAAGTCAAGCTGACAGATGAAGGCTGCTTAGGAAAGCACCACCCATGGTCCCTGCTTTTCCCTTTCCTCTCTTCTTTAAACTTTTGGTGTGTTTCAGTCCCGCTGCAGCTTCCAAGGACTGTGAGCCCTCACTCAGTTCATTCTATGTCCCTAGTATCTGTAGGTGCTTTATAAATGATAGGGGAATGAATAAATGATCTATTGCATCACCAGCTTTGTCCTTTCCTTATTTTCAGGGGTATCGCTTCCCACTTCAGGGATGAAATGGAACTCCCACAACTCCAAGCCAACCCCCCTCTCTACTTCCCCACACCCCTCCCTTCCAGTCACAAGGACTCTGGGTCCCACCAGGTCAACGCCTTCACCCACATCCTTGATACCTTCTCTGGCTCATCCCTTCTCTCATATATTTAGCCTCTTTATTAGCTTTCCCCCATAATTTATTAACCAGTTGTCTCTCCCATTTAATAAATAATCTTCCTTCTATACCTTGTCCTCTTTTAGCTAGTACCTCCTTTTCCCATTTTTCTTTACACTTAATATTTTTGAAATAGTGTGTACACTGGCTCTTTCTTATATTTTTATTCATTTCTATGTAAGTAATCTGTATCTGCCCTCTGGCAGGTTTTGTAGTATTTTCCTTATCCTTTGATGCTTTAAGTTTAAGTTCAGCATGTTTAGGCTTGGATTTTTGGTTATTTTTCCTACTCAGCACTCTTTGTGCTTTCTGTGTGAGGACTTGAGCCCCTCTTCAATTTTGGAGAATTCTCAGGGACTACTCCTTTGAATCTTCTCTCTGTCCCATCTCTTCTATTTTCTAGTTATGAAAATCCTGTTAGAAGTAGTTTGGAGCTCCTCAATCTATCCTCCATGTTTATACATCTCTTTCACATTTTTCATCTCTGCTCTGTATTCTGGATAAATTCCTCTGTATGGCTTTCCAATTTCACTAATTCCACTTTCAACTGTGTCTAGAGTTTATGCTACCTACAGAGGTTTTGTATTTAAATATATATTTTTCCTCTCCAAAATTTCAAATTGGTTCTTTTTCATATCCAGTTGTTTCTGATTCATAGCCATCCACCTATTTTTTCATAGCTTCCTGTTTTTCTTTTTTGTGTGTGTATATGTTATTCCTTCTTTTCCTCTTAGATCTTAAACATACTGATTTCAAAGATGCTCTCAGATTTCTCCCTTATTTTCCTCCTATCTCTTGAGTTTATTGGCTAACTTATGTGTGAGTTTCCCTTTTGTGTTTTGAAATCTTAATGTGCCAGCTCACCCTGAGCTTGCGGCTCTTTGTCTACTTTTCTGGGTCTGGCAGTTCTGTTGTTAGTGCTGCTTGGCCTCTAGGACCCTCCCTTAGAACTAGGTTTAATGGGCTTCTTGGAGTTCTGGTCCTGCAGAGAGGGTGCTGAGCTAGTCCTAGTCCTCAGGCCAGAGCCATCCTCAAACTCAGCACCATGACCAGGGTTGGGGCTCTCTCTTCTTTCTCTCACACCCCAGGTGGAGGCTTAGTATGGCCCATCCCCTGGAAAATGATGGAATTTTTAGAACTGGCACACCTAGCTCTGGTCCCCTGATTCTCACAGGGGCTTCCTGTCCATATTCTCCTGCAGGAGTTGAAAGTCACCCAACAAGGCCTGCTTTTTATCCTACAGCCAGTAGGCCAGTGCTTCAGCACTTGGCTATTGTGTGTTCCATTTTATATAGACCCACAGAGTTGACTTTTTAAATATTAAAAACAAACATCTTTACAACAACATCACATAAACTTAATTACTGTATTTTTTAAGAAGTCTCTAAATCAGTGTTAGCTTCCCAAGTTCACTGTTCTTTTTCATTTCATTCAGCTCAAAATGCGTTATAATATCCCTTTTGATTTGTTCTTTAATATATGGGTTATTTTGAAGTAAACTGTTTAGTTTTCAAATATTTGAGTATATCAAATATTTGTTATTATTTGTATTAATGAATTCTAATTCAATGCCACTGTGGTCAGGGAATGTAGTTTCCATGACTTGAATCCCTTTAAATGTGCTGAAACTTAAAAATATCATGGCCCAGTACATAATCTATCTCAGTAAATGTTCTGTGTGCACTTGAAAAGAAGGTGCATTTTGCTGTTGTTGGGTAGAATGTTTCACAAACGTCAACTAAGTCAAGTTGATTATACTGTTGTTCTAATGTTTTAAATTTTTACCATTTTATATCTAACTGTTCTATCAATTATTGAGACATGAAAGTCTCTGACCATAATTGTAGATTTGTTTATTTCTCCTTGTACCTTTATCCATATTGCTTATGTATTTTGAAGTTCTGTTACTTGGTGTATAAATATTTAGAACTGTTATGTCCTCTAAATGAACTGACCCCTTTATTGTTACGAAATTGCCTTTTTATCTCTAATAATTTTTATAAATTCTGCTCTATCTGATTAAGATAACCACTCCAGCTTTCTTTTGATTAATATTAGCATCATATAATCTATTCTCATTATTGGCAGATTCTGTATTTGCAAATTCTTCTACTAGTGAAAAACGATTTGTAACCCCCAAGTCATTATCTGTGGTGCTTTCAGTTATTTTCAGACATTCATGGAATGGCAAAAATTTGAGTTGCCTGACACTCATATTCCCAGCTGAGGTTGAACAAGGCGATTTTTGTTTCAGCGTCACACAGAGATGACAGGAGGATAGAGCCGATAGGGGGCAACACAGTACAATGCAGAAAGTTTTGGCTCTGAGGCCAGTTGGACAGTATTTGAATCCCAGCTCTGGCACCTGTTAATAGGGCAGCCTCAGGTCAGCCACTTAATCCTTCTGAACCTCATTTTCTCTTTTGTCAAATAAATAAAATAGAATCTACTAGAATAAGATGATAATTTATGTGAGATATGTGTACACACCCATGCACGCATGCCACACACAATTTCACCTAGAAGCAATAGTTCAGTATTCACAAATTCAGTGTTCATGATAACTTCATAGAATGTAACTACCATGAATAATGAGAATGTGTATAACTTGTTCCATCCCTTCACTTTTAGCTTATTTATGTCTTTAGACTTGAAGTATTAAAGTATGTTTCTTACTCACAGCATATCGTTGGTTTTTTGTTTGTTTTTAGTAATATGTGACAATCTCTGAATTATATTTAGGGTTATTTAGGCCATTTACATTTAGTGTGATTACTTACATGATTAGGTTTAAACCTACCATCCTACTATATGTTTTCTCTTTGACCCATGTATTGTTTCTTTTCCCTTCTGTTAATGCTTTCTTTTGGATGTTTTCATGATTCCTTTTTATTCCCTTTTAGCTTATTTGCTGTAACTTTTTGTTTCATATTTAGTGACTGCTTACATCTTTATTTTATTATAGTCATTTACAAATGATTTCATAACATAAAGATTCATAGTATAAGAATGTTACAGTAGTATACCAAACTTCCACTTCTCCCTTCCCAAACTTTGTGTTTTTGTTTATTGTACATTTTGCTTTTGAGTTTTAAATCCCAAACTAGATTGCTTTCACTTTTGTTTAAACAGTCAATTATATTTTAAAGATATTCAAATAATAAGAAAACATCTTATATATTTATCTATGTAGTTACCATTTCCAGTGCTTTTCATTCCTTTGTATAGATCTTCATTTTCATCTGGTATCATCTGCCTTCTTTCTAAATAATTTCATTTTTACCTTTCTAATAGTGTGGATTTTTTCTTTTTTTTTTTTTTTTGAGGTGGAGTCTCACTCCGTTGCCCAGGCTGGAGTGCAGTGGCACGATCTCGGCTCACTGTAAGCTCTGCCTCCCAGGTTCATGTCATTCACCTGCCTCAGCCTCCTGAGCAGCTGGGACTACAGGCGCCCGCCAACACGCCTGGCTAATTTTTTGTGTTTTTAGTAGAGACGGGGTTTCACTGTGTTAGCCAGGATGGTCTCAATCTCCTGACCTCGTGATCCACCCGTCTCAGCCTCCCAAAGTGCTGGGATTACAGGCGTGAGCCACTGTGCCTGGCCAATAGTGTGGATTTATTAGAGACAAAATCTTTTAGTTTTACTATTTCTGAATAATTCTTTATTTTGCTTTTTTTTTGAAAGATATTTTTGCTGGGAGTAGAGTACTAGATTGACAGCTATATTTCTTTCAGTATGTTTTTTGGTTATTCTGTCATCTCACTTGAACTGTTCTTGACATCATCCTTACCCTTATCTTTTTTTCTATTTCATGTAATGTATCTTTTTGTCCTCTGGCTGTTTTCAGTGTTTTCTTTATGAGAGATTTTGAACAGTTTGATTGTGATTTGCCTTGTTACAGTTTTCTTCATGTTTCTTGTGCTTGGTGTTCACCAACTGTCTTTGAAACTGTGTTTGTGGTTTTCATCAAATTTGGAACAATTTTGGTCATTATTTCTTCAAATCATTTTTCTGTCCTACCTCTCTCCTCTACATTGGAGACCTCCAATTACACGTATATTAGGCCACTTAAAGTTGTCCCATTGCTCACGGATTCCATTCATTTTTCAAAATTGTCTTTTATCTCTGTGTTCCACTTTCCACGGCTTCTATTACTATATCTTCAAGTTTACAAATATTTTTTCTTCAGCAATGTTTAATCTGCCATTAATTCCATCTAGTATATTCTTGATCTCACACACTGTAGTTTTTATTTCTAGAAGTGTGATTTGGGTCTATTATGTCTCTACTTAACTTTCTGAGTATGTGAAAGGCAACTGTAATATCATTTTTAAATGTCTTTGCAACATCTATGTCAATTTGGGGTCAGTTTTGATTGATTGACTGATCCCTTCATTATAAGTCATATTTTCCTGCTCCTTTGCATGCCTCATAATTTTTTATTGGACATCAGACATTGTGATTTTTATGTTGTTGAGAGCTGGAATTTTTTTTTTTTTTGTATTCCTATAAATATTCTTAAGCTTTGTTCTGGGACAAAGATAAATTAATCAGAAATAGTTTGACTCTTGAGTGTTGTTTTTGAGCTCTGTTGGGTGAAATTGGAACAGTGCTCAGTCTGACCACTACAGAGGCAAGGTCCTGTGTAGATTACTCAATGCCTGGTGATTTCTGCAATTTTTCCGTCTGGCTGGTGGGAACAGGCACTATTTCCAGCTGGTGTGTATTCTGGGCACTGTTAGCACTAATCCTTTCTTTCTTTGATTCTTTTCCTGGCTTTGGGTACGTTTCTCATGTTCATATGCAGATGAGTTGTCACCTGAAGATCTCAGGGCGTGCTCTGCAGCCTCTCTGTGCTGTTCTCTCCTCTCTGGTCACTGCCCTGGAAACTCAAGCCCTCTCTGTCACACAAACTCTGATCTCCACATCCTCGGGGCTCCTCCACCTGGTTACCTGCCTCCTTTTGCCACTGCCTGCAACTTCTCTCATGAATCAGTCCTTGGTTGTCTGGTGTCTTGAAAACTGTTGTTTTATATACTTGGCTTTTTAAATTTGTTTCATGTGGGAGAGTAATTCCTGTCCTCATCACTTCAGATTGGCCATAAGCAGAAGTCTAGCTCAATCTTTTAAATACAAAAATATGACTATGTCTATTATTCAACACCCTTTGATGTGCCCCCTTAGGATAAACATCTAAATTCCTTACGTGGTCTAGAAGAACCTCCATGCTCTGCTCTGCTTAGCTTTTCGGCTTCACTGCGGGTCTTTCTTTGCTCCCGCACCCTATCCGTATTCCAGCGTCCATGGGCCCCTGGCCTCGGCGGCCCAAGAGCTCCCCATGCTTCCCCTTCCTGAGTGCTTCCCACACTCTCCTACTGCTGCATGCTGAGCTCTACCCACCTTTCAGATTTAAAGGACAGTATGCCTCTGCAGGGAACTGTCATCTACACACTGGACTTCTCCTTCTTCCATAGCTTTGCTTCAGTCATGTCACAACTAAATAAAGTTCCCCAAAACAAGAGTTATGCTATTCCTCATTGCCAGGCCATTGCTCATGCTGGTTCCTCTGCTCTGAACCTCCTTTCTCTTTTGTCTGCTCAGACACTTCCTATTTGTCCTTTAAGATTCAAGGCATTATCACCTCCTCTTGAAAACTTTCCATATGCCCTACTCCCAATCCCCCTCCTATTTTCCTCCCCAGTCGGAATGAATTCCCTCCTCCACACTCTCTTAATACCTAAGCAGGCCTCTTTTGCAGCCCTTTAGCAAACCCACCACAGAACTTTGTTTTCTAGTCATTCTCTCTAACCGGGGTGGAAATGGGGCTTGTCTGGTTTTCCTCTGTTTCCAGACCCCTGCAGGGTGCCTTGCCTGTATCTAGCTCCTTCTCGGTGCTTTTTTGCTGATGAATTCATGGCTATGCTGGGCTCTTACTCCTGCTAAGCACAGACAGGAGTGTGCAAGGAACACTGGCACTTTACAGGGGGTGCTCTGCCTTTGGGAAAGGAGTTACATTAATCAAGTAGAACAAATCATATTGGATGCTATGGCCAATGCAATTAAGCCTTTGTCAAACTGCCTGACTTTGGCTCGAGATGAGAACATTGATGAAATGCCTCCCACCCATCGGGGTTGGGGTCTGCTGAAATGGGCAATTACTGCAGGGAACAATCCATTACTTGGACTGTCAACAGTGTTTTTTCTCTCTCTAAATGCAGAATGAAGTGGAAAATGCCGCAGGAACTCAGTGGCATTTAATTTACTGATATGGCTCAGTAGGAGTCATTCTTTAACCTGGCTGTGACAGCAATAGCGTGGGGACAAGTGCTGGGCTGGGATGCACTGGGGAGCCGTTTAACCATCCCGTGCCTCACTCTCCCCGTGTGTAACATTAAACTGATGGAAGAGAATGCTCGTGGCACCCTCATGGTTACTATGGTGATGGAGGACTGAGACACAATGTTGCACTGCCCCACAGCCTTGCCAATTTCTTTTGATCCTGCTTGTTATTCCACAGAGGGAGAAGTGACTGGCAGGGCTCCATTTCTTCTTTGAATTGGGAACGTTTCTAGCAAGGCTTGGTGTGGAAAGACCATTATACTGGCTATTCTGGGCAGACAACCCAGGGCCACTGCACTGGGATGCTGACTCACCGTGATGAGTGGGGCCACTCACCCTTTCTAGTGCTGGTGCATGTGGAAACATTTGTACAGAACACCGGGCTGATTGGATGAGATGTTTATAACCAGAAGGGACCTGGCCTGGGACTTTTGCTCCCCTGGTCCTGCCTGGGTGCTCCAGTGGCCAAACAGATCAGCATATTGGCTGCCTCTGACCAGTCAGGGAGCACAACTTCAGATCACCAGATCACTTGCCAACTGCAATGACTGTATCCCCAGCTAGAGGCTACCAGAAAACACAGATCCACGTAAACCATGCTGAAGGACGGCTGATCAGAAGGTCATGGGTTGCAGGGTGGGCTTGGGCACCAGGTAATATTGCTGCAGATTCTTTCCCAGGGCCCTGGAGCCAGGGGTGTGAAAACCAAGAATCATTCTTAGCTGATTTAAGTAAAAAAGATACTAGTAGAGACTTACAGAATCTGAGATGGCAGAGTAGGTCTTGAAGGCTCTGACACCAGGGTAGTCCTCAGACCACCCATGAAGCTTTCCTAGTGCTAAATTACCCACTGCTTGACAGGTACACCACCAGCACAAGGCTGAACACTGGGCACCTGAAGTCCACCTGCACCCACTGATGGTGCCAGACATTGGGCACCCAAAGTTCACCCTATACCTGCTGATGGTGCCAGACACCAGGCACTCAAAGTCCACCTGCACCCAGTGACGATGCTGGGCACTGGATACCTGAAGTCTACCCTGCACCCACTTGGGTGGGCAAGTGGATGACAGACACTTACCTCCCACCCCTTGTCCCATCAGCTAAGATAAGGAAGGAAATATGGCCTCTGCTGACCTAAGTGTTGTCTCCTCTTTCCACACTTGAGAAGCTGCTTTCTGGACACTTCTAATGGGTCATCGTGTTCGTTAGTCTAAGAAATAGTATATTTTATTGCTTCCATGAATTTACATTATTTTTGCCCTTTAAGCCTCACTTTGAGAAAAACAGATGATTTCTGAGAGGACAGGGTTGGGGTGGGAAGAGAGATTCTGTGTTATCCCCTCTTGTCCTGGGGTACTTGGCATCATGTCAGCATCACTGGCTCCACCGTGGTGGAAGACGCCGTGGCATGGGCTCCCAGATCATCCTGCGAATCCAGCATCAGCAGTTCTTATTAGCTCAACACTAAGCCACCAACCAAGATGTGCTTACCTTCTTTATGCCTTTAAGGCCCACCCCATAATTTCTTTTCATCTCACAACATCCTGGGGCCAAACCGGTTTTCCTTAAGTTTCTCCAGCTGCCATGAAGGCGAAGGATCAACAGCTGTCATTCCTCCTGCCTCAGAGCACTTCAGAAAGGGAAGAGCCTGGGCCCGAGTCTCACCCCAGCCCTGTCCTGTGAGATGCCGCCTAGCTGGGAAGCCCTGCAGGGCCCGGCAGATGGAAGACCCACGTGGCCGGCCCACAATCATTCATGGGGGAGGCATTTGAAAGTGCCGGTGTTAATCTTATTAGTCTATGAGGCCCTCTTGCCACAATGAAATGTGTAAATATTTGTAAATTTACTTCAGCTGCCAGGATGGGTAACATGATAAGGCAAGTGAACTTCCTGGAGATCAGACGTTCACGAGCATGACAAGATGTGCTTACCTTCTTTATGCCTTTAAGGCCCACCCCATAATTTCTTTTCATCTCACAACATTCTGGGGCCAAACCGGTTTTCCTTAAGTTTCTCCAGCTGCCATGAAGCTGCCACCAGCCACACATGCACTGCTGGAGCCTTGGGCCAAGATGTGTCTCACAAGCATGTCCCAGGAAGCCCCCTTGTTGATGCCCTGCAGGGTGAGGCCCCTGTGAAGGTACCTGTTGAAATGGTGCTCCGGGCTTGGCTGGCCGTTGGCTGGGCTGAGTGCCGTAGACAGCTGCCTGTTGGGGGCGAGGCTGTGGGGTGCTGGGCGTGGGCCTGGGGAGTGGTGATGGGCAGGGCGGGCCTGGTGGCAGTGGCCAGGCTGCTCAGACTCCCACTGCCTGGGTGCATGGTTGTGGTTATCCCTTTGGCCAGTGGAGACCCTCCGACTACATTATTCCGGGGCGGCCCTGCCCCTCCTGCAGGCACCCTGTGGAGAGAAAGCAGAAGGAATTCTGATGAGAGGCTCAGAGGCATTCGTGCCATGTGGGCCTCTGGCAGAGCCTCGCTCTGACCTGCTGGCTTTAAGAGATGAAGGCCAACTGATCTGGGGACGAGGTCCTAAAACAATGCCCGTCACTGGGCAGAAGGGCCCTGTTTACAAAACCTTCATGGGGTGCAAACTGTCAGTGTGAAATATTTAAGAGATAGCAAAGCCGCCCTGAGAAACAGAGGAATGAGCTGAACGAAATCTTTTATACCACAGCTACTGCCTTAATTTGTTCTTACAAACAGCTGTGTGTCTCCAGATACATCCAGAAAGAACAGATGACTCAGTCATGTCCCGCGAGGCCTTGACACATCCAGCACATTGGGGAAAGGATGGCAAGGACGCGGGCCCCCTCTGGGCACGACTGCCACCTCGCATCTGCTGGCTGCTGGGAAAGGGCACACACAGCACGACATCCTTCTGAGAATGTCTGGGAGCTTGCAGTTCCATACCAGAAATAGATGCCCTTTCACTCCGAAGTTTCCAGATGACATCAGCTCACACAAGAGGAACACTCTGGAAATGGGGCTTTTCACGCTTTCCCTCTGTGTATTTGCAATTAATCCATGTCCTGGAGGCAGCGATGTGAAATATGGCAGAGTTAGGGGTTTGGAAGCTTCTGTGGATTCAGTTTCAGGGGAATTAAATGTCTTCCATTTGTCCAAGAGCTGGGTAAATTCCTGTTTCTGTCCCTTCAGGATCTTATTTCAAGACACACCAAGAAGCCACAGGTGGGAGAACAGGCTGCCTGCCCCGTCTCCTGTGCCTGGTCCAGCCATCTCCCTGTGGCTGGTATCACTGGGCACGACCTCTAGCAGGGAAGCTCCCGGCAACACAGAGTGAGGGTTTCTGCACAGCAGCTGAGAGGAGAGGGGCCTCTTGGAAAAGGACTCACCTGCTAGGGGACCCTGGGTGGTGTCCTCCTTCCCCAGCCCTCAGAGCTGTGCTGAACTTCACCCAGCAATCAAGCTTGTTAGCAGGTCAGCCAAAACCATGAATTTAAAAATCCCATTTTCTATCATCTGTTGAGCTCACTTTTCCCCGAGGAAATCATTTTTAAAAACTAAATAAAGTGGGCTCACAAATGATGAGTCACTAATTTGCAAGGTGATATTGACAAGTCTGAACACAACAGATACAGACACACATCTGCCTCTCATGACAGCAGAAAACCCTTTCCCTCTGCCCTCATGGCAGGATGGCAGAGATACCCTTGGCTAGTCCTACTTCCTTAGTGCGTGCCCTCACGGGAAGAGCCACATACCTGCTCCCACACCAGGTTTTTAAATGGACTCACAATGCTCAGCTCTGAGCACTATACTCCCAGCCCCGAGAGCCCACCAGCACTTCAGGGCCTCCTAGCACGATGGGGGCAAACACAGGTGGTGGATCCAGGTCTATGCAGGAAGGAGTAGGCCTTCGCCTACCCTCCAATCACTGCCAGATAAGCCTTCTGCTGTGTGGCTTTGGCAATTGTCCTGAACCCAGTAGGGATCAAGAAAGTATAAGTCCTGGGGGCACAGCTTTGGAGGGGGACAGGTGTCTTCCACTTCTGGGGATAAAGACCGAGGCCAGATTTCCTGTTTTGTGCTGAGCTATGGATTGGACTGAGGGACCCATGGCCTTCAACATACTGACCTGGGGGCAGCCGACCCGGGCGCAGTTCCTTCTCTAAGGAACCGGAGAGGACACTCAATGACCTCCTGACACTGCAGTTACCGGGGCTAGATTTGGAGTGGCTTTTCCTTAATGTTTATTCCTGGCTCTGCCATTCTTTGGAAAACACAGACCAAGAGGGCTTGAGGAGAGTGAGCAACCATGAGGTGCACAGCAGAGGTAGAGGGAGGGGACCGGGCCACTCTAAGTGCTCCAGTGTCAGGAGCTGGAGGATCTTCCCATAACAAACTCCCTGGCAGCAGGAGAAGACAGTTCTTGAGGAGACATTTTGATCAGAACAACTAGATTTCTTTTATTGATTCGATCTGCATTTATTGAGCACCTCGTATATGAACATGGTATGCAAGGAGCCAGGTAAACAAGGCTGGAGATGGCTATTGCGGCCCAGGGACTGGCCTGTGAGGGGGGATCCTGAATGCCTGTAGAACTTGCCAGTGGGCTGCTTGGGATGACACCGTGGGCAGAGCTGTCCATCCCGACTACAGCACAGGCAAGGATGAGGGCCTCCAGGCAAGGCTTCATATAGCAAGTGGACTTAGGACCCAGCTCTTGAAGGATATTCAGGGATTTAACTCAGAAGCAGGAAGAGGGTGGAAGGCAGTCCAGTGTTGTGGGGGTGGGAGGCGCCTAAGAGAGCTCCCTGTGGTGACACTGACTGACACACGTCAGGAGTTGCCCGGCCAGGCGATGTCCCAATGCTACGCAAGGAAGCTGGATTTCAACCGCAGGCTTTACATCTCTGAAGGTCTGCGGAAGTTCTCAGGTAAAGATAAAGGAAGAATCAGAGGAGAGAAACTGGAAACTGGGAAGCCGATGGCCTCCCTCAGAAGCTGCTGCTCTAACCTGCTGCATGGAGGAAGAACCTGCCTCCTCATATAACAGTAGGGCGTGTGACAGAGTGATGTCCCCCAGCAGGGCGGGCGAGCCCAGAGGTGTGGACACCCGCCATCTCAGGCTGCGCCTTCCTGGAGGGTGCCAGCTGGTCAGGGAGTCCCCTAACCTAGAGGGGTGACCTGTGCTTTCCTGGAAGAGCCATCTGATGACACGACAGGTGAGCCCAACTCCAGGCCAGGGGCTTCAAGCACAGGCCGGTTGCAGGCTGAGAGAGCCAACCTGTTCCTACTGGCATGGGAAATCCAGACCAGAGACCTTCTTCGGGGCTGCGCACACTGGGCAAGTCACCCCACACCACTGAAGAAGCCGCAGGAGGCTGTGGGCAGCTCACCCTCTAAGTAGCCACCCCTCTGACCAGGTGGCTGGGTTTGAGGGGGTGCATTTCCTGAAGCCCCTCTGCAGTTTGCTTCTCAAGCTTTTCCCTGCTGAGCATCACCTGAGCGAAGGATCTCTAACTGCCCCTTCAGCCTTGTGCCTGCAGACCTTTCAGGCTTTGGGCAACTCCATCATCCCTTAGCCCCCGCTTCTGGGCACCTCGAGAGAGGCCCTGGCTGAAGATTGCCTTGCGAACTAGAGCTGCTCAAGTCAACACCGCATGTGTCCCGAGACCACTCTGCAAGTAGCAATCAGCCCAGCAATCAATGCAGGGTCTACAGGTTATTTATTTCCACTGTAGCCTTGTTCCAAAGACAGGAGAAACCCAAGGCCACGTCTTTCGCTTCTGTGTGTGTGTCCTGCAGTGTCAACACAGGGCCGTGCCCACGAGGGGCTTCTGTGAGTGAGGCTGACTGATATCACCAAGCTGTGGATCCTCATCTCAGCGAAAAATTCCCAGACAACCCCCTTGTCTCTTCAGTGACTCTAAAATTACATATTCTATTTGATAAAAGTAGTAGAACTGAGAACTTATTAAACACTGACAACACAAAGAAAAAAATATATTACCACAATGCGACCACTCAACAATCGTTGACCTTTGGGAAGATATCATTTTTCCTTTGCATATATGTATATAGTGTTTTACATATCACACGTCTATATATGATGACACACACTGCACACACATGCATACACACTGCATACACACATGCTGTACCTACATTATGCACACACGCACACACCTTGTGCTTACAGTATGCATACGCACGTGCACAGGCACGCACACTGCACATACTCTGCACACATGCACAAATACCATGCACACAAGCACACAGAAGCGTGCACACACTGCACACGCATAGCATACACGCTGAACACACTGTATATATGTGCACACACTGTCCTCACACAAACACACATTCACACTTGAGACCTCATTCTGGTGACTTTCCTGTCCCTGCTCCTCCTGATCCCATTCTTCTCCCCTTGGTGGCCAATGTCTGCTGAGGACAGCCAAGGAGTTGAGTGCAAACCCAGCTCAGAAGGTGAAATGTGGGCCTGGGGACGCCAGTGGGGGCTGAACCCTGGGCACTGGTGGCCTTGCTGCCTTCTGGGCCCGGCTGACAGAGTAGCCTCCAGCAGTAACAACAGCGGTAAGGCGTGCAGGCCCTTGCCCTCTCCTTGCCCAGGCTGCCACCACCATGCCCTCACCTGGAAACGGGTGTCACGTAGTTTCCGGGGAACACCCCAGAGACCCCGGTCCTCAGAGACGCCCCCTTGAACCAGCCATCCTGACACTTCTCGAGGACCCGGTACATCTCTCCCTTGTGCAGCTCCAGCTCGTCACTCTTCTGGGGCTTGTAGGCGTAGAGCGCCAGGTACCTGCGGGCAAAGCATGGGGCCAGTGTCAGTGGGAGCCCTCCTGGGGATAGGGGACCGGCCGGCATTCCTGGGGGGAGGTTGTCTTTGGAGGAACCCAACCTAAAAAGACCCACTAGAGTCTATGGGGGCTCTGCAGTTTACAGAGGCCTCACACACCCTCCCCAGCTCACTCCTCATAACAAACCCACGAGGCAGGGAGCCTTCGGGGAGCTGCCTGCAGGGGAGGGGTGTGCCTGTCACCCACAGCCTTAGGAGGATTCCACCTGCCCATCTGACAGATAGGAAGGCAGCTCCCTAAGGCCCAGTGACCCCAAAGCCCTCAAGGACTCTCTGAACTGCATCCCAGGGCCAGCTCTTTGGATTTCCAGTGTTTTCCTCTTCTAAAGTCTGATGCTCTGAGCAAGGGAAACCTTAGGGAAAACTGAGGGTGAGCTAAGCTATTCTTGGGCTGGGTTTTCCTCACTTAATATAACCTGGCCTGGTTTTCCTGCCTGGCTTATCCAATCAACCAGAGGTGGAAGAGACCTCAGAGGCCCTTTTTAAGGGAAAGGTGGTTAAGTTAGAAAACTGTGGTTGCACACTTCCTTGCAGTAATTGTGCTATGGTTAATTACTTGACCTTTTTTTTTTTGAAACAGCATCTCACCCTGTCACCCAGGCTGGAGTGCAGTGGTACAAGCATAGCTCACTGCAGCCTCAATGGCCTGGGCTCAAGTGATCCTCCCACCTCAGCCTCCTAAGCAGCTGGGACCACAGGTGTGCACCGCCATGCTGGCTAAGTTTTTTATTTTTTGTAAAGATGGGGTCCCACTATGTTGCCCAGACTGGTCTTGAGCTCCTAGTCTCAAGCAATCCTCCCATTTCAGCCTCCCAAAGTGCTGGGATTACACCAGCCTTAATTTTAAGTCTTATTTGCAAATAAGGAAAGAGCAAATTTAGTGGTGAAAATCCCAGCTTAGGGTTTAGATGCTGTGCCTCTAACTCAGCCCATGGGCCAAGCTACTCTCATAAAATACTTAACTATACCTATATCTTTTCCTTGTAAAGATTGGATAATACTTACAAAAGTGCTCTGCTACTTTTGGGATTTGGGGAAGGTTGGTTTTGAACGGAGGGAGAGAACATACCAGATTATTTTATTTGCTCACAAGATTCAGCCACGGAAGCTGGTGGAGGCCTCAGTTCACTAAGAGACCAAAGATGAATGTTAATGAAGAGTGATCTGGTGGACCTCACACCAGTGCAGGCTGCTGGGTGGGGATGCTGACCCTATCCAGCGGCTTGTGCACACAGTGCATCTCTGGGGATATGAGGGAAGCTCATAGACCCCACCATTGCACCCTCCTGATGCTGGAGGAACCCCACTTAGAAGTGAAAACAGAAACAGAATGCAGCTCACGAGGGCTCAAGCAGGAAAAAAGAACCAGTGTGGAATATTCTGGAATAGCAGGAGAACCTTGTAGAGATTAAAAGTTTCTTGGCCTTAATATGAAATCTGCCCCCCTTTTCGAACATCCTAATCCTACATAGCAAGGCCCTCTGCCCTCATTCAATGACCTTGGCTATTTCCTTTGTTGATAGGTGTCCCTCATGCCCTCCTCCTAGGGACATGCTGTGGGCTCCAACTGTGGCTGGCATCTTTGTTTCTTTCCCTGTTTGAAATGGTGAACACTGACAGTGAAATTAGGACCAACTCTGGGCTTCAGGAGGATACACAAAATCATCAGGAGAGGACCCCGCCACCCCACCACGTTCACAGTTTCAATGCTATGTCTAGGTGACAAATGGAGAGAAACCAGGGTGTGATTCTGTTCCCATCACCATAGAGGAAATACCACTAAGGGAAAAGTCCAGTGAAAATGACAAACAACTGCAGCCAACACGTACCTGTGTATTGTGCAGGGAAGCTGGAGGGGAGGAGAGGAGAACGGGGAGAGGTGAAAGAAAGGGGATGAGAGAGATGGAGGGAGGAGGAGGGAGGAGGAGGAGATGGGGAGAGGATGGGAGAGGACGGGGAGAGGACAGAGGAAGAAAGAGAAGGGGAGAGGAGAGGAGGGTGGCTTCCACACAGCCTGGGCTGAGGCAAAGGAAGGCAGAAGAGGAGAGGAAGAGTGCAGGGAGGACTTGGATCCGTGGAAGGCTTGTGAATCAGTAACAATGACGCACAAATTGATGTGCCTGCTCTCAGAGAAATACAATTGAGTGTAAATCCTGCTTAAGTTAGCCTCATCTGTTGCTTTATGGTGTCAAAACAGTTTGCTTCAGTGGCCACATGCAGAATGCGCAGCCGGGTTGGCTCCTGGCCATGGGCAACAGTATGCAACTCAGGCCGCACCAACAGCTCCTTTTAGTTGGTTCTGGGGTCCGGGGCTGCCTTTCCTCTGGAGTGGGGGGCTCATCAGCTGCCAAGGCAGGCTCAGAACACGCCCTAGCTGCTGACCACAGCTCACGGACTCCTCTCCCTCCTGCTCCTGGGCTGGTAGGCAAGGTGCAGAGCTAGGGGCTCAGTGGCCTGTGTGGGGTGGGCTGTGCTCTGTGGAGGCCTTGTTCCGTGGATTGGCTGCGGCTACACCCGCTGACTGGGGCTGGGCCACTTCTCCCTCCAGGCTACTGCAGGCTCCCTGCACAGCGTGGAGCTTGGTGGCCTGGGAGCATGGAACCCCTAGCAGGGCTACCTCTGCTCGGGTGGCCCTGTGCAACGTGCTTCCTCCCCAGGGCTGTCTGTGGCCTTCTTGCACATGTTTCACAGCTGCGGACACAAAAGCTCGAGGGGATGGAGCTTCTGTCCATGGTCACGCATGTTCAGGGGTAGGGCCAGGGCTGGGCTGCTGGAGCTGTCAGCGCGGCCTGGGGCACAGCTGGGGCAGGGCTTGGGCAAGATGAGAGCTGCAGTTGCACAGAGGTGTGGCCCGGGGAGGCTGGGGTCCTGAATGGGGTATGTTGGCTCCTCACTCCAAGCACAGGCCCGGTGTGGCCAACGCGTAGGGAGATGCTGCCCTGACGTGCACCAGGGCACTAGTGCACTTGGCCTCTTCATCTTAAATTTTAAGTTCGTTCTGTTGATGAGTAATCCTTCACTCTGATCTCTATTTTAAGTTCGGCCTCTAGGTGTAGGTTGCTGGGGGAACTGGAATGTAAATAAGCCTAGCTTCACTTTGAAAAATCTCTTCTCTGCCTACTTTTTTTCCTCTGGGTGCCTCGTAGGGGACACCAAAAGCAGATGGATGTGCTGGGTCTGTTTTCTGGCATGCGGCTCGTGTTGGGTGGGCCTTGGCCCGGGTGGGGGTCAACTGCATCTGCTGTCCTCTCTGAGGTACTCAAGAGGAGGCCTTGGAGGGACCACACTGAAGAGCAATTTGTGCCGAGACCGGCCCTTCCCAACCTGCCTCCCTCCCACCTCTCAGGGTCTCTGCCGCTGCCCCCTGCAGCCACAGTGGCATCGCCTGTTACCCTGTTTCTCACCAACGTCTGTGAGTTGAGTCCTGTCAGGACTGCCAGTTCAGAGTCTCCTGGCTGAGCTGGATGGCGTCCCCTGCACTCAGTGGCGAGCCAGTCTTCGTAGACACATGCACCTGGGTCTGGCATGGCAGGGAGAACCGGGCAGCACCTGCAGGTAGCAGGGCTCACAACCTCCTGGCTCCTGAGCCCAACTCTCACCTTCCATTTGCTTGAAAACACCTTGGCAGCTCAACACAGGCCCTGCGGAGTGCTCAGGGCATCTCCATAACACTCGAGACCAGCCAAGGCCACCCTGCATGCTCAGACATCACCTCTGCGGATTCTCACAGGTTGGTACTTCAAATACTTATTTAAGGCAATCATGGGATTTTAGGATCAGAGAGCCTTCCTCACCACCACCTGGTAGCGTGTATAGGGCTTTCATGCCAATGAGAAAAAGCGCCTCTTGAGGGCAGGTTGCTGAGGACAAGTACAGCCTCCTCCAGGCAGAAGTGGCCGCGGCAGGTGTGCAGTCAGGCATGGGGCCAGGGGCTCACCACACCCGGGACGGTGCACAGACAAGATAGGCTGGCGGCTGGGCCGACTCGGCTGACCCAGCTGGGCATGGCATGTGTCTGCTTTCACGTGCAGCCTGTTGAAACTAACAGCACAGCCTTCGCTTACCCATACTACTTCCTTATTTCTATAGCAAGATCTTTACTTGCTGCTAATTGTCTGCAGATTTCTCTTCCGCTCTAATCAGAGTAAACCAAAGTATTTTAGTGCCTTCGCTAATTTCATCCCCTTTCTCCTCTAGATGGTGGCTTGCTCATACGTCTTCTAAAATAAGTAAATGATTCCCAGTTCTCCTACCAGAAGTCCCACTTCTACTTTTCTCCCAGGGCCACGCTGGCTCGAATTAGGGAGGCGTGTGCTTCCTCCTCACCTCTTCCATCTAGGTGCAGCACCCACTCTGCAGGGAAGACCCACAGCAGGAGTGCTGTCAGGGGCTGCACTGGAGGCCAGGGGGCTGGGGAGGGCTGGGTAAGTCCTGTGGAAGGGCTGAAGCAGGCTCAGGAGCTCAGAGGCGACCAGGAGCTGCAGGCAGGGCGAGGATGAGTGCAGATGCTCAGAGGAGCGTGCGCGAGCACCTGGGGAGCTGCAGGTATGGCCTCAGGATGGCCAGCTCCGGGAGCACTGCTGCCTTCGCCTCTTCCCTGAGGGCTGACATCATGGTCTGGCTCAGCCCAGCCAGCAGAAACTGCTCGGTTCTCCCTGGGGCCTTCTGATTTCCTGGGATCCCACAGGCAGTTACGCGGGTTGAGATGGGGTTCTCCCAGGTAGAACCAAGTGTCACAGAGTTCATGGAAGGAAGGAGCTGGGGTGGCACGGCTGTGAGGCCAGCTTAGGAGCTGATGTCTTTCCCAACTGAGCACCTTTGACACTTGTGTGTGGGGCTAGTGTGCAGGGACTCCCGAAGTGTGAACCTGGGCCAGTGGTACTGGCCTCACCTGGAACTTGTTAGAGATTCTGGGGCCTCACCCTGGAGCTCCTGGTGTAAGGCCCAGCAATCTGTGTTTCAACAGCCCTCCAGGTACAGGCATACCTGTGGGATACTCGTGGGTTTGGTTCCAGACTGCCCCAATAGAGCAAATATTGCAATAAACTGTCACCCGAATTTTTGGTTTACCAATATATGTAAAAATTATATTTATACTATACAGTAGCGTATTAAGTATGCGATAGCATTATGTCTAAAAAAATGTAAGTACCTTAATTAAGAAATATTTTCTTTGTCCAGGCACGGTGACTCACGCCTGTAATCCCAGCACTTTGGTAGCCTGAGGCAGGTGGATCACCTGAGGTCAGGAGTTTGAGACCAGCTGGGACAAAATGGTGAAACCCCGTCTCTACTAAAAAGACGAAAATTAGCCCAGTGTGGTGGCAGGCACCTGCAACCCCAGCTACTAGGGAGGCTAGGGCCAGAGAATCGCTTGAACCCAGGAGGCGAAGGTTCCAGTGAGCTGAGATCATGCCACTGCACTCCAGCCTAGGTGACAGAGCGAGACTCGTCTCAAAAAAAAATATATATATATATATTTTATTGCCCTAAAATGTTAATGATCATCTGAGCCTTCAGGGAGTTATAATTTATTTGCTGGTAGAGGGTCTTGTCTTGATGTGAATAGTTGCTGACTACTCAGGGTGGTGGTGGCTAAAGGTGGGGGTGGCTGTGGCAACTTCTTAAAATAAGACAGCAATGAGGTTTGCTACATTGACTCTTTCTTTCATGATAGATTTCTCTATAGCATTTGATGCTGTTTGACAGCATTTTACCCACAGTAGAATTTCTTTCAAAATTGGAGGCAATCCTCTTAAACCCTGCTGCTGCTTCATCAACTGTTTATGTGCTATTCTAAACTCTTTGTTGTCATTTCAATGATGTTCCCACCATCTTCACCAGGAGGAGATTTTTATCTCAAGAAACTACTTTCTTGCCCATCTAGAAGGAGCAACTCCTCATCTGTTCAAGTTTTCTCATAAGATTGCAGCAATTCAGTTACATCTTCAGGTTCAATTTCTAATTCTAGTTCTCTTGCTGTTTCTACCACATCTGCGGTGACTTCCTACACTGAAGTCTTGAACCAACCACTCAAAGTCATCCATGAGGATTGGAAGAACCTTCTTCAACACTCCTGTTAATGTTGATATTTTGACCTCCTCCCATGAATCACAAATGTTCATAATGGCCCTAGAATGGTGAATCCTTTCCAAAAGGTTTTCAATTTACTTTGCCCAGATCCATGAGAGGAATCACCATCTATGGCAGCTATAACCTTTGAAATGTACTGCTTGGCCGGGCGCAGTGGCTCACGATTGTAATCCCAGCGCTTTGGGAGGCCAAGGCGGACGGATCACTTGAGGTCAGGAGTTAGACACCAGCCTGGCCAACATGGCGAAAACCTGTCTCTACTAAAAAAATATACAATATACAAAAATTAGCTGGGCGTGGTGGCATGCGCCTGTAATCCCAGCTACCGGGAAGGCTGAGGCAGGAGAATGGCTTGAACCCAGGAGGCGGAGGTTGCAGTGAGCCAAGATCATGCCACTGCACTCCAGCCTGGACGACAGAGTGAAACTCCATCTCAAGAAAAAAAAGAAAGAAAGAAAGAAAGAAAAAGATGTACTTTTAAAATAAGAACACTTGACAATCTAAACTATCCTCGATCCATGAGCTGAAGAATGGATGCTGTGTCAGCAGGCATGAAAACAACATTCATCTCCTTGTACATCTCCATCAGAGCTCTTGAATAACCAAGTACACTGGCAATGAGCAGTAATATTTTAAAAGGAATCTTTTTTTTCTGAGCAGTAGGTCTTGACAATGGACTTACAATATTCAGGAAACCATGCTGTAAACACGTGTGCTATCATGCAGGCGTGGTTGTCCCATTTACACAGCACAGGCAGAGTAGATTTAGCATAATTCTTAAGAGCCCTAGGGTTCTCGGAATGGCAAATGAACACTGGCTTCACTTAGAGTCACCAGCTGCATTAGCCCCTAACAAGAGAGTCTGCCTGTCCTTTAAAGCTTTGAAGCCAGGCCTTGATATCTCCTCTCTAGCTATGAAAGTCCTAGATGGCATCATTGTCCAATATAGGGCTGTTTTGTCTACACTGAAAATCTGTTGTTTAGTGTCGCCACCTTCATCAGTGATTTTAGCTAGATCTTCTGGATAACTTGCTACAGCTTTTCCATCAGCACTTGCTGCTTTACCTTGTACTTTTATGTTGCAGAGATGGCTTCTTTCTTTAAACCTCACGAACCAACCTCTGCTAGCTTCAAACTTTCCTCCTTTAGCTTCCTCACCTCTCTCAGCATTCACGGAGTTGAAGAGAGTTAGGGCCTTGCTTTGGATTAGGCTTTGGCTTAAGGGAATGTTGCAGTTGGTTTGATCTTCTATCCAGGCCACTCAAACATTCTCCGTATCAGCAATTAGGCTGTTTCACTTTCTTATAATTCGTGTGTTCCCTGGAGTAGCACTTTTAATTTCCTTCAATAACTTTTCTTTTCATTGACAACTTAGATAACTGTTTGGCACAAGTTTCAGCCTATCTCAGCTTTTGACATGACTTCCTCGCCAAGCTTAATCATTTCTAACTTTTGACTTAAAGTGAGAGATGTTCGACTCTAGCTTTCACTTGACCACTTAGAGGTCACTTAGCGTTACTAAAAGGCCTGATTTCAGTATTGTTGTGTCTAAGGGAAAAGGTAGGCCTGGGGAGAGAAAGAGAGATGGGGGAAACGGTGGGTCCGTGGAGCCGTCAGAACATACACATCACTTATCGAGTAAGTTCGCTGTCTTATGTGGGCATGGTCCATGGTGCCCAAAACAACTCCATAACAGTAACGCCAAAAATCACTGATCACATCACCATAAAGATATAATGAAAAAGTTTGAAATATTATAAGAATTACCGAAATGTGACACAGAGACTCGAAGTGAGCACATGCTGTTGGAAAATGGCACCACTAGACTTGGTGGATGCTGGGTTGCCCCGAAGCTTCAATTTGTAAAAAAAATGCAGTATCTGTGAGGCACAACAAAGTGAAGTGCGATGAAATGAGGTTTGCCTGTGTTTCTGCTGCATTCTGAGGCTGAAGCCCCACCACTGGACAGGGTCCAGGGATGCCCAGCCTGGGTCCCCTCTGAAGGGCGATGAGTGGCTGATCACTCACTGTGGTGGCTGCACTGGGAATCTCCCTCAGGGTGCAGCATCACCCATGACTGCCCCTTCAAAGGGCAGCCTGAAGCCAGCGCTGGCTCACTTCCAATGGGGAAACTCCGCAGGGCTGTCTCAGCTCCAGAGCCCCGAGGATCAGACAGGCTTCCCTTCAGCCACAGCGCAGGTGTGTCCTGAGAGCACTCCCCACAAACCTCCCCATCTCAGGGCCTGCCTCCAGGAAACCCAGCCTAGACAATGCCGGTACCGGTGGGGATGTGCTGCCACCACCAGGGCCTGCAGCTCCTTCCCTCCACTGCAACCGGCCCTGCAGCGGCCCAGACGTCTCCGACCTTTGCCCGCCAGGGTCTATGTCATCCAGAGACTCTCTCAATAAAATTCTCTGCTCTTCCCACTTGCATCTCCTCCATTTCCCCACCTGCTTGGGGTCCCAGCTGTGCCCTCTCTAGAGGTGCAGGCGGCAGGGGTGGGGATGAAGAGTACTCACCCCTCCACTGGTTCTCAGGCTCACTCTCATATTCTTGGTCGCATCTGTCTGTAATATCCTGAGGACGGTGCCGCCATGCCTGGAAGGGGTGACCATGGGGCCAGGCTGACCACAAGGCTGGGCACTGTCAAAGGAGGCTGGGCGGCTGGCCTCTGAGACACCTCTTGGGGGCAGTACCCGGTGATTTCGCTGATCCAGGCCTTCGTTCCAAGCCTGGCAGGGACTTATTTTACCGAGTCTTATTGTCTTGAACTCACGCTGATCCAGTTCATTGCAGGCTGAGTGCAGCACCAGCCTGTTCTGTGAATTTGGAATGGAAGGTGCCCCTGTCTTGTGTTGGCATGGTTTGGTCAGCAGTCCTTTTCCTGTGTCCCAGAATGTGGGGACTGTTGTTATTGAGGATGGTTTGGTGGCCTTTTGACCACACGCACAAATGGCAGCGGGGTCATGAGGGGGTCACTCCTGATCACAGCAAGGTCTGCGAGGTCATCCCTGCCATGACAGAGAGCACGTCTCACATGACCAGTGTCAACCACCAGATCCAGGGACCCTGGTCTGCACCTCAGCAGGGGAGGATGAAAACCGCTGGCCACGATTCCCCTGGGCTTCCCTTTCCCTGTTGCAGGCCAACCCCCCATCTCCCTAAGTCTTTCTCTGGGCTCCTGGATAGGACTCCCAGGTCCCTCAGGTGCCATCTGGGTGGTCATGCACCTCACAGGGTACCTAGTTTTCCCTGCAGGTAATGAACTGCACCCATCGACTGTGGAAGTTTCCTTCTCTGATGGCAAGCTGACATGCAGTCCCAGACCAAGGCTCTGTGCCAAGAGTTCCGTTGCTCTCAGATTGCAGGTACGTGGACCGAGTCAGACCCAGGCGTGTCGGTCTGATGCCTGTTTCGTCCTCCTCCTCCACCTCCTCCATTGCTGTAGGTGATGACAGGACATCTCGGATGGCTCCTGCAGGGTAGCCCTATGCCCTCTCCCTGCCTCCTCCGGTCCTTCACATCAGGCAGTGGCTCTAAGATGCCCACGAAGAAGTGGAGGTGAGAATCAACCCTTCAAAATCAGGGGCAACCTACTCACAGCATTTCATCAACCTTGAGACCCTCTGGGTGGGTTGGCTGTGCCCAGGAGCATGGCCTCTAGGAGCAGACAATCATATTTCTGCTTTCCCAAATCACAGCAGGTCTGCCAGAGGAATGGCGGACAAGCCCCAGCCCAACACAGCAGGGGGTGGAAAGGGGGTGCAGGAATGAGAGACGTCTCTGCAGACTCACAGTCGCCTCCATGCACTGGGTGAGCAAACTGAGACCCTTCTTGTGTTTCCGGGCAACTGAGCCCTTAGGGAATCCATGCCAGGGAAGCCTTTCACATGCTGGAAGAAGGGGCAAGAACATCCAGCCATCGACACACTGACCGTACAGGATTAGGCCTCTTAATCTCAAGGGCTCATGTTTCAGTGCACATGATGTGGCCTGGAGAGGTCAAAGCTATGCAATCATGAAGATCAGGAATGAGGTCTCCTGAAGTCATTCCATGGCTGACTTTCACATCAGCCCCATCTGGGCCCTGGCTGGAGTCCCCAAGCCATCATTCTCTGCAGACCCGCAATGGGCAGCAGTGCACTGTTGTTTGCTGTGGTTGTTTTTGCAACGACAGCACATCTCATGTTCAATTTCAGACTTCTGAACGTGACTTACAGAGGCTATTTTGGGAAGAATGGTTAGATCAGACCCCCACCCCGGGTACTTGCCACTGGTAGGGTATGTGTGGGAATACTAGCTTCTTAGAGTTAAAGAGGATAGGTGAGCAGTCAGGCTAATCCCCTTCCTCATAAACTGATGAGGTCAGTCTGATCTTTTCCTCTCTGGGGATAAAATAAAGGATGTCATGTTTTCAGAATGCATCATGCATACTGCTGTAACGTATGTAATGTTGCCTGGCATGTGACTGCTACTCAGTATAACAGCCATGAACACACATGGAACGGACCATCACCAGTCACAGGTCATGCTGACCATGATCCAGCTCCTGCATGGAGGGCCACTGTGTCACCTGCAGACACATTCCTACCTAAATCCTTGTCATCCTTAGAAGGATGTTGTCCGACACATAAGTTTCCCTTCCCTCTTACCCAAATCTCAAGCTGAGTGGAAAGTGCCCTCCCCTGGGGGAGAAGCCCAGAGGGAGAAGGTGGAGAGCTAGAGGTCACAGCAACCCTGTCCCCCAGGGCAGGCGAACTGGGTGAAGAAGAGGTCCCTCCACATCTGCACCAAATTTAGAAGCCATCCAGGACATGGAGGTTTGTCCATGGTTGAGGCCTCCAGAATATTCACAACTCTTGAGGGGTGACATGCCTGGAACTGTTACGTTTTGGGTCTCCAGGACAGAGAAGCCTTCTTGGGTGGCTAAGCCTTGAGCTCGCCTCAAGCTGGGGAGCCCTCTGCACCCAGGAAGGGGAGGCCTTTGCTCTCATAGAACAAGTGGCAGCTACTGAGAGCCTGTGTACAGGCATTCAGCTGGTCACGGGGACTCCAAAACAAACACATCTGGGCTTTGCCCTTGAAGCACTCATGGCCTCAGCAACCTGACCTGCATCCTGCCTCTCATTTGGGAAACTCCATCAGGGCTATCCCACTGTGGGTGCAGGTTTCTTTCCTCAGATAGCATCCTGCATCCAATTCTTCAAGAAGAGCAGCCCCATCACCCCCCACTTTTCCATGTGCCTCCTTGGCACCAGCTTTGCCTGAAGCTGCCAGAACTGAGCTAGGAGCATGGCAGGAGATGGAGGTAGTATCTTTTGTCCAGTGCTGGTGAAAACTTGAATATCAGTCTCAAGGCATCTGGAAGTAGCCTGCTCAGGAAGCTAGGTAAAAAATAGGTACATTTCAAATACCTTTCATTACATTGGTTAATTATAGTAGGAGGATATTGGGAGCTTTCCTGCCCACCACTTAAGAAAGGCTGGTGTTTCCACTGGGCTTAGAGGTGGGTGAGTGTGTGCCAGCAGCTGAGCTACTTCTAGACCTTTTGAAGCTTGGCAAGTTGCTCTTCAAAATACTTTTTTGCTTGAAATACATCCTGTTTGGCCGGGCGCGGTGGCTCATGCCTGTAATCCCAGCATTTAGGGAGGCCAAGGCGGGCGGATCACGAGATCAGGAGATCGAGACCATCCTGGCTAACACGGTGAAACCCCATCTCTACTAAAAATACAAAAATTTAGCCAGGCGTGGTGGCTGGCACCTGTAGTCCCAGCTACTTGGGAGGCTGAGGCAGGAGAATTGCGTGAACCTGGGGGGCGGAGCTTGCAGTGAGCCGGGATCGCGCCATTGCACTCCAGCCTGGGAGACAGAGCAAGACTCCATCTCAAAAAACAAAACAAAACAAAACAAAAACAACAACAACAACAAAAAATCCTGTTCTGTAACAACACAGGTTCTGAGTGTCCCTCTGACGTCTACCCACCCTGCATTCACAGAACTTTCTGTATTATGTCATCTTGTTTGCCAAGTTCATAGACTTCACCCTAACACAGTCATTCAAGTGACTGAGCTCTGCCAAACACAAGAGCAAAAGGGAGTCTAATTCTTCAGAGCATGATTTAAATGGGGAATTTTAAAATTGCACTTATCTGTTAAGAGCTGTAATTTAACTGGGCAGATTTTCTAAACAAGATAAACATCTCACTTCCTAGCACTGATTCATCTGGTTATATTTGGGGATGAGATGCAGCTGGCATGCGCTGGTGTGGCCCTGGGACGGGGGCTGAAACACAGAACCACTTCCAAGCAGTTGGTGACTAGTGGCTACCCAAGCTCCTAGACTACCCGCTGCTCTGCGCACCTGCTTCCCTCCCGCCTCTCCCCTCAATCTCGGACCTTCCATGCTATGGAGAGCTTGCTCCACACTATGGCTGGCTCCTCTCCTGTTGACTGGGAACTGCACTGTGAATACTCTGAATATCCTCCCTGCTTAGAAGAAATGTCCTAGAAACAACGACATCAGAAGGAACCGCTAGACTTTTGTCTTCCACACTCTCCCTTCAGCGGTGTTATTAGACGCACATAACTATACTGGCCAACTAGTAACACATGGGAAAACCCTGCGGAAACCACACGTGGACAGGTCAGCCCAGGCAGGAGGGAGGGCTGCAGGCACAGGACCCCGACAGACACAAAGGGCAGCTCACACGTTGAGGGGCAGCTGGACCTTGGGAGGCGTGCCCTGCTCTCCAGACACCGAGGCAGCCCGTGGGACAGCCGTGGGGGTAGATCCCGCCGAGGAGGAGACATCCTGGAAACAGACAAGAGGGGACAGGAGTGAGGAGACAGAGACTCCATCCAAGGGAAAGAGAAAAGCAAAATGAGGCTGCATCCACAGGTGCCTGTGCTTCGCCAGCTGCCTGGCTGTTTGGCCTCCAACGTGCTGTGCCTACCTGGACTGTCATGGGAGGGAGCCTGGCAGCCCGGGACCCCTGCCCTGAGGTGATTTTCAAGAGCCCCTTCCCAGCAGCTCAGGGAGCCTTCTACGGCCTGCATCTAGGCTGGTCAGCATCACACTGTAGTCAGGCCGTGTTCCAGACCTGGCTTTATTCTTAGACCTTGAATTAATTATTATTGTGTTTGTTTAAAAAAAACCCACACAAAATCTTTCATGCTATGAAACAGAGCTTATTTAAAAAGAGCGTCCCCAGGAACTGGAGATTAATCCCTAAAGAAAATTGGTCCCATGACAGCAGACAGAGCAGCAGGCCAAGAGGACCGGGAGTCACAGGGTGCCCCCCTCCCCCCAAGACCCCAAAGTGCTCCAAGCTTCAAGGGTTTTTTAAGCAAGGAGATGACCCGAGGAACGGTCAGCATCAGGGGTGCGCTGTGCTCTCTGGGGACAGTGGGGGGGCCGAGGGAGGAATCTGGGTGGCACCATGGTCTTGCCAAGGGAATTCCTACATAGAGAATCCTTAGTCCCAGCCCATGCAGGGCAGCACTGCCCCCAGGTCCCCCTACGACCCAGCTTGCTCGCCCTGCCCTGGCCTTCCCTAGGACAGTGTCCTGTCTTCCTGTTCAGAGGCATTCAATGGCAGAAGGGTCTGACCTGTGTACCTCTCAAAGATCTGTCCAAGTCCCAGCCCTGGCACCAGTGCTTGTGGTCTTATCTGGAATAGGGGTCTTTGCAGATATGAGGTAAGGATCCTGAGAATAGATCATCCTTGATTAGAGTGGGCACCAAATCCAATGATGAGTATCCTTACAACACAGAGAAGGAGGACCGGGATGTGGAGGGGAAGGAAGCCCATGTGAGGACGGAGCAGTGACAGGAGTGATGCATCCACAAGCCGAGGGGTGCTGAGGATGCCGGCAGCCACCAAAGCCAGGAGGGAGCCCCGGAACAGACTCCCCTCAGCCTCAGGAGGAACCAAACCTGTCCACACCTTGACTTGGGGCTTCCGACCTCTAGAGCTGTGAGAGAACAGCTTTCTGTTGCTTTTAGCCACCTAGTTTGTGGTACTGCTCTGGAAGCCTCAGGACACTCCATTAGAGGGGCTGTCAGGGAGCCTGGAGGAGGAAGGGGTCCACCTCCCTTCAAGGAGGGAGACAGGGGTCTCCTCCCTTCCTCTAGGATCCCGTGTAGGCCTGACGAGGGGCAGAATAGGGGTCCCAGCAGAAACTGGAGCACAGGACGGGGCCAGGCTGCAGGTACCTCGGCCAAAGGCAGGTTTGGTGGGGTGCAGAGGCTGCCTGGCTCTGAATGGGGAAGGTGCCTGTGTCCCCAGTGTGTGTCCTCAGGTGAGCGAAAGGCACTACAAGCAGAGACCACACAGATGGGAGGGAGAGCCACCTGGAAGTTGCCCCAGGTAGGTGGCCAGCCCTGCCCCCAGACTGGCCTCACACCACCTTCTTAGCTTAGGAGCAAGAAGCTTAGCTTTCTCATTACTCACTGACCAGTTCTGGCCTTGCTTAGCTGATAACCTCTGCATGCCGCCGGCCACCTACCTGCCCCTCCCTGAGTGGTTACAGCCCTCCCTGACCAGCAATCATAGCAGAGCCTGAAACCATGCTACATGGGCAGTGTCTACAAAGTCAGAAACGATTTCTTCCTCCTGTTTAAACCCAGTGCGCCTGGCAGAATGAGCGGGTGCAACCGAGAGACTCCCTTGGTGTCTCTAGGGTAACTCCAAGTCTCAAATGACTTCCATTGCAATGCAGACACTGTGAGAAAAACCTTTGATTTTCAAAGGATCCTGAGAGAGCCAGGTGTCCAGAGGCTGTCGGGGTCCTGTGCCTGGCTGAGGGTCCTGTGGAGGGTCCTGTGCCTGCCTCATGCCACATGCGGAAGCAGGAAAGGCTGAGCACCGTGTGAGAACAGGGCTGGAAGGGGGCATTCCTTCCCACGGATGGATTCCAGGGTCTTCTGTCTGCCCGGGACACCTGCCCTCTCCATGAAGGGAGACAGGGAAGAGGAGGTGTCCCCAACAATGCCAGGATCACTTTCCTTCTAGAGAACTCCCCAGAGCCGGTCTGGATCATGAGTCACCATCCATGGAGGTGTAGGTGGGGGCTGGAGGGCAAGTACGAGGGCAGAGACACCCCAAGGGAGGGAGAAGGAGAAGCTGTCACCTCACTCTCCACCAGGCCCTCCCAGCCCCAGGCATCTGCGCAGAGGATGCTTTCTCCACTGTCCACAGGTCTCCTTGTGGCCACTGAAGAAATGTGTGGGCAGGATCTTAGGGTCATTCACTCACCCATTCAAATAGTTACCAAGCAATTCCAACACAGGGACAACAGGCTCGACACACTGACACTCGATGACCTGGCAGTCGGAACTGGCCCTGGGCCCCCATGGGGAACACCATGGCCTGTGACTGTGTGGGGCTTGCAATCCAGGTGGCCAAGCACTGGACATACAATTCTTTTTTTTTTTTTTTTTTTTGAGATGAAGTCTCACTCTGTCGCCCAGGCTGGAATGCAGTGGCGCGATCTCAGCTCACTGCAACCTCTGCTTCTGGGCTCAGGCGATTCTCCCGACTTAGCCTCCTGAGTAGCCGGGATTACAGTTGCACAATACCACCCCCGGCTAATATTTTGTTCGTTGTTGTTGTTGTATTGAGACAGAGTCTTGCTCTGTCACCCAGGCTGGAGTACAGTGGCACAATATCCAGTGCAGTGGCTCACACCTGTAATCCCAGCATTTTGGGAGGCTGAGGCGGGCAGATCATGTGGTCAGGAGTTTGAGACCAGCCTGGTCAATATGGTGAAACCCCGTCTCTACTAAAAATACAAAAATTAGCCAGGCATGATGGCGCACGCCTGTAATCCCAGCTACTGGGGAGGCTGAGGCAGGAAAATTGCTTGAACCCAGGAGGCGGAAGTTGCAGTGAGCCGAGATATTTTGTATTTTTAGTAGAAACGGGGGGGTTTCGCCATGTTGGCCAGGCTAGTCTTGAACTCCTGACCTCAGGTGATCTGCCCTCCTCAGCCTCCCAAAGTGCTGGGATTACAGGCATGAGCCACTGCACCCAGCCTGGACATGTAATTCTAAGCATGCAGCAGCCCTAGGAAGTTCAGCGTGCACAGGCCCCTTACACAGGTACCCAACCTGGGCTGGGCGTGGCTGGGAGGGCTTCGAAAGGCATGAGGCAGTCTTGTTAGGGAATGTCTTAGTCTGTTTAGTGTTGCTTACGACAGAATACCTAAAACTGGGTAATTTATAACAAAAAGGAATTTATTTCTTATAGTTCTGGAGACTGAGAAGTGCGATGCTGCATGGCCACTTCTGGTGACAGCCTTCTTGCTGGTGGGGACTCTGCAGAGCATCACATGACGAGGGGGCTGAGCATGCTGGCTCAGGTCCTGCTGCTGCTTCTTAGAAAGCCACCAGCCCTGCTCCCATGAATCCAGGAATCCATGAGTGATTATTCAGCCTTGCCCTTGTGACCTAATTGCCTTTTAAAGGCCCCACCTCTCAGTGCTGCGCCTGGGGGATTAAATTTCAACATGAATTTCAGAGGGGACATTCAAGCCACAGCAGGGAGGTGGTGAGGGTGGGTGGTGGGCCTAGAGGAGCCCAGGCTGGCTAAGGTGGGAGGCCAGATGAAGTGACGGTTTGGAGGCAAAGGGGGCAGTATCCCCACGGGATGAGGACAGGCTGCGTGGGGCCTCCTGAGAGTGTTCTGGTCTTCAGTCTGAGGGCACGGCGTCCCTGGAGGACAGGCAGGGAGAAGGCAGCCACAGCCAGGACCTGCAGCTTTGCAGGGAACCCATCAGGAAGTGCGAGGGAGCCCAGCCTGCACCGGCAGAGGGCAAGGGAGTCAGGAGGGGGTCTGGACACGCTCAGGGGGCTGTTAGTAGGAATAGCAGCCGCGACTGTAGCACCCGTGATGGTAGCACTCGCCCTGTGCAGAGTCTACCATGGCTGGGCCCAGCTCTGAGCACTCCCCCTGGAACAATGCTTTCAACCTTCGCAAGCCTGCAGATGGGTATTTTGAACTCAGGCAGCCTGCTTATTATTTTGAACTCAGGCCACGTGCTTAGCCACCACACCGTGGTGTTAGTTCCTCACAGCTGCTGAAACAAACAGCCACAGACTCAGGGGCTTACAATCACTCAGAAGGTGTTGAAGTCAGAAGTTCTAAAATCAAGGTGTGGCAGGGCTGTGTTCCCTCTGGGAGTCTGGAGGAGACTCCAATTCCCTGCCTTTGCAGCTTCTAGAGGCTGCCCACGTTCCTTGGTCCCCTCCACTTTAAGGCAAGCAGTGCCACGTCTTCCTCTCTCTAGCCTCTGCTTCCACCACGCCATCCCCTTCCCTGACTCTGGCCTCTGCTTCCCTCTCGGGAGGGCCTTTGTGGCTGCGGTGGCCCAGGTGATCCAGGAGCATCTCCATCTCAGGGTCTTTTCCCGTTTGCCACATGAGGTGACACATTCTCAGGTTCTGGGATCAGCACTTGGACATGTGTGGGGGCCATCAGTCCCTTCTCCACCAACAAGATTAGGTCTGAAGGACGTTGAGGGAGGAGCATGGGCCGAGTTTCTAGCCTTGGCCAGATGGAAATGCTGCTGGAGAGACAGGAACAAGAGACCACAGAGGCCATGGGCTCAGTGCTGGACACGCAGTGTTTGGTGTGCCTGGAGATGTCTCAGTGTGGATGATGAGGGTGCTGGTAATGCCAATCAGGAGCTCAGAAGGGACTGGCCTGGGCAGCAGATCTGGGGTCATGTATGTATAGCTGATCTATGAGGCAATGCAGTCTTGTGGCAAAGCCCTTAGCTCCCAGGTGTGTGACCTGTGTTTGTGACCGTAGCCAAGATGGCGTCTGTGAGCCTCTGATTGCTCCTCGTGTCCATTGAGGGTCATGAACTTCTGCTCTGACCATGATGGTAACAGGGGCCAGGTTTACCCTCCTGCCTGAAAAAACTGAAAAACCAGATGAAACCTGAATCAATAGCTCCCAAGACTATAGAAATCAAGCAGTGGAGGACAGAGTCCCCAAGACATGAGAAGATGGGGTTGTGGCAGCTTGCATGGTCTAGACAGCTGGAGTATGAAGTCAGACAACCCACAGGCTATAAAGCAGTCACTCTAAGTACACAGAATAGGCCCTCAACAAAGGCTCGTGATCGTTGTCCTGAAGCCAACAGGGTAGACGGTGCAGTGGCCTGGGAGACAGTGAGGAGGG
This sequence comes from Homo sapiens, assembly GCF_000001405.40. Taxonomy (NCBI): domain Eukaryota; kingdom Metazoa; phylum Chordata; class Mammalia; order Primates; family Hominidae; genus Homo; species Homo sapiens. The sequence continues at coordinate 109,414,161 of NC_000002.12, read as the reverse complement.
AGCATGCCCTGGCCCCATCTGCGGGACACCACCCAGAAGAGGGCCCTGAAGGAGGCCAAGATGGGGCAGCCCAATAAACAGAAGGAGACCCATAGCCCAGGGGAGATGGTGCTTCAGAGGGAATGTCATTGTCCATTGAGCTGCATGCTGTGGAATGGCCAAGGAAGCCAAGGACCTAGAAGGACCCACTGGTCTTGGGAATGCTGACATGCACAGGCGCTTCCTGGGGCAGGTGACTGCCCCTGCTGGACCACTGGTGGGGAGTTACACCTCTTGATCCCACTCATGGGATGCGGAAGACCCCAGTGTGCTCCCTGCAGGGAAAGCCCTCACTCCTGGCTTGGGCCAGTGGACCCACAGTCCCCTGGTTTCTGTCCCATTCTGCCATAGTTAGTAACAGAGAAGTCTGCAAACTCAGGTCCTACAAGGCATGGCCCTCATGACATGTCTATGCTGTGTGGAGGGCTGGTGGGGGCAGGCGTGCTGCCCCAGAGCACAGAATAGGGAGGGGAATGTGGGGGCCAGAGACGTTCTCATACAGCCCCAGGTCCTGGTGATTTGGGCTTGTAGACAAAGCTGTTCTCCATTCTAGAGCGGGAGAGACAGACAGGAAGACACAGAGACACAGAGAGAGACAGAGGTAGACAGACAGAGATAGAAAGAGACAGACAGACAGAGACAGGGCAGGAAAAAAAGCCTGTAGCCCCGGCAGTTTCCTGTTAAGAATGAATCCTAAAATAACCAGACAGGCCTGGGGTGGTGGCTCACGCCTGTAATCCCAGAACTTTGGGAGGCCAAGGCAAGCAGATCACCTGAGGTCAGGAGTTCGAGACCAGCCTGGCCAACATGGTGAAACCCTGTCTCTACTAAAATACAAAAATTAGCTGGGCATTGTGGCAAGCACCTGTAATCCCAGTTACTTGGGAGGCTCAGGCAGGAGAATCGTTTGAACCCATGAGGCGGAGGTTGCAGTGAGCTGAGATCACGCCACTGCACTCCAGCCTGGGCGACAGAGCAAGACTCTATCTCAAAAAATATATATATAAAATAATGATAATCAGACAAGTCAGAAAGGAGGTACAGGTAAGGATTTCGCAGCAGCACTGTTTATGATACGAAAAACCTGCACTCCTGAAGTTCCAGGGTGTGGGGCTGGCAGGCTGACAAGGACACAGAATGCCCCACTGCCGCCTGTGCCGTGGTCTCCATGGACAGGCCTGGAGGGCCATGTAGGGTATGCAGAGTGGAAATGGAGGTGACAGCATTGCATATGAAGGCTTATCTAATTTCTGACAGTGATACGTGTATTTTCATGGCAAGAAGTCAGGAAACTTACATACCAAACCATAACTTTGCTCCTTTGGGGAGTTGCCTTTTGGGATAATTTTATTATTTTTTAATCTACACTTTAATATCAAGTGACAATGGTTTCCTGAAACATTTCCACAGTGGTATGAGAAGAATAACAGAGTTAACACTTGAGGTCTGGCTGACGGTAAGCCCGTATCTTTCTCGATCCCCCATGTGCCATCTTTGTCAGGGGATCCTGGGAGCTGACAAAGGGCAGGGGTGACCCTGCAGCACCAGCAGGGGCTGGGCTGGCAGTTCTGTGCTCCCAGGCACTGGCACTCTGCTCTGCAGCAGCGGGAAGAGTGGGAACCTAAGATGATAGGCACGCACTGGTCCTGCTGTTGTTACCATGCCTGCTGTCCTGTTCAGATAAATGCTCCAGAAACAGCCAAGCTGTCCCAAACCAGCATAGCACAAGCAAAGCACAGCCAGAGCCACGCTGGGGCCACACTGGGAGGGTGGCCTGCCTGAAGCCTGCCCCGGCACTTGGATCTCCACCTCCCAATGTCCTGGAGCTGCTCAAGCCATACTCCAATGAAAGGGGGGCAATGTGTTTGGCCAGGAGAGACCAAGGAGACTGTGTTTTGTCTGCTGGGCAGAGGCTGAAGGCTAGGCTGAGAGTGCACACTGTGCGGAGCACACGCATCGTGGACCACGGCGGCCGAAGGCTCACCATCCCATCTGTGCCGGCATCCACCGACTGCCCTGCGTGAGTCCAACGTAAAGCAACCCACAGGGCTCGGTGTCAGGAGGCTCGGGAGGGCTCAGCCAAGGAACCTGAGGTGTGGACAGTGGGAGCTGCCACAGGGCCCATTCAGGGGTCTGGGGCCTTGGCCACCCTGACACAGGCTGTCCCTAAAGACAGCAGGAGGGAGACATTCTGCCGGCTTCACTGGAATCCTGGCCTTCAGCTGACACTTGATATGGCAAAAGCTCCAAGCAAATATGTGGGATTTAACAGTAAGCTATTACTTAGAGCTGGAATGAAGAGCAGAGAGAGGTCAGATGTGTGGAAATGCTTTTTCCCAAAGGTCAAGATGAAGAATGCCTAAAACTGACATGGCTGAGCGTGGCTCCCGTGTGGCCGGCCTTCCTAGCATGGGTGTGTGGTGTGGTACCCAGGGCGAGGGGTGCGAGGGACATCCTGCTGTGTAGGAGGCAACGCTGGGCTGGGCTCTGCCCTCAGGGATATGAAAACTAAAAGTACAAAGAAATGAGTGGCACACTGGTCGTGGCTTCCCGATGCTGATGGGGTCAGTCCATCCTCTGAATCTGGTCTCTGTTGCTACGGATGCAAACGAGCAGCAATTTGCTGGTGGCCAAGGTGGGAGGGGGTCAGGGGTCCTCCCACTGACAGGCTCAGCAGCACGCTACTGGGGGCCACAGGCCCAGCTGTACAGAATGTGACTCCCAAGAACACGAGGCCTGCTGAGGGGCAGAGATGAGCAGCCACTGCTAACCCTGGCAGGAACTAACTGCAGGGAAAGGGGCCTCTCCTTTAAATGACTGTAATTGGGAACTCCTGAGTAAAGGCACAGACTTCCACACGGCCAGCATCCTGCAAAGCCTGAGCTGCGCACTGCCTGGATGTACTTTCAGCCCCCAACCAATGGCGCCTCTCCCCTGAAGTATTCATAACGAGGTTGAGAGTTGCTGACTGTGACACCAGGGACTTGAGGGCTCCTTGCCTCCAGCTCCAACCATGGTGCTTGGCCCTGGACGCAGGCCTGGCTTCCTCCTAACCACGAGCCACCTCTCTGATGCTGCTTTGATTTTTAATGGCTTAATTTTAAATGATTCTAGGCCTTAAGGGATTAGTAAAGACTTGGCAGGAGTGAGGGAGTCAGCCAGTGATAAAACAAGAAAAGAGAAAGAGCTCCAGGTGCCTTTGAGTAAAAATAACTGGGGACACAGCCCTCAGACAGATGTTCATCCTATCTCCAAGATCATCCAATGGAAATCTCTGCTCCGACTTCAAAGCCAAGTGCAGCCCTGTCTCCCACGAAGTCGCGCCTAGCAGCCCATGCCCAGGAAAGGGCTCTGACTATAATAAAGTACGTTTGCACCACGGTCTTTTTAAAAGGCTCCATAATGGATACCTGCCAGGATTTGGCCTAGGCAAGTGGACACACATGTTCCGAAGGAGCTGGCTGACATGCAGTGGCCCAGTTCTCTGAGTCACTGACCCTACAGAACAACTCCAGCAATCCCTCCCTCGGGCAGGATGCTCAACAACACAGCCTGTGAGCATTTCACATGAGCCCAGTAGTGCAAGGTCGGCTGGCAGGGCTACAGGTAGGAGAGGATGGCCTGTCTGATGGAACTTAGCACAAGCAAACAGTAAAGTGACAGCGTGCACGCTGATGCTGCCCCCTGGGTGCACGGAGCTGCAGGGGCCCTCCGCACCGAGGTCAGGGCTGGAGCTCAGTCTGACTGTGCAGTGCCCTGGATCCAGGCAAGCTCCATTGCTCCTGCATCTCTCTCCCTGTCACAGAGCTCACAGGTGAATGGCACACAGCGCTGGAGCTGCTAGTCAGTAAAGATTGGGCTGTCATCTGTGACGGCGATGTGTTTCATCAAATTCCAGCCTCCCCTGGTTGGAAGCCTGGTGTCAGCAATGGCTGCAGTGCTGTGGCCGCGGTTCCCCGATTCTAAACCGCCAGGTTGTAACCAGACACTAGAGCCTCCTCCGCTGCATTTTAATGGGGCCCCTAAGCAGTGGCTGGGAACCAGGCCGTATTAGTTCCCTGCTGGGATTACTAAAAGGGAAAAAAGAGGGTCTGGGCGTTGGCAGGCTGTACGGGGGCTCCGAGTCTCTTTCTTTGACACTATGGAACAGATGAAGACCCCAAGAAGAAACATCTCCTCATTTAAATGTTTAATGTAAGTCCAGAAAACACTGTCATCACCCCAAGGAGCAGTGAAATGGGCATGCATTATTCATCACTCGCTACCACTCCATTACACGGGGTGTAAATCAGACCCTCATGAACTTGCTTCCCAAAGAAAACTCTAGAATAAAACATTTATGGCTGATTCTTCTGCTTGATTCTGCAAAGAGGAGCAAGCAGCTTGTGTAGCCAGAGGCCCCGCGTGCCTCTCGATCTCCCTCTCGGGGAGGGCAGTGGCCGGGGAGCCCCAGTGAGGGAGTCTGTCCTGGGAGAGGCAGCAGCCACGCCTTCTGCCCACATAACTTCAGCACTCTCAGCTGGTGAGGGGAACTGCTTGCTCACCACTGAAGATGGAGGCCAAAACTCCCCTCCACTGCTGCCCACAAGCCACCTGCCCCCGTAGGAGTTCCAAATTTGCTGCTGGATATTTAATTCTCACCCACAGGTTGGATCTGGCCCAGTGTTCTGCTTTTGTGAATAAAGTTTTATTGGCAGCCAGCCATGCCCACCATCCACTGCTGTCTCCAGCTGCTCTGATACTGCAGGGTGGAGCTGAGTCACTGCGGCAGATACTACCTGGCTGCAAAGTCTAGATTATTTACTATCTGGCTGCTTCCTTTAGAACGTTTGCTGCCCCTGCTCTAGGTGTCTATGATGAGAAGATGAACCTCTTCCCCTTTCTGCCTTTGTCTTACTGGGCCAATAACTGGAACCAAAAAGTGAAAGTTGTGATCAAAAGCTTAACAAGGAATTCCCACAATATTACTAAGGCGAATGGATCAAAACAGTGGAATATGGGAGGAGAACATCCACAACCCGACTCCAGTTTGGTGAATGAAAATCTCAAAACGTCAACAAGGAAAGGGGAGGTCTGTTAAGGAAGTTATAGGACCCCTTTCTCGCCTACCCGGGGCTTCCCAAGCCTCAGCTAAGAAGCAACCTATCTTGCCCTGGAGCCTTTCTTCTATCAGGAAGAGCCGTGGATGGCCTCCGCTCATGGCCTTCCTCACAGCTCTCACTCGCCTGTTGCCTCTGATGGTAGGAAGGCCCTGGACCCCCCTCCCTGTGCGCACCCATCAGGCCAGAGGCTTCTCCATCCAGCTTTGCATAAAAGGCACAATATTCATCCACATCCAACTGTGCATCCATTCTGTCTTCAAACAGAAAGTGCCTCCTTTACAGGCGGTGGCTGCAGGAGGGGTGGACTTTGAAAAATCCTTTTGTTCAGCTCTAATTCAGTGTGTCCGTCTATCCATCCTTCTGTCTGAGAGTGCCAGTGCGGGGCATTGCCTGTACAGAGAGGGAAAGCACTCTCTTGCCGCAGCGAAGCTCACGGGCTGGTAGAGGGGACAGCGAATGGGAGGACGAGGTCCTGAGAGCGAACCCGGCCTGGGCGTGAGCGCGTGTGGGACCCCGTTTTTCTCGCCTCCCAAACCCACACTGCATCCAGATAATGCCTGTGGGGAGGTAGGTGGTTTAGCCTGGAGCGGGAGGGCAGATGAGCTCTGGCAGAGGGAGGGTGAGGCAGTCAGGAGATCTGGGTGGAGAAGGTTCTTAGCTCCTCACAGTCCTCCCGTCCAGGGCCATCATGGGTCTTCACATTACAGCCCTGAGGACACCGACCTCAGTGGCCTGGTTTCCTCCTGCTTTACCTGTACTGATCGAGGCCCTTCCTCCTTTCCACCCTCTGAGGCATGGACTGTGTGCTAGTCTCCTGGTGGGTCCCATGGGGCCTACCGGTGGGCATTCATGAACAACCCTCTGTGGATCCCTGCAGGATGTGGCTTCAACAGCTGCTAGGACAAGGGAGTGACTCTTCTGTGCTGCTAGCCAGCAAGTGCCCACCCAGAGCTCCCGGATGCTCTCCAAATGCCAAGAAGACCCAAGGATCTTTCCTGACTCTGCCCAAGGATGGCCTGGAGGCACAGGCAGAAACCCGTGGATCTGGTTCCTAGCTCGTCATAGCAGCAAAAGAAACACTGCCAGCACCCTGCACTGTGATTGGTAAGCTTTGCAATCGACAAAAATCATCAGGACGCCAGGTCACAGGCAGCCACGGTGTCCTCTGTCCCCACTTAAAGGCCAGGATTGGTAAGTCATGGAGGTACAGCTATTTCCAGATTTGTAGAAGAAAGTTTTCTTGTATAAGATTCTCACAATGCAATTTTTTTTTTATTCATCCCAGGCTCACTTGGTACTTTGTTTTGCCTCCCTATAAGGCATGTAATTAAATTTATAACTTTCTGAAAATGCTAAAAATAAGCCCAGGTGCTCTGCTATGCAGGCAGCTTGTACTCTGCAGTTGAGAGCTGGAGCTGGAGCCGGAGTTTGCACAGCTTATAAGCAGTAAGTCTGGGGGCTGCCAGGCCTGAGGCAGGAAGGTCCTGCTTCAGCTCCTTCAGCTTTTCCCCAGCACTTCCTCCTGCTTGAAGCATCTGTCTGTCTGTCCTGTGGCAGAGATAATAAGACCCAGCCAACACAGGAAGCTGCATAGAGACAAATAGCAGGTGGTGATGCATTTTAAAGTTGCCCAGAAGCTTCCATAAGGAACTCTCCTCATTTACTTCTCAGACACGAAGAGACTTGAGAAATGCTGTCTTTTGATGTTCTCCCTGCTGAATTTCAAACACTTCCCCTTCCATTGATTTTAAAGGGTATGTTCCTAATTTCCAAGGGTTGCTTATTTGGAGGTAATTTGTAAGCCATGGTGCTCTCCAGAACAGAGAAGCTGGCAAGGGCCAATGAAGGTGCTGGTCCTGGCTGGACGGCGAGTCAGCCTGCATCTGACCACACTCTGGACCCAGCAAGAGCCCCTGCCCAGAGGCAGGACACTCATGGGCAGTATTAGTGGGTATATGCTTGCACACAGCAGTGCAAGCATAGCCGTCAGAGCCACACTAGCCTTACTTTGGAAAGGTGTCGTCTCTTCCTTTGAAGCTTCCCAACTTCTGTGCTCAGAAATGCAAACTTGCTGAGTTGCAGGGAAGTGGCACCTGGGGACGGTTCTCCTCAAGGCCCCGCTGGACTCCATGTGCCCACCCCTCAACAGGGCGGGGCTGTAAGATTGGCTTCGACCACTGAAATGCGCATGAGCAGAGGCTTCCATGTAGCCTCTGCACTGGTTGCTTCATTTCTGCCCCTGCTATGGTCCTGGAGACATTCTACACCAGGAGTCAGAAGGCATTTTCTGTAATGGGCTCAGTAATAAACATTTCAGGCTGTGTGGGTCTTAAAATCTCTGTCAGAACGCCTCAATATCTCTGTTATGGCCTAAAAACAGCTGCGGATGATATACAAATGGGCGTGTGTGACCCTGTTCCAGCAAAGCTTTCATTTACCAAAACAAGTAGTGGCTAGACTCAGCCTGGTGTTTGTTGGTGTCCCAGGTGAGGATGGTAGAGCCAAGCCCTCTTCTACCGGTGACTCATAGTATGAGTGAGAAGCAAGCATTCACAGCTTGGTGCCTCCGAGAACGTGGGCTGCTTATTACGTGATATAGCTGCTCTCAGTGATGGACCTGGGCACTCCAGAGCTGACTGCCCATTTAGGGTCCTCGGGCACCTGCTTGACTTCATACTTGGTTTATGAGGAAATTTTTCTAAAATGTAAGCAATCATTTCCCGATTTGATCCAGTAACCTCAAAAGCAAATGTGTCATAGTGGAGTTGGCCTGAATGGCCTCTTTCCCTCTCCTCTGATTAACCTCCCTCCCCCAGCAGAGCACTGACATGTGAATGATACTCCATTATGCCCAGAGCACCAGCTGAGCCTCTGACCTCTCCCAGTCGCAGAGGAAGAATCCCTAGGGGTGCAAACATGAGCAGGACGGGCCATCTGAGGCTCAGCCGGCTGCACGCCCTGGACACCTTCAGCCAGAGCCCCGCAGCTGTGTCCTCTCCCCAGCCATCGATGTGCAGCCGGGCCTGCGGGAGTTGGGGAAGGCCACACAGTCTCTCAGGTACCATGCTGCTTTATGTACAAGACCATCCAGTGAGGAATGCTGCCGGTGCTGTCTTGTGGCCCACCCAACAAGGAAGCTAGCGTGTGAGAGCCCCACCTGTGGGCCAGTGGCACCTAGCCCTGCCTTCAAGGACCTAAAAGCCCAGGGAGGAAGGGGGGATGGCCATACACACAAATAATATTCCATCATGGGCACACTGGAAGTCCTGTAGGCAAAGAGACAGTGGGGGAATTGATTTGGTGGTGGAAAGGTGACATGGGGCCATAGAAAGCTGCGGAGAGGTGAACATGTCAGATGGTCTGGAAGGGCGGGCAGGAGCCTTCTGCACAGGTATGTGTCTGTGTGTTGCCTGGTAGGTAGAATGCCATGCTGAGGGGCAGCAAAAGGGACATGGGCAGGTGGGAAGGGATTAGCTACGGCAGTTTCGGGGAGAAATGGACCAGGGCCAGAGCAGCGTGGTGCGCAGGGAGAAGATCTGCACAGGCTCACGGGAATGGACAGTGCTGCCGGGAGCTGGAGAGGCAACCAAGGGCCAGTCTGAAGGCTCCCCAGAACCTTCCAAGGGACTCAGGAGGGAACTCAGGGGCAGGGAGTCAGTGTTGGGGAAGACGAAGGGTATTAGCGAAGACGAAGAGTGTTAGCTCAGGGCACCTAAGGACAGTGGTGACTCCTTGAGGAACAGATGGAATACAGAAGGGGAAGCAGGTTTGCGGAAAGAGGGGTGTCATCGGTTGCTCCTGGCATGCGCTGAAGTTGAGGCGTCTCTCCAGGAAGCCAGCAGGTAGTTGGAGAAGAGAATCTGTAGTTTAAAAGAGGTGCTGGCAGGTGACGTTGGCTGGGGTTCTGGAGAGGGTGAACCCCCATGGGTGAGTATGCCCAGGATGGGAAGAGAAGGTGGGGGGTATTTGTGTAGATGTAGGGGCTAGAGATGTAGGGGAAGAGAAGGTGGGGGGTATTTGTGTAGACATAGGGGTTAGAAAGAGGGTCTGGCAGGAGGGGCCAGGACGGGGCTCCACTGGAAAGAAGAGGCACAGATCAAAGGGGACAGGTTCAGGAAGGGGTGCTGTCCACAGCGTCAAGTGCTGCCAAGAGGTCAAGATGGCGGATGAGGAAGGAGGATGCTGGACAGGGCATTGGTAACTGTGGCTGGGTCAGCTTCAGCAGCAGGGGTGGTGGGCAAGATCGGACTGCAGAGAGTCGAGCACATCCATGGGAAAGAGGAAGCAGTAGGTCAATGAGAGAAGAATGAGAATGGGCCTTCCGCAAAGGTGCTGGGAGGGGGCACCCGGTGGGAGAGGGGTCAGCTCTGCTTGGCCGCCAGCCTGGGCCACACCCCACCTGCCCAGGCCCTGTGTGCCCGTGGCAGCCTCTGGGAGGTGCCCAGTGGCCAGCCCCAGCAGCTCCTTGGCGACCTTGACTGTGCTTGTGGCCAGCCTAGGCCCGGCAAAACTTCCGTCTAGGCCCCACTCCCCCATCTTTCTGTCCCCTGTCCCTGCCCCTGCAGAGTGGCTGCTGAGACTCCCAGTCTCGAACTTGTAGCATTTCCCACATGGCTACTCAGAGGCCAGGCGCTGGCCTGTTCTGCATCGGCACCCCACTCCCCGCCAGGCCTCGAGCTCACCTTACACAGCTCCCAGCTCTCTCCTCGGTTTCACAGCTCTTCCTTTTCAGCATTCTCATCAACAAAGCCTCAGCCTAAAGCCCTTTCCTGCAAAGAGCTTGACAGTGGATATTTCAGGCTGTGTGGGTGTCAGTCTCTGACACTTTTTCTTCTCCTTCCTTTACTTCCCCTCCTTCCCATCCTGCAGTGGTCTCGGCCACACCCACTTCTTACCCACCACCAGCTTTCCAAAACCTCCAGGACCCAGCACAGCACCAAGCCAGAGATGGGCTCCTGGAGCAGAAAGCAGTGACTAGAGATGATGTGTCTGGTGCCTGGTGTCTTGGACTGGTGATTCATTCCCTGATTCCCTGAGCAGCAGAAAGAGCCACCACAGCCAACACTCAAGGTACACCTACCAAGGAGGGCAGCCCGCACGCACGCCCTCACTCCACCCTCACAGTGGCCATGGTGGGGGCGCACAGCTTGGCTCCATTCCACAGACAGGTAGGGGAGTTTTTGGGAAGAGGTCAGGCAGCTTACCCAAGGTTGCAGGTGCAAGGATAAGTGCTCAACCTGGCCGTCTGGCTCTGGAGGCTGGCTCTTAACTGCAGGGCTCCAAGAGGTTCAGCAACTCTCCTGGGGTGACACAGCTAGAGAGAGGGAGCCTGCACCTCCACCCCAGCACCCTGCATTGAGCCTGGCCTCAGCCTAAAAGAAAAGCAAAGCAGGGGCACTTTATGGAGCACCGCAGGGACCTGCTGGCATTCTCCTGCGTGTCTCCTTTGGCCTGAGGTCAGCCCTGTGCATTTTATGGAGTAAACTGGAAAGTTAAGTGATAACCATGTCCTGACAAGAGTGGGGCCCTGGAAGGCCAGGGAGGGCTGGCACAGAAGTACAGCCCTGAGGTGTCACCACTACCCCTGGGGCCTCGGCTTCCTCATCTCTGAAGTGGAAACAATGAACAATTGGCTCACTGTGGGGTGAGGTGGGCCACACAGTCGGGGAAGCTGAGAAGTGATGCAAGCCAGGACAGAGGAGGTGAGATCAGCAGAAGAAGCCGAAGGAGAGATGGGGGACAGGCAAACTACAGACGCACCCCTAACAGCTGCGGGGAGGAGGCCAGCCTCGGACAGTGCGCGGCTCTCAGGCTGTGCTCCCAGGCTTCATGGTGCTCGGGCACTCTGAGAAGCAGGGAAGTGTCCCCTGTGCCTCAGACGCATTTCTATAGAAACCACAGACGCACGCTTCCTTTCTATTTTAAGACAACACCAAAGAAAGAGCAAAACCAGTCCATTACAGCGAGAGCCCCTTAATTCGGCCAGCTAAGGGGCTTCCTCATCCACATCCCCCCACCCACCCTGACTGTGTATCAACTGCAGTCGATGCGTTGGACAGCACAGTGCCCAGCAAGCAGCCCATCTCCACTCCAGCCAGCTGCTTTTCCAGGGCAGACGCCTGCTGTTTGGACCTTTCTACAGAACCCAGTGCAACGTTCAATGAGGATTCAATAACTACCAGGGACGATACCATGCTCACCCCAAAAGTAAATGCACTGGGACACACAACCCACGATCTGTAATCCTCTGCCCCCCATGGCCCAGAAGTCCTGGTCCAGATGACCAGCCTTGTACACTTCACCATCCTGTCTTCCCCTACAGCCCCAGTCTCCAGGTGCCAAGAATTCATCCTGTCAGTCAAGATGTTCTTTATCACAGCCTGAATGGACACACTGGGTCCCGAGGGGACTGTGAGAGGCAGGGGACTGGCTGCTGCAGTGGCCCTTGCTGGGGCCAGCACTGCCCCATGCTGTAGGCACCGAGGAGCCTGGGGCTGCGGGCCTTCCTGCTCTGTCCACTCCACGTTTCCCACGATGGCAGTGCTGGCATGTGAGGGGCCTCTGTTTGTGGATGAGCCCATGACACAGCAATGCTGAATTTCTCCAAGCCGATGATCAAAGCCGAAGTGCCACCCACTGACCACAGAATCCTGGGCCTGGGCTCCCTCTCCTGGGCTGTGGCCAGCATGGTGGGGAAGAGAATCCCTGCAGCACTGTGGTCACAGCAGGACCTGAGTCTGGCTCGCCTTGGCTGCCATGGGCCAGTCCTCAGGCCAGGCACTTCCTGGTCAGACGCACATGGCCAGCAAGGTGGTAGGAACCAGGAAGGCAGTGCAGAGCAGGGGCAGACCGGGAGGGCTTGGTCTCTGGGCACATCCAGACCATAGCAGCACACTGGAGCCCGCAGGGGCAGCATACACAGCTCACACCTGCACCAGGTGCCCCTTCTGTCTCCCGGCAGCTCGATTAAATCAGGACAGGGAGACAGGCGGCAACTGCTTTATTTGACCTCTTGCCCTTTGAGGTGACCCAAACTAAAGTCAGTAGCCTGGCCATGACTTTCGCTTCAAGTCGAACTGCTGGAAAATGGATCCCAGGATCCCAGTCCCGTCAATCCCTAATTCTAATCCCTGTGGAGCCAGGTAGTATGCAAATTAATAGAAACATCTGTTCCCTTCCAGCCCCAATAGACATCAGACTGCAGAGAGCTTAGAAAGGTTCCCTCTGCTTGTTTTAACACGGAGGCCATGGCAACATGAGAGGCTGGTGCAGGTGAGGATGCAGGAAGGAGAGGAAACCGGATCCTGTACCTGTGTGTGCTGAGCCCACATCTCAGGGGCCTGTGGGAAAGTGGCAGAGAAGATGCCCCTGGCCCTCTTGGGACACAGCAGCAGCTTTGCAAAGTCATGGGCCCTGTGGGCTCCTTTTTTAGAACTCCAAGGAACACCGAGGGCAGCTTTGGACATATTACTCACAAATTACAGGACACAGGCCAGATACTTGTCAGGATAGGCACTGGCCTGGCAGTTCCAGGGCCATCTCTGGCTGGTGATCAGGAAGAAGGGCCCTCCCTCTGGTTGATGGGGGTCCCTGACTACAGTGAGAGTGGCCTTTGCTCTTCTAGGAGGAAGGAGACAAACGACCTACCCAAGTGGTCCACAAGGGCCAGGCCGCTGCTCCTCAGTCCTCTTCTTAGGGGTACCCCTCAAACCTGCTGCAACTTCCCTTTGAGCCAAATTTGTTTCACAACACAACTTTCGACTGTTCACATCGCCAACAGTTGCTCAGGTTGCCAAGGAGGGACCCCAGCTCTGGGCCAAAGTTATCACACTTTGTCATTGGTGACAAACAGGGTGAGCTCCCCCCAGTCTTAGCACCACCATGACAACCTGCCCGGTGTCAAGGATGTTTGAGCAAGAATAAGCAAGACTATTCCAAGAGCCACTGCTTGTGGCTTTACCCCCCAGATGTGCACACACACAGGGAGCACAGCCACACTGGTCCGCCACTGGGTCACCATGCCCCTCCCAGGAATTTCCAAATAGGAGGTGCTCAAGAAGAATTTAGCCCAGGTCAGGAGTGGAGTTAGGGTTGGGACCAAGGTTATGCTTTTCCCCTTACAGAAAATGCACTAGCAGCCCCAATGGCTGTTCTCTGGGGAATATGGCTCCCAGGCACAGGCTGTGGGAGCATCCAGGCAGTGGGGTAACCATGGGGGCAGATGACTGCACGGTTACAGCTCCAGACACTACAGCACCCATTCCAGACCTCAGCCTCAGCCGCCGATGAGAGCCAGCGTTTGTGTGTGTGCACACATATGCGTGCAGGTGTGTATCCACCAATGTGTGTGTGCGCATGTATAAATGTCTACATGTGTGCACGGGTGTATGTGTGGGTGTGTATGTGGAAGGGACGCATATAAGTTCACAAGTGTGTGTGTGTGTGCGCACAGGTGTGTATGTGTATACGTACGTGTGTGTGCATGTGTATCTGCAGGTGTGCACCTGGAGGGGTGTATGTGTAAATGCACCTGTACGCATGTGTGTGCACATGTGTATGTGTGTGCATGTGGAAGGGGTGCATATAAGTGCACATATGTGCACAGGTGTATATGTGTATATGTGCGTGCATGTGTATATGTGTAGGTGTGCATGTGGATGGCGGTGTATGTAAGTGCACATGTGTGGGTGTGCAGGTATATGTGTGTGCCATGTGTATGAGTGCACATGTGCGTGGGAGTGCATATGTGCGGGCGGGCATGTGCTCAAGTGTCCATGTAATATGTGTGTGTGTGCGTGCATGTGTGCAAGTGTGTGTAGGGGGCATTTCTAGGCTGATGTGGCACATCTAGATTACATGGCCCTTCTCCAGAAGCTCAGCAATTTTTAAGACAATTCTGTGTGTAAAGTTGTCTGAGTTCATTGTGATTTTGAATAAGACAGTTCTTCCCAGCCAGTTGCTTATTGGTGTCTGCCCCATGATTCCCCGCAGATCAGCGCCCTTGCTCTGAGGCCTGTCCAGGGCAGCCAGAGGGACTCTGGAAGGAATGTGGAGCGTGGTGGCGGGTGGGCCGCTGGGTGGAAGGCTGCAGCGCAGGGAGAAATGGAGTGGGCACCATTGTGTGGGCACCTTGGGCTCACCCATGGACATCTGCCACAGTCCTGCAGAAGGTCAGACAACAATGGCACAGGAGTGTGGCTGCAGGGTCACCCTGCCGGGCACTGGGAAAGCCCCTTCCATCTCCTGCTGCAGTCTCTGCATTCATAAAGGGGAAACTTGCCCAACTCCTGCCCTGTGCATGCCACTGTGAGGGGTCTTGTCAGAGCTACAGGCAAGTACTTACTAAATATTGTTCATTATTTAAAAATTTTTTTAATCATTTTATTTTATTTTATTGATTGACTGATTGGTTGCTTGTAGAGACAGGGTCTTGCCCAAGCTGATCTTGAACTCTTGGCCTCAAGCAATCCTCCCGCCTCGGCCTCCCAAAGCCCCAGGATTACAGGCATGAGCCACTGTGCCCAGCCTTTAAATACTTTGCTTTGGTTACTTCAATTTACAAAAAAAAAAAACTAGTGGAAATGGAGTCTAGAAATAGAAGGTATCTGTAGAAACAACAGTAACGAAAGTACTCAACAATGTAGTTGATTCTGATTCTGAGCTCTGACTCCTTCTTTCTCTTGAAAGGGAAATTAGCAAACATTGCAGAGATGGTAAAAATATGCTAGCACTAAGCCAAGACTCTTCCAGGACATAATCAGACATCTGGAAGCCGACTGACACGGGGAAAAGCTTGTCATGAGGCGGGTGGGTGTTACTCAGACATTCCCTGGACCACTGAAAATCAGCTCACACACCACGAGGCCATCTTCTGAACCAGGGAGGGCACACTCACCATTCTCCACGCTTCTAGGGGGGCCCCAGTGCCAGGCAGCAAAGGGCAAACCCCACTCAACCCCAAAAGGCAGTTCTGGGGCGGCCTCCATGCTAGTTGAGGAACGGGGGACACTGAACACGGAGCTGAGGATAGAACCCCAGAGAACCCAGGGATGCCTGCCCTGGCCCGCGGGATGTTACCTGGGTGGGAGCAGCGCACGACAGATGAGCAAGGTCTCCAATCCTGGCCGCGGCTCGGGGATCGCTGGAGCTGATCAACACTGGAGCACTAATTTCCATGGAATGCCTGTGGCTGGCAGCCTGGGAGGATCTGTGCGTCACACTGAGCGCGGTGAAGGAGTGGCGTTTCTTGGTGTTCTTCTTGCCATCCACACGCCGCTGAAAGGCACTGACCGCCCCTGAGCTGCTTAAAGTGGGACTTGGGGCCACGCTGGCCACAGCGCCGGAGTCAGAGGGCAGGGAGGCATTGCAGCTGGATGCAGCGGCTGGGCATGGCTTGTCCATCTCAATGAGCTGCTTGGCGGAGTCATTGAGCTGAGTGAGAAAGGGGAGAGGGGAGGCTGCATTAAATCATGGTCACATGCCACACCAGCCCTCTGCACTCTCCAGGCCACATTTCCATTCACAAACTGGCAATGCATTCAAATCCGTCAGACTGCAGGGAAAACACAGAAGAGGCTGGTGGGGTGGCATAGGTTTTATTGAAAAGGTTTTTGGAGCAGCTCAAAAACCCCAGGAGCCATGATGGAGAGAGGGGACTCATAGAGAAAGAAGAGTTTTCCAAGGGCCACTACCTTGTCGCCCCAATCTTTTCAACTGCTGGCCATTTCTGGGATGCACGGTGCCGCCTTGCAGACAGTGAGGGACTAGGGACAAGATGGGAAGGAAGCCCCATATCAGAAGACGTGGGCTGGCCCTGCATGCTCCATGACAGCAGGTTCCCAGCCTGCCCTGAGCACTGCAGGTCCCCGGAGGAGATTTCAAAGCATGTGACTGGAATGCACTTTCTAATGGCTGGTGACCGGCTGTGGCAGGGGAGTCTGCTCTGGTCAGCATAAACCACAGAAGCTCTTTTCAGTAACCGCCTCCACTCAGGCTGTCAAGCCCCAGAAGCTGGCCTGAGCATACCCCAGGAGGTGTCAATAATCTGTCATCTTGAGTGATTTGGCGAGGTCTCAGGACACGACTCCTTCCCACATCTCCCATTGTTCTACAAGATAGCAGGCGTTGTGCGCAGTGAAGAGTTTGACGAAAGTCTGATCCTGGGTGGTGGTTATCAGGAAAGGTGGCATGAAGGTTCAAGTCCATGAGCAACCGGGGAATAAACCCTCCTGGCCGGCTAAGCCACATCCTTCCTCTCAGGGCTGCGGCATCACCTGGAGGGGCTGGGAGGGGCAGCCCAGGCACACCCA
The DNA here is from genome assembly GCF_000001405.40 of Homo sapiens. NCBI lineage: Eukaryota > Metazoa > Chordata > Mammalia > Primates > Hominidae > Homo > Homo sapiens. Next base: position 109,397,711 of record NC_000002.12, on the reverse strand, counting down.
CTGGGGGAAGGTCCGTGAATTACACAGCCTGGGGAGGTACCAGCTGTGAGAAAAGGCTCCCTGGGCTGGTCCTCAGGGCCTCAGTTAGGTCAGTTCACCATCTGTGAGTGACAGTGTCCCCTGATCCTATACCTGGAGGAAGTTTCCCACTTGGGTGCCCAATGGAGCCCCTTCCTTCTTAGGCTGTACTTGGCTCAGCCTAAGTGCACACCTATATGGGGAGCTCACAGTGATTTGAAAGAATAAAGCAGAGGGAACTCTTTATTGTGTACACAGAGGTGGCTGGGAAGAAACTATGATACTAGAATCATCATGGGATGATTGCTACAAGCTGGGTTAGGCAAATGCCATCAGGCTGGGTAAATGCCTGTGAGTTTCCACTCTTTCTCCCTCACCTTTCCAGAAGTAGCAGAAAAAAACTGAGTAAATGCCAGCTGCCCTCTGGGCAGATCTCCCTGGAGGAGCACAGAGCTCAGGGCAGGAGGAAGCGGGAGCTGTCTCTGAGTTTTCTCCTCACCAAGCGGAAACTGAGCAGGGTGGAGTGGTTGTGTGCAGGCCTGGCACATTCTGTCTGCCAGGGTACTGTTTTGGGTTTGGGGCCTACAGGGTCTCTGCAGCAGCACAACTGGGCTCTGTGCTGTAGGGCACCACAGAGGCACCTAGGCCAGTGGCCAAAGGGCTTTCCGAAAACTGCAGGTAGGCCACCGGGGGGCATTCTGAAGCCTTCATGGGAAAAACGGGACTCAGCAGTGGTCAGGAAGGACGTACAGGATTCAGAAAGGAAGAGGAGAGAGGCAGTGAGTCAGTGAGATCCACGAAGGTGGGAACCACAGCAGGCAAGTGAAGGACCATGTGAGCCGCTATGGAAGTGCAGGCTACCTGGGGCAGAGTCACGCCCGCTCTGTGGCCAGCCATGGGTGTAAGCTTGGCATAGGCTAAGGATATAGGCTAAGCCCTTGCATGTGAGGCCCGCAGGTGCCAGGAGGGGCCTGTCCCCCACACCTACCAGGAGTCAAGTCTGACGTCAGCCTGGTCTAGGAGATTCCCCTCAATGCTGTCAATCAGTGAAGGGAAACACCAGGTCTCACCCAGATTCAGAACTAGCATTTGCAGCTGGTAGCACCTTGATGAGTTAAAAAAACAAAAACAAAAAACCCAGAAGCCCTGCTGAGTTTAAGTGGCATGATAAAGGGTGGCCCCATCACAGGGCTGCTCCGTGCAGGCCGAGCAGATCACAGGAGCAGGGTGGCTGCAGGTTCCAGCTGCCTTCAGACCCGGCCCAGGCACATGGCTGTCAGCATTTCCACTACGAATATCTGCCTTTCAGAGGGAGGTTATGAAAAACCTCACTCCGGGCTCCAACATGTGTGATCTAAATCTAGGGTTATTTCCTTTGAAATGTTTCCTCCAACCAGGCTCAGCTGTTTTGCTCTATTTTATGGCTGTATTCATTTGCTTCCTCCTAAGTGCTACTCAGAGAACAAACCAGTGCCTGTTCCCTCCCACAGCCCTCCGTGGGGCTCTCCAAATACCTGGGAGCCAGCTTTCTGGACCCCAGTGTTCTCTGCCCACTTGACAGGGTATAGAGGAAGACACAGCAGCAGGGCACAGTGAGCGCAGTCCTCCATTCGTCTCACTCACTGGCATCGGAGCACGTTCTAAACACACCTGCCACGCGCCTGCACTTGGGACATCATTACACAGCAATCATGGCAGCAATAATGCTGAGGCTGGGCTCAAATGATTCCCTTCTCCCCAAAGGAACAGGCCTGGAGTGTTTCACTTAGTCCTCCTGTGACCCTTTTGAGTTGGTACTGAAAACTGTTTTCAAAATCAGGAAATCCAGGCACCAACAGGTTGTTGTATGCAAGTCCAGAAGAGATGGGGCCCTGATCTGAATGTCAGCATGGATTTCCAGGCTCCCTATTCTCATCAGGAGACACAGCAGCCAGAAGCACAGTGCCTGGCCCCTCAGCAGTGCCACAGGTCACTGAGCACTGGGCGGCCACCAGCACGTGTCCCCGAGAGGCTGCTCACAAGTGACTGCACTGTGCCTTCACGGCGGAGACAGAGAGTGAGGGTGGGGAGACAGCATGCATCCCTCATGCCTTAGCAACCCCAGCCGAAGGCCGGTGCTGAAAGTGAAGGCAAAAAGCTTCCACCAAGATAGGCAGCTTCAACAGACGGCAGGAGAAGTAAGAGCTCCTGCCTCAAAGAAGAAAGTCCTCAATGCCTCATCCAAAGCTTCAGCATCCCCAGCATCCCTGCAGCAGCCAGGCAGGCGAACCGCTGCCGAGGGGTCTCCCAGGAAGAGGAGGGGTTAGGCTGTATCCTGTTGACTCATCTCTGCTTCTGAGCCAAGGGGCTTCTCCATGGACCCCTTTCCTCCTGCCCTGTCAGTCTTCGTTCTGAAAGCCCAGAGTGGACTAACCCGAAGGGCCTCAACAGGCAGATGCATCTCTACACACATGGGACTGAGGAGTCATTTTCCACCCACCACTGGGGACCAGGCTTGCCATACTCACACAGGCATGCGAGTAGCGCACGCACTGGCCTGCCTGCGGAGTCCCAGGCACTGCTACAGATCTGTGACTTGATCCTGGGGCAAAACTCTCCATCTGGGGAAGTTTTCATTGTCTTCACAACAAGCTCCAATTAGTCACGTCATAAAGCTGGGCCTGAATTTGGCACCGGTGCCATCCCAATCAGAAGGACCCTCACCGGCCACACACATCCTTGTGGGCCCACGGTCACAGGATGCCCTCGCCTGCCAGTGCCTGTGCGGGACGGCGGCTCCCGTGCACCCATTAGGAGCAGCCACACTTTCCCAGCTCCTCACTCTGCAAGTTGGTGCAGACTCGTCTCGCGCACAGGCCTCCATGCTGCAGGGAAGCCAGGTGGCTCTGCCCTCCCATGTGGTGTGGATTCGGCCTGAGGGTGCAGCCCTTCCCACCAAGGTGCCATCTGGAAAGGAAAGGACTCCAGTGGCTCTATCTGCATGTGGCGTCACCTTGTTTATCAGGTGGACGTCCCCCTCCTACATAGATGTGCACACACATAACCAATGCACCCAATAACTAAACTTTTCATGTTTTTTAATGGAAAGAGAACACATTTTCAACTTCCATACAAAATGGAAACAAAATGATAACATCAATATTTTAAACATCTCGGTAACTTTATCCATTCATCATGAGGACTGCTCCTGGTACCTGTGCAGGTGTGTGCCCTTCCCAGAGCCTGCCCCTGTTCTGGGGCCCCTCTGCAGGGGCCACCCCCTAGTCCGATGCTCTTGGGAACATGAAACCGGATGGGGTGGGAGATTAGCTCAAGGGGATGGTGCAGTCTTGTCCATGGGACAGTAAAGGTTGGGCCAGGGCTCACCATCCCACAGGGGACCCCGCTTACCACCCTATGGTCTCTGTGACCTCGAGTGGCTGCCTGCTGGCTCAGCAAAGCCCCTCCCAACACTTTGTCTCCCCAGCTTTCTTAGGTTAGATGTGATTTTCTTCCACAACCACTTTCCAACCACAGAACTGTCTAGAAAGGTAAGAAAAACTGAAGAGTTTCTTCCATCCATCCTTTAAACAGTTCTACAGAATGGACTCTTGGTTTAGAGTGCTCTTTAGCCTTGTGGCTGCGTCCGAGGGTGGGGCTGGGTTGAATAGAGAAGACTCTCTCCCCGCAGCTCCTGGAGCCATGGGTCTCCTGACTCCGGTGGGGAGGTGCGGCCAGCCCTGGAATTTCAGCGCTGGGTCCACGACAGCGCCAGAGTATAGTCACCCCAAATCCCTGGGTCTGACTGAGGAGACTTTGTTTTTTTTTTCTTAAAAAAGGAGTAAGATTGGCAAGCCAGTCATGAGGGAGGACAGCAGCTGTAACATGAAAAGAAGAGCAGTGGTGTGGGAGGTGCCCAGCTTCAAAAGAAAAACAGCGCAAAGTAGTTGTGTCCCCCTGGGCCCCTGCACTGACCCAGAGTGGAGGAAGAGCAACCTCAGCACTGAGCGACAGGGCTTGGGAGCGCGATACAAGGGAGGGAATGTGTCCTGAAACCCACATCTTGGTGGAAATCCAGGAAGCCAAGGGTGCAAGCAGGAGGGCAAGTGCTCACAGTTTAACAAGAAGGCAACACATGACTCTTTTCATGGATGCACCATTCGGAAAACAAAACGGACTGAGCACCTACTGTGTCCTGGGCTCTGCTCAAAGACCTGCTCTGAAAGAGTTTCTATTTCAGTGTGCACTGAACGACCTGGGGATCCTTCACAGAGGCCAACTCCGGCTCAATAGGTGTGGGCTGTTGCCAAGTTTCTGCATTTCTGCCAGCTCCCAAGAGACGACGATGCTGTTCTTTGCAGATGCCATTGTTGTAGCAAGCTTCTAGAACACTGTTTGCAAGCTCGGCTTCCCAATGGCAGCACCCTCCCTGAGAACCCTCCATGGACCAGACTCACATGTTCCAGAGACTCCTGTGGGGCGTTCGCCTTACCCTGAAGCTCCCACTCTCATGGCTGAGTGCGGCAGAGGCCACCAAGGCTGGTTGCTGGCCTTAAAGCTTCAAAAACTCAGGAGCAGATGAAGAATGGCCTTTGCCTGCCTGAAGCTTTTGTTGGGAGACATCTCAGGAGCTTCCCCTCACTGAGACGGGCAGGCAAGATGGCTGGGCTGGGCTGGACTTCGATCAACACTTGCCAGTTGTAAAACACGTCATTCTTCAGGAGACTAAGCAGGGGCGGTGGAGAGGGAAGGATTCCCTTTGACACTGGTTCCTTCGCCCTCCTCATAGGCACCCCTCATCCTGAAGAGTTGTGTGTGGAACATTCCAAGAGCCTTTAAGGAGAAAGGCTTCCAAAGCCAGGGACTCTTTGCCAGTGACTAAGCTAGTAAGAAGCCAGGGGGCCGTGCGTGGTGGCTGACGCCTGTAATCTCAGCACTTTGGGAGGCTGAGGTGGGCGGATCACAAGGTCAGGAGATCAAGACCATCCTGGCTAACACGGTGAAACCCCATCTCTACTGAAAAAAAAAATTAGCCGGGCGTGGTGGCAGGCGCCTGTAGTCCCAGCTACTCCGGAGGCTGAGGCAGGAGAACGGCTGGCGTGAACCCACGAGGCGGAGCTTGAGCTTGCAGTGAGCCAAGATCACGCCACTGCACTCAGCCTGGGCAACAGTGCGAGACTCCGTCTCCAAAAAAAAAAAGAAGAAGCAAGGGGCCTGGTGACCACCCCTGGCCAAGCCGACTTTACCTTCATCCCCACATGTGCCCATCAGACCCTTATATCCACCACGAGGTGACAGCAATGTGGCCATTTTACAGATAAGGAAACTGAGGCTCAGAGAGGTTAAGTGACCTGTTCCAAGTTACACAGTGAACAAGCAGCACCATTGCTACTGCTCACCCCTTTTCTGAGATGTCTCATTGAATCTGCTGCCATCCCCTCGTCACTGCAGAGTACGAGGAGGCCCTTCCCCTCTTGCTACATCTTGATGTAAAAAAAAGAATATATTCACTGAGGTATACCTATGCCCTTGACTATTGGAATGGGTTGGGTACATTTTAGAGATTCAAATGTGGGTCTTTAAAAATCAGGCCTTTTTGGGCTAGGCACAGTGGCTCATGTTTGTAAACTCAACACTTTGGGAGGCCGAGGCAGGCTGACTGCTTGAGTCCAGGAGTTCGAGATCAGCCTGGGTAATATAGTGAGACCCAGTCTCTGTAAAAAATTAAAATTAGCTGGGCGTGGTGGCATGCACCTGTGGTCCTGGCTACTCAGGAGGCTGAGGTGGGAGGATCGCTTGAGCCTGAGAGGTCACGCCACTGCACTTCAGCCTGGGTGACAGAGTAAGACCCTGTCTTAATTAAAAAAAAAAGAAGACCATATTTTTAGGAGGTTGAAAATGACATGAAAAGTGGGTCAGGCAAATTCTCATATGGGACAGATGCCAGCTATAGTTACCAAGGGTTGGTGGCCGTTCTGTTCCCTTCCCTTTATTCACAGAAGTAGTGGCCTCAGAGGCCTGTGGACAATGCCAAACTCTTATTTCCTGGGGACATCGAACCCTAGGCATCTGTAAAACACTGGTGCCAGCACTCTGGACTGATGCTCCCTGCCCGGCCACAAGCCGTGGCCACACACCTGCTATGGGAGAGGCTTCTACCCTGGAGGAGATTCCCCCCTTGAAGTTAGTTTGACAGAGGCTGAGCAACACTAGAGCACTGCAGGAGTGTGCTGGAGACCTGTGTGAGGCCGCCGGCCCTGCCAGAGTGAAGGCCCGAGCCCATGGGTGACCCGCACCCCTCCCCGAGCCTGTGGGTGACCTGCATCCCTCCAGCACATGGCAGATGTGCCTTTCCCATCCTGTCCTCTTGGTGTTTGCATTCTAGCCCTGGTCCCCGTCCTGTAATGGCTGAAGCATACAGGTCAGGCTGCTGTCGGGCTGCCCAATGGGCTGGCAAGCTGAGGTGACTATTCGGATAACTGAAGTTTAAAACGCAGGTGCAGACCTGCACTGCACAAATGGCTGCCTAATTTTGCACGTAAAGCCTGAGTACAGGCAAGGCTTTTGGAAGAGTTGACATTTAAAAATCTGAGGAGGGAGTCGGAGCGAATGGTTTTCATTTCAGCCCCCTCTTATGGACTGGACAAAACCCTGTCCCTGTCAGGTGCAGGCTGGTCCCATGAGAGGCAGGTGGCACCCGTCCACCTTGTCCGCCTCTGGGTGCTAGCTGCTTGGGGGCAGTTGGCCAAGCTGCAGATCAGTTTGTGGAACCTGCCCGCCTACCCCAGCTGTCACACAGCCCACAGCAGCATTCATGCCGGGACCCTCTAGAGAATTCAGGGGCCGCCCTCTGCCAGTGCCCTATGATGTGGCACATGAATCTGCACACCCTGGGCCAGGCTCATCTCATAGTGGGTAGCCCGGGAAGCGACCGCCCCTGTGAGGCCCCACAAGCCAGCCCTCAAAACCAAGATCTGCCAAAGAACCTCCAGCTGCCCTGCGGCTGTCAATGCCTCCTTCCTCATCCCAGAGTCCATGGGTCTCGCCAGCAGAACCAGAAATGCCGACCGCACCCCCACTTGCACCTTTGTCATAGTTATGTCACCCTTCTTCCTCCCTGGATCCCACCCTAGTCCTCACGGGGAAATGAGGCTCCACCTGCTTCGAGTTTAACCTCTTGATATTGGGTGATGTGTCCCTCCTGGACTGGCAATCTACATTGTCATTTCAGTATTAAGACCTGCCAGAAGGAAGATTCCAGGACTAAATAAGAAAACAGAAAATTTCACTCATTTGCTAGGAATGTGTCCAAGTCCATAAAAGTACCAGGAGCAGCAGAACGGCCTGATTAGCCCCTCAGCAGGGGTGTCCTGTGAGCAGAAGGACCGCTGATTAGAAGTTTTCAGACTGGGATAAGGACCCTGTGATAATTTTACCTGAAGATGAACCTAAAAGGAGATAAACTGGTAGTTTATGGGCAAAGAAGTGTGTGAAGGGCATCACTTATTCTCCACTTTCTCCAAGAACTGCCACAAGGGAAGTCTCTCTGTTGGGACAGTGAAGAGACCTCAGACCCTTGGCAGCAGGTGGGGACCCGCATGGCCTCCGGTAGACACTTAAATCCTGGGCGAGTCCCTCCGGTGGGGTGTGTGCTGCACGTGGATTTCTGGCCATTTTTAACCTGAGGACCAAAGTGATTAATTTCCCAGGGCGCTTCTGCCTTAGAAATCGCAGATCTTAGGTGGGTGAGGAGGAACAAGGGGAGCAAGAGGAGTGGCTGGCACAGATTCAGGAGAAGGCAGATGGCCGCTCCACCCAAAGAGCTCCCAGGGCCGGCCCAGCCACAGCCCAGGCAGGTGGGCTCTGACCTGTTCTCTGACAGTGCACCCCCATCAGGGAAGCATTTCTGCATTTATATTCTGATGTACCAATGATCACTCGCATTATACATATGTAATGTGTATCTTTTGGTGTATTTATCTAGTGGACCAAATAATATATTTGATTACCAAAAATATATAAAATAGCCATACACAAAATAGAAATTAAAACTAACAAGTTAAAATTTCAGTAAGTTTGAGTAGAATTTCTCATGTCTTCTTTGCACAGAGTGGCATGCACCCTACCTTGGAGATCTCTGGCTTAGAGCAGTGGTTTTCAAACGATCCATTGATTGGGTCCTGACCGGCCTTTTTAAGAAACGGAATAGAATAAATATTGGCATGCGTCCATGTGGTATGGAAGTAGCTTCACAGACCATTTCTCTAGGCTCACACACTCATGCGGTATGCCCTCGGTCAAGATGTCAAATGCAGTGTCACTGTGGGTCACACCCACAAAGACAGAAAGCTGTCGGCACCCAGGGGAGATGACAGACATTGCCTCCAGTAGAAATAAAAGGCCCTCTTCCTCCTGTTTGCACAGGGTGTGAACCTGATGCACAAGGAGCGGGGCCTGGCCCACGCTTGCCCCTCTTGCTGAGGACCAGGAGGGGCCCTCACAGCTGACTCAAAACCCACAGGCACCTGGGGCTGGGACTGGATGTCTGTGTGTCTGCAGGTACGCTCACCTGTGTTCTATGTGCAGCTTCTCTGGGACAGAAAACCAGCTCCCAAGGTTGGTGAGTGGCACCTGAACTTACCCTGGCTTGTGTGGCCTTGGGCCTATGATGCTGCATGTGATGGGCTCCTGGTGTAGCTGGAGGGATGGTGCATTGGGCTGTGGTTTACAGGACATCAGCCAGACTATCGTGGTGGCTGCACACTGCAGCCCTCATGTTCTCACCTGCTACCTCCTCACCACTAATCTCTATTACCTAGAAAGCCTCCAGGTGGCAAGCATTTCCTCCTTCCCTCCCGTCTCTATACCCCCTTCTCTCTAGTCTCTCTCTGACATCCCAGAGCAACCCTAGGAGAACAAAGCCAAAGTGATCAGATCAAGATGTCACAGCTGATCCTTGGAGGTCTGAGGATTAGAGCCTACTTCATCCTCTTGCAGGGGTCTCATTTCACAGATGCTTCAAATGTTTAGTGCTGGGGGCAAAGTACATGCTCGATAAACACCTATTCCATGCATAGGTGTTTGAATGAATGCAGCTAGCATTTGCATGTGCATGCAGCAGTGGCTGTTTGTTGAGTATATTCTAAACACTGCTCAGCACTTCTCACCCCTCTACAGAGCTGTAACTCACATCACACTTCAGACACAGGGTCAGCAGCTGAGAGTACCTGGGGGGCCTGGCTGGGGAGGGTGGTGGATCTTGCATGAGTCCAAGCCTCACTCAGCACTCACTGAGTACCTGCTGCTGGTTGTGAGCTCTGCCAGGCAATCTGTGGCAGGTGGAGCTTTTTCACAGCAAGAACTTTTCTTTAGGATGTGTTCCATGTTCACAAAGGAGCTTAAGAACAGGCATGCTGCAACTAACTCATCAGTGAAAAATTGAATGAAAGTGCTACTAGAGAAAGGCTTGGCTGAGAGGGGAAGACAACTCAGTTACTATGGTTACAGACAGGACATAACCATAGAAAGTGACAAAGTATTTCAACCAAAAGGACATAAGTGACCTAAGTATTTCAAGGTCATGGAGAGGCGTGGGCAGGCGTAGGATGGTGAATGTGTGTGCATGTGTGTGCACAGGGGTCAAGAGTTGTCTAAAGGAGTTCAGGCTGTGAGGGCTGAACAGGAGTCAGGATGGACACAAAGCTTCTGTCGACTCCTGAACAGGGACCGAGGAGTCCCTGGAATTGGTGTGGGGAGCCTCAGCATGGTTGGGAATCTGGGCCAGTGTGGGAGCAGTGGAACGAGTCAGGAAGGGCCGTGTGCGGGTGGATGGGCCGGGGGAGGAGACCCCCCCCCCAACCATCTGGGGCTGTTGCTTTGGAAGAAGAAGGTGGAATTGGGCACCTACTGCAGGCCAGGGGCTCTGCTTAGCACTGTGAAATAAATACAGACAAAACCCCTGCTCTCCCAGATACCCAGACAAGGAATAAGTGAATATTTCATTACATAGAGGACGTTGAATGGTGAGAAGTACATGGAGGAAAAAGTATGAGAGGAGGATATGCTGAGGGGCTGCAGGTTAAATAGGGGGCCCAGATGGGCTTCACAGGGAAACTGACCTGTGAGCCAAGACCTTGAGGAGATGTGGGAGGGAGCTGGCCCCATCACATCTGGGGAAGGGTGATGGGCAGGTGGGAACAGCATGTGCAAAGGCCCTGTGGCAGCAGCTGGCTGGAGTGTCTGAGGAAAAGCAAGAAGGCCAGAGTGGCTGGAGCAGACACATGGGCAGAAATAAGGTGGGGGTGATGGGGTCAACTAGTGCTGAAGCTTCTGGGCCCCTGGGAGGTCCTGGATCTCCCCTGAGATGGGGAACCGGAGGGCTCTACAGCAGCACAGGGACACAACAGGATCCCCCGGCCCTGGCGCTGAGAAAAGGTTGCACAGGTGAGGCACTTGGAAGCTACTGCAATCATGTTATGAGAATATTCTCACAATTTAATGAGAAAAGCCAGGCAGAAATACTGATACAGCGCAATCTCAAATTTGTCCAAAATATATGTAAATTTATACATAGAAAAGAATAAAAGAAACAGAACAATATGCTAACAACGTTTCACCTCGTTCTTTCTCTACACATATATTCATATTTACTGGTAGGATTATGGGTGATTTTAATTTTCTTCTTTACACTTTTCTGAATTTTCTTATTTTGAGCAATAGCCAGGTATTATTTTTATAATCAGAAAAAGTCATTAGAAACAAAAAAGCAGATTAGGCTGGAGTCTCCATCGACCTATGGGGAGACCTCCTGAGCTGCGGCAGTGACAGATTTTTTTTGATTTTGTACAAAGCGTGAGGTGCCCTAAAGAGCCTTTGGTGTCTTTGGTTTTGTGAGAATGCAGTCATTTTTTAAGAGCATGATGTTTCAGGCAAGGTCTAGCAAAGGTTTCCTCTTCCTTGGGCAGTTTTGTTTCCAGCCCTAGGTGACAGCCACCAGCTGAGGGGGACACAGACCTGGACTGACACCTGAGGGAGATGCCAGGATCCTGGGGCTGCCCCTAGGATAAGCTCTAAGAGCTCAGAAAGTGGTAGGGATTAGCCGGGCCCAAACAGAAGGGAAGCAGAAACACAGAGAGGTGGGTAGAGGACTCACACTCAAGGGCCGCAAACCAAGGCCCAAGATCCAGCTAACGCTGGTTTTTGTAAATAAAGTTGTTTGAGGGACAGCCCGCCTGCTGAGCTATTGTTTATAACTGCACTTGCCACACAAGCAGCCACAGTGTTTTTTTTTTTTTTTTTAAACTTCTTGTAACAGTCATAGCGGCCCCCTGGTGTTTGGTCCTTTTGGCTTCATGTACGGCCTGACCTTCCCTGCTGCTTCCAGCAAATTGCAGAAGCCACACAATGTCACCTGTACATGCTCCATATGCGTCTCTAACGGATAGGGAGATCCACAGGGGCTAGGCCATCCTCAGGGACTGGGGAGAAGGCCGGAAGCCTGGGTCACTTCCTCCTTCCCTCCCCAGCTCTGTTGAAAGGAGCAATTCCAGGCAAGGCGGTCAGCTTTGCAGCCTTGACCCTCTCTTTCAAGGTCTATGCACGTTCCTTAGCTTCCAGATCCAATCTACATTCTTTTGAGATTTTTCAATCCTAAAGCTAGCACTTCCATTCCAGCTCATCCCTCAGCTGGATCCAAGAACAGGGTATGAAGAATTGCTACAACTAAAACCCCAACTTAACCCAAAGGGACATATTTAAAAACAGGTGAACAGATGCACTGTGTTGCAAATTTACCAATAAGAAATATGAAGAAGAGCAGAGTTTCAACCAAACGTCCATCTCTTTTTAAATACAAAAGGCTTTATGGACGTGTAAATTTGACCTCCTGGGTTTATTTTTTTTGTTTCTGGTGCCAGGTCCTACCTCAGTCCAGTGGCTGCAGGATAAGTCTGCAGCCATAACACAGTCCACCCTGGCAGGGCTGGCTGGGACACAAAGGCTTAGGCTTGGCCAACCCCTTGAGGTCTGAGAGCTTGTGTGGGGTGCTCCCTGCCTCTGATGCTCAAGCAGCTGACCTCAGGCTCTGCCTGCAATACACTGGTTGTCCCTTTCCCAAAAGCGCTGATTATTTCAAACAGGCTCCTTTGCCCTGGACAGTTCAAGGAAACTCATTCTCTAAGTGATTGTTTCCTTCACATCGAATGAAACCTAAGACTATTCCAAATTGTATTTTCAAGAGGACTGGATATTCATATTGCAGCATCAAAAACAACACGCTGCTACTAAAATGCATTTTTGCAACAGGACATGGGGGCTTCTTCCTGCTCTCTGCAGAGTGACATGGGAGGTGACTCAGGGGACACTGGGGTTGTGCAGGGCCCCCAAACTACAATTAAGTTAACAATCATTTCTAACACATACTTCTCCCTTTGTGCGCTGTTTTGTGCACTTCACTATGTCTCCAATTTAATCCTCCTAAGAACCCTTGGAGGTGGGTAAGGTTATTACTCCCATTACACAGATGAGGAAACTGAGGCACAGGGAGTGACAGAGAGAGCCAGAGCTTCTGCTCGACTGTCTGATGCCAACGTGGGCAGGGGTCTGGCCTGTCAGAGGGACAGAGGAAGGGACAGATGAAGGGACAGAGGAAGGCCAGCATGCCGGGACAACGATCAGGGCCAGGCATGCAGGGAGGGTGTGAGGCTGGGTGGACCCACAGGGTAGACTGCAGTGAGGAGTCTAGATTTATTCTAAGAGCAATGGGCCCCACTGGTGGCTTTAAGCAATAGTGAAGTAAATGGTTCCTGGTTCCATGGCTGTGTGAGAATGAACTGTGGGGGAAGTGGGACCCTCAGAAGCCACATGGGAACCATCGGGTTGGAGTTACCCTGAGGCCTTCTGCCCACATCCCCAGGGGCCCAAGACCCTGTGGGTTCCCTATGACCAGAGCTCGAAACTTTTAGTCTAGAAGGCTCCCTCCACATGCATTTTACACTATCAAAGTTCACCTCAGCAAAGCGGGGGTGGGCTTAGGAATGACAAGGACGTGGTCAGGAGGAGTCTATGGACACAGGCACAAGGTCGCGGGCACTCGGCAGAGAAGGGGCCTGGAAGAGAGACCCCAGACCCAAATGCAGAGCAGATGCCAATGTCCTCAGAGTGACCTGCGGGAACCCCTGAAGCCCTTTTCCCACTGCCCCTCTGACCCCAACCCCTCTCCTCCCACCTGCCTGCTTGGTCACCCTGGCTTAGAGTCCCTCGGCCAGCTCAGGCCACCCCTGGACCTGCTCCCTCCCTGCCCCTCCCCGAAGGCCGCTTTCCCTGCCAAGTCCCGAGCGCTGACAGGAAAACTGCAGTTCCCTCCTCCCAGGTCCTTCCTCCTCTCCTGGTGTTACTTTCTCCACGGAGAGTAGAATCCCCTCCAGACTTGCTTTTCTTCGCTGTTGTGTCCTCCCTGGCAGATGTGGTCTCCAGGGTTCTCCTCTGCTTCATTCAGGCTGCATCCCCGGGGCCTGGCCCGCAGCCGGCGCTTAAGGACTGGATGAACGTGGGACCCCAGGCGGCCTGGAAGGAACTGTGGGGAGGGCACTGCCCTGCCCAGCAGTGGGATGTGCTCTCTCCACCAAAGGCTAAGCCACCAACAGAAACCTAAGGGTGGGAGGAGCAAGTGGTCCTCTGATGGAAGCAGAGATGGAAAGGATGGGCTGCCTTCATTTGTGAGGGGCCAGCCCTGAAGGAACTGTTTGTGGCAGCCAGGAAGCCTCTAGACTGTCATCAGAACCTTCTACCTAACAGACACTGGAGACTCAGCGGGGTGGTAGGGTGGAAGGGGCTGAGGGATGAGAAATTACTTAAAGGGTATAAGGACGGACTGATCACTGAAAACAGGACGTCTGGAAAATGCGGCTGATGTCCCAAGAGCTTCAAACTAAGACTCTTAATTGCTCTCACTTTCAAGGATTTGGGAGGCGTTTATAAAAGCAACAGAGAGTAGCTCTGAGCTCCTCTGCGGGGGTTGAGCAGCAACGAAATGAAGCTGGAATCAGTGCTGTTTCTCATTCTGCATCACAGGTGGAATTCAGGTGGTTACAGAAAGTACCCCACAGGGCACACACACGGTTTGGGCATTTCCCGGACCCGAATCTTAAACGTGCCTCAGCCCGCAGAAGCCTGCACCCTATCCATTGGAAACAGAAAGTATTAACAGAAGGTACCATGGAGGAGAAGCATGAAGACAAGAGAAGAATGATTCCAACTGGCCCAGAGTGTCAACCTTGGTCATAATCCATTGCCAAGTCTTAGAACTAAGGGTGAGGCAGCAACAGCAACCGAGACCTGTAGGATAGATCTCCCTGCAAAGATGGGCTGCTCTGGAATAAAGATGTTTGGGGTCCCCCATGACCCCCCAGTGACTCCACATGGGTGTGCTTGGTTCCAGCTGAAAAATCAGACATGGTTTCTTCTGTACCAAACATAGCCCTGGACCTCAGCCAAGAAGTGCTGCTGTCATCCTACAGGCACCCAGTGCCAAATCTCTCCACAGCTAAGTATGCTTTCACTTCCATGCCTGAAAAGCTGCAAGCACTCACAAGGTCTGCCTGGGGACAAGTGCCTCGGAGCCAGGGCCCGCCCTCAGGGCTGCATGGAATCTGACACCGGTTTCCTCCAAACTTCTTTAAATGTGGATGGTACTTCCTAAGGCCGATCTCCAGGTTCAGACACACTCTCAAGTCCTGAGTGTTGTGATTGGAACACTCAGGAAAGAAGTGAGCATGGGCCTGGAAGAGCGTGGTCCACACATTAATCCATAGAATGAGATGGTGGGAGGAGAAGCTGCAGGTCAGATTGGGGCAGGGTTCATAATCCAACAGCCAAATGTCTCTGCACTAGGAATCCTGAAAGCAGAGAACATTGGGGGTGCTAACTTCAAATTCTGGCATGGAACTGCTCATCAGCTGCGGGCCCTGGATGGGGCTTGGCTGCATCTCTCGCCAGGAGAATGGAGCCTTCCTCTTCCCCTAAGGCTGTTCTGAAGATTCAGTGGCAGACGGATGTTAGAATGCACCAGAAGGATTTGAAGATGTGACAGGGCTCGGTGTTCCAAAGGAAGGTCCTGGAGACGACTGGGGTGCTCTGTGTGGGGTGACAGAGGGGCTGTTTTAAGATTGCTGAGGCCTGGGGACACAGCTGCAAGACGGAAGGGCATGTGCTAAGTGTGGAGAGTTCATGCAGATGAGGACTGAGGAAAGGCCAACCACGTCGGGGGTCAGGAGGTGGGCTGCTGAGGGAGGTGGGTGGCCAGTGGGCTGGGCGCAGGTGGGCCTGGTGCAGGCAGCCTCAGCCCCAGGCTGAGTCAGCCCCACTGCAGCAGACTCTCCCCTGGGCTGGGCCTGCAGCTTTCCCAATGACTTGTGTTATCTGAGACCAAAACAGATGTCCCTTCAGCAACTAAGACAGACCCTATGGTTAAGGAAACAAAGTTACCTATGTGCTGGCATGGTAACTTCCTAAATTCCTGGGCTACAAAGAAAGCCACACTCTTGCTAAACTCCCTAACAATAGGTGCTATCAGACCCCTCTGATTTATAACCCAGACCACTGCAACTCTGATGGGACAGAGGACAGCCCTTACAAACACCCCTTTCTCATAAGCAACTGCAGACCTCAAGCCAGTTTCAGCAACTTATGGAGGCTGTGCACAGGCTGTCTTTGTGTCCTATAGTTCACCTGTTGATGGAAAGAGCCAAATTCCACCTCATTTTAATGCTGAAACCCCACCCTAAAGTGACATGAGATGTGTGTTACGTACATGTTTGCCCATTGCACATGCACTCAGCTCCCCTTATAAACATGCACAGCTTTCCCCCAAACCTGCTAAACATGTCTGATTCTACTATGTAACACAGACCCTGCGAGCCATAAAATCCAACTGCCCTTCCCCTTCTGCGAAGCGAGAGCACCTTCGTTCCATGTCAGAGACTATCTATTCCTGGCTTGCAAACTGATGTCACCAGTAAAGCTGTCCTTTCTACTATTTAGCCATCCTGGGGGCCTTCTGACAACACTCAAATGCTCACTGAAGTTTGCGAGCCACAGCCTAACTTACTCAAGCAGGAAAGGTAGAAGTGAAAGGGAAGACAAGAACATGGAAGCCCGGGGGACTGGAAGCTGAGTCAGGGCACCGTGATGGCCACGCTGAAGGGAGGGCAGGTGGACGTGGATGGCCCAAGATGCCCTGCGGAGGGTAGGTGTGAGAACTCTGTCTCCGTAGGATTGGGTGGGTGTGCGTGCTGAGACCAGCAGGGCCCAGAGAGGAGCTAAAGTTAGGTGTAAAAGTAACCCCGCCATTGACCTGCTCAGTGGAAAGTGCACTGTCCATATGAGTGACAGGAGAAGCAGAAAAACAGCTGGAGCCTAGGGGAGAAGCAGTCTGGACACAAGATTGGAGCTCAGTTACTTCCACCGGCTGCAGGCCAGACGCTCCAGCAGCCTGCTCCAGGGCCACCTGGGTGTTCAGCTGCCCCTAGGCTGACACACTTCCAGTCCTGAGTAGTCTCTTCAGGAGATGACTCACTTAAGCCTTCCATCGTCGCATCCAGACCAGGACAAGGCTCTGCACTCAGCAAGTGGTAGACCACTTGGTAGACCCGTGGAGGAAGCCCTCTTCCTGACACACAATTTCACAACTACTGCTTAAAGCCAACACAGGTAGTCCATTTTAGTTACCAAAACAGTCGGCAATCAGCAACGACTCCTGCTGGTCTACATGCATGCAGCTTCTTTCTGGCAAGGCTGAGTGCACTGGTGCTGAGGACCAGTGCGTGCCCTGCTGGGGCCTCCAAAGGCCCTGAATTAGTGTCTGGCTCTCCAGCATCGAGGTCTTGGGAGGAATCTAAAAAGTTTGATGTCTGCCTATGCAGGTGGTGGGGGGCACCTGGTGGGCAGGGATTGCCTGGCTAAGGTGGGCAGGGTGAGATCAAACCTCAGGAACTATGGCACAAGGCTCCATGTGCCCCTTCGCCAGGCCCTGACAACATTTAAGGTGGGCTGTGGCCCCAGTGATGACTGAGCCACTCAGGCTGCGGTCAGGGCTACTCACTGTCCCCACAGAAGCTCCCAGGGAGGCTGGCAGCGAGGACAAGGGGCTTCACAAAAACTTACTAAGCTGTCTTGCCACAGATATACAAGAACTGCTGCAAGCTTCCCAGCTTAGACCCATTTAGAGATGGTCAGTGGGGCATTCCCCATGCTTGATGAGCTCTGTAAAACACTGAACCACAACCCAATAACATTGCACAGGTGCACAGGGTAGCTAGCACCTGGGCCCCACCCTGTGCCAGGACCCAGAAGGGAAGCAACTGTGAGTTACAGGTCTGGCCTCAAAGGGGCTTAGGGAGACAAAACAATCACAGCAACAAGACTCCCAGCAGCAATGGAATGTAAGATATTCTATTATAAGATGTTAATTTCACGAAGACCTCAAAAAGACTTAAGAAGAGAGAAATCAGGGCGAGCCGGTACCTAGGCACCTACCTATTTTTGCTGGAGACAAACAAACCCAAACTACAATGAACACCCATGTATGTGTGGATCACGCCTTGGCAGTCAGATCCCGGCAAGAAAATGTACAGACCCCAACCATGAATGCGACTGGAGTCTCCCTCTTATGTAGTCTTGTCTCATTTCTTTACACTCATTTATTTCTTTATGTCGTTAATCCAATTGAAAGGTAAGGGAAACAGTGGGTTACTGGTGAAGGCAAGACCACTGCTTATTCTCCCTGATAGGTCTAAGAATTTGCCTCCTGGACCACTCTGTTCAGACATAGACACAACATCACACTCCAGGAGACACGCCATTGGGTGCTTCCTGGTCCCTGCCTTCTGGTCCTCGCTTCTGGCTTTCCTGCCCAGTGTTCTTGGCAATGACCGGGCTTCACCTGCAGGAGGGCTTTACAAAGTGTTCCTGGAGGCACAGTCCACACTGACACAGAAATGCAAGCAGGATTGGCATCCACACTAAGGCTGGGGGATCCCTTCCACAGGCTGTCGCTGCGGCAGGAGCTTGTAAAAACAGAGGATGACGAAAAGCAAGAAAAATAAAATGAAACTTCAAACAAAACTGCATCTTCCCCAGCGTTCCCTGGCAGACATCCCTGAGTATTTTTCCTTCATACTTTCACATCCCTTCTGATGTGGCATCATCAGGGTGTCCTGACTCTTAGAAGCAGCGGCCACATCTGTCAGCAGAAGTGTAGGGAACACCAGCAGTGAAACAAACATGCGAGGGGCTCGCCTGGAGAGTGGGACCACGGGACGGGCTTTGGCGTTTGGTTGTAACCCATCTCCATGGTAAACCATGACTTTAAAGGCGTTTTCCAGTTCCTCATCTAAGGAAAAGTCCTGGATTATTACTTTGGCACTGAAGCTGGAGAGATTGAGCCCTGGGGAACCTCTGACCCTTATTTCAAAATTCCTAAAGCATCACTGGCTAACATCTGCTTAGCCAAGGTGAAATGATGGGTAACATTTTTACCCTCCTGCTCCAGACACTGAAAACAAATCTGTGAAACAAGATTTGCAGATATGGGACAGCAGAACGCACAGGACAGCAATCACCAAGAGCGGCGGAGCCCATAACATGGGCTCTGTTACTGTCTCTGGGTTCTCTAGCCTCTCCCTGCATTGAGAAGACAGAGTTCTGGATCTGGGGAGCCACAGTGGCTACAGGATGCAGGCCAGAGTTCTGGAGAGGAGGGAGCTGTAGAGAGAGACAGTCCTGGAGATCTGCAGAAAGTCCCCTGGAGTCTTCAGCTGAGAGCTGATCAGGGCATTCATATGAGGGAACTATCCAGCACTGGGGAAAGAACTGCCCACAAGGAGAAGGCAGAGCAATCTCTGAGGTCACATAAAGCCAGGAATAGTTTTCATTTCCAACTTCCAGAGTGGAAGCCTCATAAGTCATGGGGCATGGAGTAGAGAAGGTTATAGCCTCAGCAGTAGAGAAATTAGCCCCACATGAAAGGCTTCCCTGGCCCTGCCTAACAAAGCCTCAAAGCGAGCCTCAAAAACACCAAACTGAGTCTAAGCAATTTAACAAAAATCAAAGCTCAAGAACATCTGCAGGAATGCCAAGATGTCCAATACCTCAAACAGTAAAATTCACAAAGTCAGTAACCAGCTGAAAATTACCAGGCATGCAAAGAAAAAGGAGGGTGCCTCAGAAGCATCACACAGCTCCATAAGCCCATGCAGCCTCTAGTTCATAGGCAAGATTAAGAGTCGGAGGTGTTCCAACCCCGTCTCAGGTGGGGGTGCATAAAGTCAACTGGGAGTTGAGAACTAGAGCCCCCATCCTTCCATCCCTCTCCCACTGCCTATGTGGTTCTTGGCATGCTGGGTTTCTCTTAGAGAAGCTGAGGGGGTCTTTGGAAGGAGGAGGGAAGGCAGAGACCAGGACTGTGAATATGAGCCAGCTCCCTGACCCAGAGTGCAAGCCGGTGGGTGAACCCACCCGGACCACAGGATCAGACAGGTCTGGAGGTGCTGCGGAGGAGAGAGGAGCCTCAGTTCAGCACCTGGGATACTTCCCTTGTGGCTCTCATGGGAAGTCACACCCTTCCCCTCTTCCTCCCTGAACACATCCCGCCTGGCCCAGGCAAGGGCCGAAAACCCACAAGACCAAGGTAAAATGGCAAATCCAACACGGCGGAGCTGCTCACTACTTTGAGGTAGTGCAGAACGCGGAGTGTGCACAATTAACAACAATGCCCGAGCTATCCGCTCCCAATGAGAGCTGTCGTTGTGCCTTTAAGTCACCACCAAACGTCTCAAGAGCATACTTAAGAGGCAGAGGTTCAAAATAATAGCCTCTCTTTGTAAAAGATAAAGTGACAAGGAGGCACCGGTGCTACAGGAGCAGGAGGAACTGAGCTTGATGTTGCTGCATCAACCAAGGCTTAGAACCCAGTGGTCTGATGAGGCACGCTATCATCATTGTGCTGAAGATAAGCACTCTCAAACGGGAAATGGCCATCAGCAGGAACTCCTGCTATTTTTCTGGGTATTATATTATTTCACTAAATAAAGATTTTCATGTTGGCTGCCATTATTTTTTCCAGGATCTATAAACAGCATTCCATCCACAATTTTCCCAAACACCACACCATATTAATTCAACAACCAACTAAGGCACAAGCATCCTGACAGCAGACAGAGGCTTGGGTCTGGCGTCACAGAGTCTGAATCTTCTGCCCCCTCCAGCTCTGCTTCTTCCCCGGATCCTAGGGTTATCCTACCACAGCCACTGACGCTATGGCCTTTTTCTGGGTTAGCAGACACTGGGATGACTAGGAGGCTCATCATCAGCAGCTGGGCCCCACCTCCACCTCTCATCTGTGACCCATTGCTCACCACGTGCTCCAGCATCTCCCCACACAGACCAACGCCCCGCTGGCCCACGGAGGTCCAGCACCCTCAGGCTTCACACTTCTTATTAGCCAAGTGGAGAGGAGTGTGCACCCATCACATGCCCCTGAAAAGCTGCTCAATTAGAAACAGACAATCAATGGGAAACGCCAAGAATAAACAGTTACAGCTCTGATTGAATTCTAGACCTCCCCCCAGGGAAAGGCACCTATTTTTTCAGCCCAAGCCAAATCCAAAGGCAGCAAAATAGCCCGGACTCTGAGCGGCTCTCTGTTCCTTCCTAAGCAGACCTGTCTGGGGTATGTGCTGGCTGCCGGGACAGGTGCTCCGCACCCCATCTCTGTCTGTCCTCACATTGCAGACTAGGGTCTATCTAGGCACAGGATGGTCACTGTTCACCATGGAAACTTAGGGGAACAAAGGAAGGGGTTCTTCCTCCCCGCCCTTTACTGTCAGAGATGCTGAGATGCTGGCTGTCTCTAAGGATCCTTGGGATGCCACCACATGCACGTGTGGGGTGAGGGCATGAGGGTCTACCTAGGTGACCACTCACGCACACACCAGCAACACAGGGAGCAGCCAATTTCTGAATATCCTATTGAGGATAAGTAAAGCACTATCTCTGGGGGGTCTTTTTCAGTTGGTTCCTTGAGATCTGGGTCTCCCCATTACTCTACCTGGACAACCGATGTTGTCAATGTGGAGGCAGAGCTTGACACTTGTGTCTACTGTCTTTCATCATTTTTTTGAACTATTTTTGGATCACGATCCTGGCCCCATGGAGAGGTTTTCCTCGCAGACGAGAATCACTGGCGTATTTGCTAACATGCCTTCTAAGTCTCCATGCAAGCCACCCACCCAGGCTCTGTGTGAGCAGCCAGAGGCAGCCTGTGTCCCGCCCCCAAGTCTCTCCAACCCGAGCTGATTCCTTTCCTGACAATGCTCCTTAAAGACAGCTTCCAAGAGGGCTGCCTCTCCTAAGCGTCCACACCCTGGACCTGTGTCCTGGTATTGTTGACATCATCCAACTGCAAACCTCACCCAGGCAGGAAACTGCCCTGCCTTCAAACCCATTCAGCTAACCAGGCCAAATGTGTTCAGTGCTCAGGAATGACACAGTGATCTTCAATCAACACAGCAATGGACCGAGGAGCAGCTTTCACTCCACAAACATTTACACCACCACCACCAGCACAGGACAGTGCTCTCTGCCTACCCCAGCCAGCCCAGCCTGTGTGTTCTTATCTTCTCTATGCCCCATGGCTAGCCCATGACGTCTGCCACTGCCCTTGTTTGAAGGGGGAAACTGAGGCTCAGGAAGGTAAAGGGGGTGACCACAGGCCATGCCCCCAATGTGCAGGTGATGTAGGACAAGCTGGGCCCAGCCAGGTCTGCTCTGAAGCCCGCATCGCCCTGAACTGCCCATGGGCTGCTCATGGTCCTGCCATCAGGGCCTATGAGGAATGGGCCCTGTTCTCAACAGCTGAGGGCTGGGCCGAGGCCTGACCCCAAGCAGGTCAACTTGGACCCTGTGCAGAAAGAGAGGGGGGCTGCAGGGGTGCTCAGCCCCGGCACTCATGCCACAGAGAGGGCAGAACTCTGGATGACGGAGTCCCTCGCCTGCCATCCTCCTGTGAGTTCACTCTGCCCTGGCCCACTGGGGAGGAGGAATTCCTCAGACTGGCTCATCCTCACTCCCCTTAGAACAAGCGCCTTCTGAAATTCTGAAAAACCTCAAGGGCTAAAGACCCAGAAGGAAGGCCCGGTGGAGTGTTTGGATTTAGTTCTTGTCCCATCCGCTAGACTAGAGTTCCAGAGGGTGAGAGGCCAGGCCCACTCCTCTCTGTGCCCGAGTGGACACTGGGGCAGGGTCAGCCTAGGCTCCTGGCAAGGGGCGCTGTCCAGCTGGCATCTGATGAACAGGTGTCAGGGAGACGTGCCCTGGGTCCTGGCGTGGGGACGGCCGCAGGAGAGTTTCTCACTTCCTTTTGCAAAACGATGGGCGAAAAGGACAAGGAGGCAGGTTCCAGGGCATGGGACGGTGGCTGGAGCCATGGGAAGAAGAGCTGGGCAGGGAGTGAGGTATCTCCGGTGAGCACAGCACAGATGGGGTCAGTGCCCAGGGGCAGCAAGCCCAGCTCATGGGTGAATGCCTGTGGCAGGTGGGTGCCAGGGGCTGTGGAGAGACGATTATTTCTATAGAACAGCAGAGGGAAATGTACGTATGTCCAGGGCGGGGTCCACCTCCTCTGAAAGCAGCTGAAGCAGTGCAAGGCCAGGCTGGCTCCAGGCCAGGTGTGTGCCCTTCAGCTCACTGTGCCACTGGCAGGCCCTGGTGGAGACACAACCACGGAGGGAGAGCACTGTGCAGGGCACACTCTCGTTTACTTTGTGAGGTCCACCGTGGGCTTAGCATCATGGCCTGAGCTGCGCTGATGGGAAGCTGAGGCCAGGTGAGGCCAGGCGAGGTGAGAGTCCCTCGGTGAACCCCATAGGGCAGCTGTGCGCTGGGTAGAACCCTGCCAGGTGCCTGCAGATCCCGGCTGGAGCGGCTGTGGAGGAGACCTTCATGCAATCCAAGCTTACGTGAGCATGAAAGAAGATATCCTCTTAGTGTGAGGTGACGGGTCTGCTACATTCCTTCTTGCACCAGGGGACAAGCATCACCGGGACTGTGCCGGCTGCCTGTGCAGTAGCCCAAGATGGAAGCTCCAGGCTCCCTCCTGGCAGGTGGGTCTGACTCTCTCAGGAACCCTGCAAACACCCAAGTTCCCACCTCAAATGCCTGTGCGGCCTCCCAGAGGGAAGCAGTTTGGGCCAAACCAGGACTTTCCGATCCACCAGGATCCATGTGGTGTGTGGCGTGCAAGCAGTCAGTACATAAAGAATGAAAAGTCCCAGGAAACACCTGTTCAGGCTGGTCTTCAGTGGCTGCTGAGAGTCCGGGAGCCTGTATCAGAGCTGAGGCTGCCAGGCTATGGGTGTGTGGCGTGGAGCCCAGTACTGCATGGGCAGCCATCTCAGAAAGGGGCAAGAGGGGCAGTGGGGCCCCCTGCCCAAGGATGCTTGGGAGGAGGTCTGTGTCTCTGAGCCTGAAGGACAGTCCAGGGCTTCCTATCCAGGTGGGTGGAAGGGACTGTGCCCAAGAGTGGAGGCAGAACCTGTGAGGGGGTGTGGGGGCAGGTGGGGCTATGGAGCCCTCCTCATGGCCCTGAGGGAGGAGGGCTTTAAGGTGGCTTTTCAGACCCACAGGCAGTCATGCTGCAGGAAGGCACAGATGCGGCTGACTCCCCAGTTTGTCTCTGAGTGTGCCTGTGGAACCAGGAAGAGATGACAGAGAGCCTGCTGGACTGGGTCTCGGGCCTGCACCTGCTTGCGGACTCCCAATGGTGCCTGACAGCTTCTTCCAGAGGAGGGGCTGAGGGGCCCAACGCAGCCTTCAGCCACCTCCGCTACTGTCAGCTGCCTTGGTAAGATCTTACCTGTCCTTTAAGATTTGCTCTTAGCTTTTGAAATTGCAGTTAGAAGTGTGTAAAGCTTAACTGGACACCATTTTACAGCAGCATAATCTGTGCAGCTCTCCCGAGATCAGGACACGAAACCTTTCTGCAGCCCAGAACCTCCTTACCTCTTCCAGTCAGAATCCCCAAGGTCACTACTGCTCTGACTTCTGTCACAACAGAGGAGTTCTGTCTGCTTTTGAACCTCCTAAAAAAACCCATACGGCATTTACTTTTATGTCTGGCTTCTTTCAAAAATTTCACTTGGAGATTTGCCTATGCCCTTAAAGCCATTACTCTTTTGTTCACATGCATGGTGGGAGAGCGTTCCATTGTATGGATATACTGCATTTTCCTCAGCCATCCCACTGTTGATGGACACTTGAGTGGTATGCTGTTTAGGGCCATTGTAATGAACTTTCCATGAACATTCATGTATATGTTGGGTATCCCAGTAAGATTCTGCCTGGAGAAAAAAGTTTGGCCAGCTAAAAATGTCCGAGAGCTCAGATTTCTGACTTCTGGACGACATTGTAAGTGGTATTCGCGCATTAAGTTCTTTGGTCTTAAGCACCAGGACAGAAAAGCTAAAGCAAATGTGCAAATACATGGAAACTTGCGAAGTGTTGAGGGCAGATGTGAATCTTACAGGAGAGTGTGTGTGTGTGAATTATCTGCCATTGCTGTGGGAGGGCCTCAGATGGCCTGGGCAGCACATTCAAACTAAATGTGCGAGAACCACTGGTCCCGAATATTTGAGGAAGAGGGGAGGAAATGAGAGATGAGGCTGCAAAATAGACTATGGACTAACTGCAAAGGGCTTTGAATGCTAAGCTAAAGCATTTGGACTTTATCCTGCAGGCAACGGGGAATTGACAGATGTTTTAAACAAACATCTTTAAGTATCTGCACACTGTGTGGTAGGTGTGGCAAAGCTGGCCGTGTCACCCGTGGGCTTTCGGTGCCAACTCTGAAGCCCTTAAGTGTGTCAGGCAGGGGGGACACATGGAGCCCAGCACTGAGCTGAGTAAACTGCAGTTCATTAGCCAGAGACAGTGGAGAGGCAGGATATGGTGTGAGAGCAGGAGAGTGAAGGGCTGGCTGAGTCTAGGGCCAAGAGGCCCGCGCTGAAACCTTGGTTCTGCCACTCCTCGGCTGTGGGACCTTGAGAATGCTACGTTACCTTTCTGCACCTCTGTTTGCTCATCTGTAAAGCAGGGCCATTCATGGTTTTCATATGCCAGTGTTGCTGAGAAGATTAAATGAGCAGGTACTTCCAAGTGTCTGGCACACAACAAGCACTCAGTAAGCATTCACTGAAGCCACTCTTATGGGATGACGCTGGTGGTTACAGCATGAAAGCATGTGGTCAGCTCACCAATGTGCACATGTGGCCTTGCACTGACAAATGGCAGACACACACGCCATAGGCAAATACTCCTACATACACACACAGCCCCAGGCTAGCAGGTGTTTTAAAGACACACGTGTTAAGATGCTTTCTGCACAGCAGCTACCCTAAACGTACTCACTAGAAACCTGGTGCTTTAGTTACAGAAAAGGGAAAGGAAATTAGTAGGTCTGGAATTAGCCTCAAAACACCTTTGCTGTGGTGCCTCTCAGGCAGAAGAGTTGCCCAATAACCCTGAGTCCAAGGAGGACTTTGCAGATGGCCAGCAACGGTTCCTTCCAATCCGTGTGCAGTGGGAAGGGAAAATGCTGCCTTGGGACGGGTTCTTCCCCTCTGGTGCTCATGAGAAAAGAGCAGCAGCACTTGGGGGAGTTGGAGAAGCATGGGTGCCAGGCGCAGGGGTCCCTTGAGAAAACGGGGAAGGTGCACAAGGGGGCCCTGCTGCCACTGCCCACGTGGTGAGATGACTTGCAGCCAGGCCTGGGACCAGCCACTCAAAACTGGCCAAGGCAGTGCTCACAGCACTGACCCCATGAGGTGAATCAAAGCCCACACATAGCAGCTCTCTGGCCAGAGGCTATTGTGGAGGATCCTCTTTCTCTCTTAGAAAAGGGGCTTGAAGGTCAGGTGACCCCACTGTAGTGAAACAAGGGTGGGCAAGAAGGAGCCAAGTGTGGGAGGGCGGCACGGTCTTACCTCCACGTACAGGAGCGGGAAGATCCCGATCTTGTCTCCCAGCATGCCTTCCGCCCAGTTCTCATCCACTCTCCTGAGCACCGTCAGAATCTCGTCCTGCAGTTCCGGGTCCACCGTGGACACAAGCATACGGACACACACACAATGAAAAAGGAAGCAAGACACTGGTTAGTACTGTGGAGGCTCGGAAGAGATTCCAAGGAATGAGTTCAAGAAGAGTGCATTATCCATTCAGGTATCTGACATCTTCACCCAGGAGCACCCTCTCTTTCTTTCTTTTTGTTTGGAGGGAGGGGCGGAGTCTCGCTCTGCCACCCAGGCTGGAGTGCAGTGGCGCAATCTCCGCTCACTGCAGCCTCCGCCTCCGGGGTTCAAGCGATTCTCCTGCCTCAGCCTTCCAAGTAGCTGGGATTACAGGCGTGTGCCACCACACCCAGCTAATTTTTGTATTTTTTGGTAGAGATGGTGTCTTGCCATGTTGCCCAGGCTGGTTTTGAACTCCTGAGCTCAGGCAATCTGCCCGCCTTGGCCTCCTAAAGTGCTGGGATTACAGGTGTGAGCCACCGAACCCAGCCAGCACCCTCTCTGACACTATTGATTATAGCTGCAAAGAGCCCCATATGGGAAAGCCTGGCAATGTACCACAGAGTTAGGGCTTTAAAATGCAACTCCTATTATTTATTTAATGAAATAAAAATATTTGGAATAAAAATAAATTCAGCTAAGTAGAAAAGGCTTTAAGATTCTGGCTTCATCCAAGAACAAAAAAATAACTCAGTCCAACTACATTTATTTAGAGTCATGGGCACATAAAGCTTTCAGTAACCCTCTTCAATTCTTTGGAATATTAAACAATACCAAGTATAAATGCACAAAGTGGAAACAGATGGAAGGAGAAAGGAAGAGGCAGGCAGCAAGGAGGAAAGGCGGGCTTTCGGGGGGGTTGAGACTGGGAGATGAGCAGTCATCGAGGAAGGAAATAGGACACTGTCACAGGTACCAAGAGACACAGAGACGAATGGCAGGGCGGGTGAGAAAGAGGAAAAGGACGGAGGAGAGATGGGGACTCACAGTGGGACGTGACCAGAGAGGAGCCCTGGGGGAAGGAGAAAACAGCTGTAACAAGTGTCAAGAGAGACAGATGGCCGGGCGCGGTGGCTCATGCCTGTAATCACAGCACTTTGGGAGGTCGAGGCGGGTGATCACCTGAGATCAGGAGTTTGAGACCAGCCTGACCAATATGGTGAAACTCAGTCTCTACTAAAAAGACAAAAATAAGCCGGGCATGGTGGCAGGCACCTGTAGTCCCAGCTACTTGGGAGTCTGAGGCAGGAGAATCGCTTGAACCCGGGAGGCAGAGGTTGCAGTGAGCCGAGATCGTACCTCTGCACTCCAGCCAGGGTGACAGAGTGAGACTCCATATTAAAAAAAAAAAAGAAAAAGAGAGAGAGAGACAGAGACAGAGACAGAGACAGAGACAGAGACAGAGACCACCACAGCAATGGCCTGGGCAAGACGGGTGCCACTCCAAGGGGCCTTTGGCGAACCTCTGTTCCCTTCTCCGGAACCATCCCTCCTTCGGCAGTCAGGTGCATCATGGAACGCCCCAAGGCCTGTCAGCCTAAACTGCCCCCGTTATTTGTTCTCTGCTAGACCAGCTGGCCCATGTGTGACTTGAACAGGCTAAGGAGGAGATGGCCAAGAGATGGCCTCATGGAGAAGCCCCTCAGAGCTGAGTGCACCACCCGCCTTTCCAAGGAGCCTCTGATGCTGTAACACAAAGCAGCAATTCGGGACTTACAGGCCTCTTTTGGGGTCAGAGGGAGAGATGTTTTAGGCTGGTGGGGTCTAAGAAATCATCAGAGAAACTGCTTCACCGGGAGCGGAGGGGGCCGTAGGGTTTGGTGTCCATCCGAGTTGAGGCAGCATTGATCTAACAGAGCTGGACAGCCCATGTGGGATCACACAGAAGGAGGGCAGGCTGGGCTCTGTGCTGGGAAGCTCCTCCCATGCCTCTTCCAAACCGCCCTCTCCCAGGAGAACAAGTAGAGCGTGGGGGCCACCAGAGGCAATCACACCCCTCACTTTCCCCATCCTCTCCCCCAACCCCCAGCTTCAAAAACACCCAAACCAAAAAGATTTATGACTTTACAATGCCACTTTTTCCAACTGACATTATAGGCCAGAAAAACGTAAAGAGCATTCTAAGAGCATCATATCACTTCACACAGCCCAAAAGTCAGCCTCAGGTCTGGGGGCATTTAGCAGAGCGTCCCTCCAGCAACGCTCAGCGTTGAGTGTGTGGGGCTTTTCTTTCTTTTCTTTTTCTTTTTTTAGACGGAGTCTTGTGCTGTCGCCAGACTGGAGTGCAATGGCCCAATCTCAGCTCACTGCAACCTCCACCTCCTGGGTTCAAGTGATTCCCCCTGCCTCAGCCTCTAGAGTAGCTGGGACTACAGGTGCTCACCACCACTCCCGGCTAATTTTTTTTTTTTTTTTTAAGAAGAGACGGGGTTTCACCATGTTGGCCAGGATGGTCTCGATCCCCTGACCTCGTGATCTGCCCACCTCGGCCTCCCAAAGTGCTGGGATTATAGGCGTGAGCCACCATGCCCGGCCAAGTGTGGGAGGGCTTTTCTAAACACCACGAGGACACTAGAGTGGGGCCCTGGCTTGGGGGAGGCGCCCACAGAATGCTCCGGAAATCTGTGCCTGACTTGCCTCTCAAGCTCACCACCAGCAGAGGCCCAAGGCATGATTGGCCCAGCTCAGATCAGCCTAAGGGCCTAAGGCTTCGCTGTCACATAAAGGGAGAGATAACCAAAGGCTTCCCACACATCAGAGCTGTCACAACAGCAAAATATCACAAGATAGAAATTTAATTTTATAAAAATTAAAAACAAAAAGAAGAAAATGCCAGATTAATTTTGTTTCTTTCGTTCTTTCTTTTTCTTTTTCTTTTTTTTTTTTTTTAAAGAAAATACCATGATATCCACACTGGTATCTAACATTGGTCTAGAAATTAGAGCCAAATAAATAGAAAAATAAGACAAGAAGTATAAATATTAGAAAGAAAGGTATATAATTTTCTACCTAGAAAAATTAGAAGCAAGTGAATATTAGAATAAGAATTTGAGGAAGGTTGCCAATTTTAGGATAAATACATAAAAATCATTGGCTTTCTCATATACCAGCAATAATCAGTTAGAAAATGTTACTAAAATTGGCCAATCATTAAAAAAATAAAATTAGTTCTCTAATCCACTGTATATGCCAAAATTCATTCCATAAGGATTAAACTTGAATGTCCAAGAAGAAAATATGAATAGATGTTTAATCTTGAACTGGGGAATGTATTTCAAGGTATGATAACAAAGATTTGGCTACAGCAAAACTAAATACTCAATGTTAAAAATAACAGAAACAAAACAAAAAGGCAAATAAACAGAAAAATACTTGCAGGATACATGAGAGACAAAGGCTTAATGTCTTTACTGTATAAAGACTTAAAAAAACAGTGGAAAGGCAGACAAATACCTTAAGAGAAAAATAGGCCAAGGCCAAAAATCAGGGAACTCATGAAAGAAGAAAAACAAATTTCCATTAAACATATTTTAAAATGGCATACCTGGCTAATATTCAAACAAACACAGTTTTAAACAGGAAGATTCCCCTTTTGTTCCTTTGCCTGTCAAATTAGCAATGAGAAACATAAACCCAACTCACAGTGGTGGCCAGTATGCATGGAACAGGCACTTTCCCATTTTTGGTGGGGATATAAATGTAGGGCAGGCAGTTCGGTGATTCCTATCAAATATCAAAGCCTTGGAAGCCTGTGCACCCTCTGAGCTACAAATAGCCACTCCTAGGAACTCTATTCTAAGAAAAATCAAGTGTGCAGAAAGATTTGTTACTGAAGACATTCATTACAGTGTTTGTTAAACTAGAGAAAAACTAGAGACAAATGCAAAGCAAAAGGGGACTGGTTAAATAAATTACAGTATTGTGCATTCAATGGAATACACTCAGTCATTAAAAATGATACAGGAGAGAAATAATGGAAATTAAAAGAGAAATGTTAATATTAAATTCAAAAAACAGGCCAGGCACAGTGGCTCATGCCTGTAATCCCAGCACTTTGGGAGGCCGAGGTCGGTGGATCACCTGAGGTCAGGAGTTCAAGACTAGCCTGGCCGACATGGTGAAACCCCGTTTCTATTAAAAATACAACAACTAGCCAGGCATGAGGCCGTGTGCCTGTAGTCCCAGCTACTTGTGAGGCTGAGGCAGGAGAATTGCTTGAACCCAGGAGGCAGAGGTTGCAGTAAGCTGAGATTGTACCACTGCACTCCAGCCTGGGTGGCAAGAGCAAGACTCCATCTAAAAATAAAAATAAAAAGTAAAAAATTCAGAAAACAAGACGGGCACAGTGGCTCACACCTGTAATCCCAGTTCTTTGGTAGGCCGAAGTAGGCAGATCACTTGAGGCCAGGAGTTCGAGACCAGTCTGGCCAACATGGCAAAACCCTGTCTCTACTAAAAAAAAAAAAAAAAAAAAAAAATTACCAGGGCACAGTGGCATATGCCTGTAATCCTAGCTGCTCTGGAGGGTGAGGCACGAGAATCTCTTGAACCAGGAGGTGAAAGTTGCAGTGAACCAAGATCATGCCACTCCACTCCAGCCTGGGCGAGAATGAGACTCTGTCCCAAAAAATAAAATAAAATAAATTCAAAAAACGAATCCCAGTCCTGATCGCTGGTATTTCAGCTTACCTTCCACAAAGCAATCATTAATAAGTTTCTTTTTGTTTATTTATTTATTTGTTTTTGAGACGAGGTCTTGCTCTGTTGCCCAGGCTGGAGTGCAGTGGCACAATCACAGCTCACTGCAGCTTTGACTTTCCAGGCGCAAGTGGTCCTCCCTCCTCAGCCTCCTGAGTAGCTGGGACCACAGGCGTGTGCCACCACACGCAGCTAATTTTGTTGATTATTATTTGTAGAGACAAGGTCTCACTATGCTGCCCAGGCTGGTCTCAAACTCCTGGGCTCAAGTGATCCTTCCACCTCAGCCTCCTAAAGTGCTGGGATTACAGGCATGAACCACCATGCCCAGCCATAAAGCTTCTTATATAGCCTTAGAGAAGTACAGAGATATTCTCCTCAAGTATGTATATATGTATACGTGCATAAACGTATATATGCACACATACATTCATGCCTTTTAGAAAGATATAAATGGTAGTGAACTCACCACACTTTTCTGTATCTTGCTTTTTTCCACTTAATTTAGTCTAAAGATCATTTAGTGACAGTACATATAGATCTTCCTCACTAACTACACAGAGACATTCCATTATATGAATTTACTGTAATTTACTTAGTGGACTTGATAGTTATTTTTAAACGAAAAAAGCAAAGTAAGATACAAACCCATTTGCATGGTGCCCATAAAGTGGAATGTCATCATTAATTTTACTATTTTTGCTTAAGAAAGTTTAAATATATATATACCTAGAAAAAGTTTGAAAATATATATGCCAAAATTTAAAGAATGGATAACTCTAGGAGATAGAAGAGGTGGAACACTTTTATATTTATTTTTTCTTTCCTATTTTTCAAATAATCTCAGTGAATACCAAGTATTTAATAGTTTCATAACAGAATTGTCTTATATGCCAGAAAACAAATTCAGGAAGAAAGCAAGCAGCATGTAATTTTCTTGTGCTTCTAAATGACATGTATATTTCCACTCTGAAATTTTTTTAAATGTTGAAAAACCAAATATCAAAAATATACTTTTCTTTTGTAAAGAAAGTTGATTTCCAGGCAATTTAACAGTGAAAGGGATGGATACCTGCGATGGCAGGATCATAGTTCACAAGTACAGTCGACAGCCGGGACCACAGATACATGCAAATTGTACATTTCTCCATTTAGGCAAAAAAACTAAATAACATAAATGTTCCTTGATAAGAAGATCAATGAAATAAAACAGTGTCTGTGGCTTTTAGTTAAATACAACCGCCACAGTAACTATCATTAGGAGTTGGTTGTTAAAGGTGTATTAGCACACACACCATTCAATAGCTAACAGGGGGGTGTCCGGCTCCCAGTCTAGAACGTAAGAAGCTGAAAGTCACCACTCCATCTTAACAATGAGTAAAAAAGCTGAACAAACTGAAAAAGCAACTCCTCTTCTTAGATCTGTAAGAGAACTGAGGTCACAGGGCAAACTGCTGCCCCCCAAATTGAAGAGATCAATAGGGAAATACCAGAAATCCCCAAGCAGCAGCCTCCGTGGGAAGCAGTGCTCGGCTAGGAGGGCCTGAACTGTAACTGATGTGTGCTGGAGGTTCAGTGTGGACAGCCTGAGAGGTAAGAACTGCAGGGGCCCAGTCACTGGGGGGCCCACACCTTTGTGAATTGTGCCTCAAGGAGCAGCTCCACTAAGTCTTCATAGTGAATATCAGAGAAAAATCCACTCGTGCTTCTGGCAGGGGGAGGGGAAGAGGAACCACTGTGAAACATGCCAGAGCATTCTGTGCTTAATAAGATCCACATACAGGATAAACTAGTTAACCACAGCCTCACCCATTGGGATGTTTTGTTTGTTTGTTTGTTTGTTTGTTTTATATGTGTGTGTGTGTCTGTGTTTCTTTTTGAGACAGAGTCTCACGATCCTTCTGCCTCAGTCTCCTAAGTAGCTGGGATTACAAGCGTGTGCCACTACACCCAGTTAATTTTTGCATTTTTAGTAGAGACAAGGTTTCACCATGTTGGCCAGGCTGGTCTCGAACTCCTGACCTCAAGTAATCTGCCTGCACTGGCCTCCCAAAGTGCTGAGAGTACAGGGGTGAGCCACCACATCTGGCCCCCATTGGGGTTTTATGAGAGCCTTACCTACTGGGGGCAAGGGAAATACCAAACTTCAACCCACTGTAGCCATCCTGTTTCACCTACAGAGGAGTGGGGGAAACTGAGAAGCACTGGGGAAGTTCACAGGCCAGGGGCACAAGCTTGCTGAAAGACTGAGACCTGATCCCAGGACTATAGAACATTTGTGGCCGCATGGCCCCCACAGCACCAAAGGCCTATTTACAGCAGTTCTTTTTACCCAGTCCACCATGTCTGGTATCAAGAAAATATCACAGTACATACTGAAAGGCAAAAAACCCCACAGTTTGAAGAGACAGAGCAAGCATCAGAACCAGATTGAGATGTGGCAACTAATGTTAGACTTAAAAGATCACGGATACAAAACAACTATGATTCACATACTAAGGGCTTTAATGTTTGAACTAGACAGCATGTAAGAACAGATGGGTGATGTAAGCAAAGATAAAGAGCCAGAAAAGAAATGTTAGCAATCAAAAACCCTGTAGCAGAAATGAAGAATGCCTTCGACGTGCTTATTAGGAGACTGGACACAGTTGAGGAAAGACTCTCTGAGCTTGAGGATATCTCAATAGAAACCTCCACCATGGAAAAGCAAACAGAAAAAAAAAATTAGAAAAAAAAAAAACCATAATGGAGCATCCAAGAACTGCAGGACAACTTCAAAGCAAGAATTGTGGGGCAATTATACATATGTAATGGGAATACTAGAAGGAGAAGAAAGATAGAAAGGAACAGAAGGAATATTTGAAACAATAATAACTGAGAATTTCTCCAAATTATTGTCAGACACCAAACCACAGATCCAGGAAGCTCAGAGAACAACAAGCAGGATAGATGCCAGAAAAATGACACCTTGGTATAGCACTTTCAAACTACATAAAATAAAAGATAAAGAAAAAATCCTGAAAGAAGTCAGAGGGGAAAAAACACATTACCTATAAAGGAGCAAAGGAAAAGAGTTACATTTGAATTTTCAAAAGAAAATGCAAGCAAGAGAGTGGAGTAAAATATTTAAGGTGTTGACAGAAAAAACCTACCAACCTAGAATTCTGTACCTGTGAAATTATCCTTCAAAAGTGAAGCATGAATAAAGATTTGTCAAACAAACAAGAATTGAGTGAATGTGTTGCCAGTAGATGTGCCTTGCAAGAACTGTTTTTAAAGAGTTCTTTGGAGAGAAGAAAAATAATATAGGTCAGAAATTCAGATCTACAGAAAGAAAGGCAACGCACCAGAGAAGGAATGGCAGTAAACTTAAAACTTTTATTTTTGCTATTCTTAATTGATTTAACAAATAACTGTTTAAAATAAAAACAATGTATTTGATCATTTTATGCTTATGTGTGTGTGTTTACATACACTTACAATGCTCATGTACAAGAGAAATGAATCACACCAATGATACAAGGAACAGGAGGGAGAAATAAGTATTATTTTGTTATTACAAGTACTCATACTGCTTGCAAAGCAGCACAGTTATTTGAAAGTGGGCTTGAATTCATTGTAAATGAATATTGCAGACTCCAATGCAACCAATTAAAAAAGTAAAAAAAGAGGTACAACTGATATGCTAATAAAGGAGAGAAAATAGAAAATAAAAAATGCTCAATAAAAACCACAAAAGACCGAAAAAGAGTGAAAGACAGGAAAAATAACAAAAAACAAGGGCAACAAATATAATAAAATAATGCAAATATGGTAGAATTTAACCTGACTCTATCACACATCACTTTGAAAATTAATGATGTAAATATACAAATTAAAAATTTTAAGTTGATAAAATAAAACAAGATACAACTATATGTTGTTTACAAGAAATCTACTTTAAATATACACACACAAGCAGATTAACAGCAAATCAATGAAGAAAGAGATAACATGCTAACACTAATCAAAAGATATCCATATTAATTTCAGACAAAACAGACTTCAGAGTGAGAAAAGTTATCAGAATAAATAGGGGCATTACATAATGACGAAGGGGTCAATTCCCCAAGAAGACATAATAATCCTTATCATTACACGCACCTAACAACAGTGTCAAAATACATGATGCAAAAAACTGACAGAAGGAGAAGTAGATGAATCCAGTATTACAGCTGGAGACTTTAACACCCCTGAATCAGAAATGGACAGAGACAGCAAGCAGAAAATCAGTAAGGATATAACTGAACTTAATAGCACTTAATGGCACCATCAATCTACTGGATACAACTGACATCCACATAATATCTCAACCAACAACAGCAGATTACACATTCTTTTCAAGCCCACAGGGAACATTCACCAGGACAGACCATATTCTGGTCTGCAAAACACACCTTAACAAATTTAAACAAATAAAAATCATACAATGTCTACTCTCAGGCCACAATAGCATTAAATTAGACATCCATAATAGAAAGATAGCTGGAAATCCCAAAATACTTGGAGATTTAACAACATACTTCCAAGTAACACTTGGGTCTTAGAAAAACTCTCAAGAGAAATTTAAAAAATATTTTGAACTAAATAAAAATGAAGATGTAATTTACCAACATTTGTGAGATGCCGCAAAAGTAGCACCTACAGGGAAATTTATAGCACTGAATGCATCGATTAGAAAAGAAGGAAGATCTAAAATAAATAATCTAAATCTTCACTTTAGGACACTAGGAAAAAAAGAGCAAATTAAATGCAAATAATAAATAAAATAAAAGAAATAGAAGAAATCAATGAAATTGAAAACAATAGAGAAAAATCAATGAAACAAAAAAGATCAATAAATTAATCTTTAAAAAGATCAATAAAAATCATATGCTTCTAGCAAGCAAACTAAGAAAAACAGAGGACACAAAGTACTAATATCAGGAATAAAAGAGGGGGCATCCCTGTATGTCCCATGGATGTTAAAAAAATAAAAGAATATTATGAATAATGCTATGTCCACAAATTTGATAACCCAGATGAAATGGAACAATTCCTTAAAAGACAATCTGCTAAAACTCATACAAGAAGAAATATATAATTCAATAGGCCTTTATCTATTAAAGAAACTGAATAACACTTTGGGAGGCTGAGGTGGGCAGATTATTTGAAGTCAGGAGTTCAAGACCAGCCTGACCAACATGGTGAAACCCCATCTCTACTAAAAATACAAAAAAATTAGCCGGGCATGGTGGCGTATGCCTGTAGTCCCAGCTACTTGGGAGGCTGAGGCAGGAGAATTGCTTGGACCAGGGAGGCGGAGGTTGCAATGAGCCAAGATCGCGCCACTGCACTCCAGCCTGGGTGACAGAGCGAGACTCCATTTTAAAAAAAGAAACTGAATAAACAACTAATAAACTTTCAAAACAGAAAGAACCAGGACCAGATAGGTTCACTAGTGAATTCTACCAAACATATAAATGAAGAAATTATACCAATTCTCTACAATCTCAATACTTCGCAGAAAGAATATTTCCTAACTTCTATGAGGTTAACGTTACCCTAATACCAAAGCAGACAAAGCCATTGCAAGAAAATTACAGACCTATATATCTCATGAACATAAACGCAAATATCCTCAACAAAATATTAGAAAATTTAATCCAACAAGGTATAAAAAGAATTATATACCACAGCCAAGTGGAATTTATCCCAGGTATGCAAGGCTGGCTCAACATCTAAAAATCAATAAATGTAACCTATCATATCCACAGGCTAAAGAAGAAAAATCACATGCTCATATCAGTAAATACAGAAAAAGCTTTTAACAAAATCCAATACCCATTCATGATAAAAACTCTCAGTAAACTACAAATAGAGGGGAACTTCTTCAACTTGATAAAGAACATCTACAAATAACCTACAGTTCACCTAATTACGAGAAACTTAATGGTGGGAAACTTTAAACTTTCCCACTAAGATCAAGGACAAGGCAAGAATGTACTCTCTGCCCCTGCTTTTTAACATCATACTAAAAATATTTGATAATACAATAAGACAAGAAAAGGAAATTAAAAGTGTACAGATTGGGAGGGAAGAAATAAAACTGCCTTTGTTTACAGATGACATGATCATCTATTTAGAAAATCTGAAAGAACCAACTGAAGAACTTCTAGAACTAATACTTGATTATAGCAAGGTTGCAGGATACAAGGCTAATATACAAAAGTCAATTGCTTTCCTATATACAGGCTGAGTATCTTTTATTTGAAATGCTTGAGACCAAAAGTGTTTTGGACTTCAGATGTTTTCAGATTTTGGAATATTTGCATATACATAATGAGATATCTTGGGTATGGGACCCCAGTCTAAACACAAAATTCATTTGTGTTTTATATATACCTTATACACACAACCTGAAGGTAATTTTATACAACATTTTAATAATTTTGTGCATGAAACAAAGTTTGTGTACATCGAGCCTACAAAAAGCAAAGGGTATCACCCATGCGGACCATCTGTGGTTGTTTGGCATCAGCCTCACTTCTGACTCTGGATTTATATGCTACCAATAAGCAATCATTTTCTTACAATTATTCACACATAAGTATTTAGCAGTAAAAAATATGACATATTATTAATACAGTGAAAAAAATTACATGTTCAGAGTAACTAAGCGGCACAGTAGCCTCTCCAGAATACCTGTATCAGCTGTTAAACAACAGCAACAACAAACAATGGCAGGCTTTCAGTCTCTACCTATGATGCTGTGCTTTGATTAAAAGGTAAGTGTATACTTTTTTTTTTTTTTTTTTGGTGCAAGGAAACATCAGAAGTGGTTAAGGGACCAGTAAGTGGGTCCTCTGTGGATGAGGAAACATTCTGCTGGATGGCTTTTAAAAATATTTTTCTGCAGTCATCTGCCTCATCAACAATGGTCATAGAAATCTCTCTTTTCACGTGGAGAACCTGCCATTGGCATGTGCAGCCTACACATGTGCCATTTTATGACCCTTTATGGTTGTGCTTGCATGGGGGAATCTGGGCATGTGTGGAAAATAAATATCACAGCTGAAGGGGCCTGGGAGGGTCTTTTTTCCCTTGAGGATGCTGAAGAAACTGTGTGTTGTGTGCCTTCATTTTGACTACAACCCATTACATAAGGTCAGGTGTGGAATATTCCACTTGCAGCATCATGTTGGTGCTCAAAAAATTTTGGATTTTGGAGCATTCTGGATTTCAAGTTTCCAGATTAGTGATGCTCAACCTGTACCAGGAATGGACAAATGAAATTTAAGTTAAAACATGATACAATTTACATTAGGTATAAATGTAAATGGTATCATGAAATACTTAGGTACAAATGAAATACTTAAGTATAAGTGTAACAAAATATGTGCAAGATGTATATAGGGAAAATTAAAAATCTCAGATGAAAGAAATCAAAGGAGAACTAAACAAATAGATATTTCATGTTCATGGATAGGAAGACTCAATATTGTCAAGATGTCAGTTCTTTTCAACTTGTTGTATAGATTTAACACAATCTCAATCAAAGTATCAGCAAGTTCTTTTGTGAATATTGACCAACTGATTCTAAAGTTTATATGGAGAGGCAAGAGACCTAGAAGAGCCAACAAATATTGAAGGAGAAGAACAAGGGCCAACACTACATGACTTCGAGACTGAAAATAAAGTTACAATAATGAAGACAGTCTGTCATTGGCAATGCAATAGACAACTAGATCAATGGAATGGAAGAGAGCACCCAGAAATAAACCCACATAAATACAGTCAGCTGATCTTTGACAAAGGAACAAAGACAATACAATGGAGAAAAGATAGTTTTTAAAATAAACAGTGGTAGGAAAACTAGACATCCACATGCAAAAAATCTAGAAATAAACATTCCACCCCTCACAAAAATGAACTCAATATAGATCACAGACCTAAATGTAAAATATAAAACTACAAAACTCCTAGAAGATAATGTAGGAGAAAATCTAGATGATCTTGGGTTTGGCAATGACTTTTTGGATATAGCACCAAAAGCATGATCCACAAAAGAAAGAATTGATAAGTTAGACTTCATTAAAATTAGTAATTTGTACTCTGCAAAAGATACTGTCAAGGTAATGAGAAGACACGCTACAGACTGGGAGAAAATATTATCAAAAGACAACTATGATAAAGGATTATTATGCAAAATACACAAAAAACTCTTAAAACTCAACAACAAGAAAACAGTCTGATTGAATGGTGAGTCAAAGACCTTCACCAAAGAAGACACTTCACCAAAGAAGACAGTGTAGTGTGTAGTGTGTTGATGAGGATGTGGAGCAACAGGAACGCTCATTCACGGCTGGCAGAAATGCAAAATGGCCCAGCAACTTTGGAACACAGTTTGGAAATTTCTTACAAAACTAGGCATGCTTTTACCATGCAAACTAGTAATCACACTCCTTAGTATTTATCCAAAGGAGCTGAAAGCTTATGTCCACACAAAAACCTGCATATGGATGTTTAGAGTGGCTTTATTTATAATTACCCAAACATGGAAGTAACCAAGATGTCGTTTAGTAGGTGAATGGATAAACAAACTGTGGTACATCCAGATAATGGCATATTACTCAATGATAAAAAAGGAAATGAGCTATTAAGCTATGAAAAGACATGGAAGGACCTTAAATGCAAATTGCTAAGTGAAGGCAACCATTACGAAAAGGCTACATATTGTATGATTTCAACCGTATGACGTTCTGGGAAAGGAAAAACTATGAAGACAGTACAAAGGTCAGTGGTTGCCAGGGGTGGTGGAGGAGGGAGGGATGGATAGACAGGTCAGAGGATTTTCAGGGCAGTGAACCTACTTTGTATGGGCCTATAATGGTAGATACATGACATCTCCATCAGTAGACTCTGCACCAAGAGTGACTATAGGCTTAGAGTAATAACGATTTGTCAATATAGGCTCATTGATTGTAACAAATGCACTAACTCTGGTGAGTGATGTTGACAATGCAGGAGGCTTTGCATGTAGGGGCAGAGGTTTATGGGAAATCTCTGTATCTTCTGCTCAATTTTGCTGTGAACTTACAACGGCTCTAAAAATATAACACCTATTTTTTAAAAATCTAAAATAGCACCACAGAGCAATGAAAATGAGCAAACTACAGTGCCCTACAACAACATGGGTATAGCTCACAAATATAAAACTGAGAGAAAACAAAGTTGGACACAAAAATAAATCCTGCGTGATTCCTTGATGTGAAGGTCAAGAGCAAACACAACTCATCTGTAGTGTTAGTAGACATGCGGGAAGGGCGGGCTGGTAACTGTCAGAGGCACAGGAGCCCCAGTATCCATCATTTCATCACTAGGTAAGAATATATTCTGTTGGCCGGGTGCGGTGGCTCACGCCTGTAATCCCAGCACTTTGGGAGGCCGAGGTGGGTGGATCACGAGGTCAGGAGATCGAGACCATCCTGGCTAACACGGTGAAACCTCGTCTCTACTAAAAATACACAAAATTATCCGGGCATGGTGGTGGGTGCCTGTAGTCCCAGCTACTCGGGAGGCTGAGGCAGGAGAATGGCATGAGCCTGGGAGGCGGAGCTTGCAGCAAGCCGAGATCGTGCCACTGCACTCCAGCCTGGGCGACAGAGTAAGACTCCGTCTCAAAAAAAAAACCAAAAAACAAAAAACAAGAATATATTGTTTGTGATAATCATCAAGCTGCATAATTATGATTAGTGAACTTTCTGATATGTTATGTATAAGTATTAAATATATATTATATATAACATAATAAAAAAAAATTTTAAAAAGGTAACAGTCTATCCAGTATGGACAAGCAGCAGCATGCCTTGAATGTTGCATTCAGTGCTAGCATGTCTCTACAGGACATCTGTGCTGCAGAAGTGGACCATCACGGAACAGTCCAGAACCGAGTCATGGCAAGCCAGGGAAGGAGGTGGGATGGCTCAGCCTGGGAAGTGAGAGCGCTGTGGGGGCCGTGATCATGTCTTTAAGCTTTGACATCATTACCATGCTGAAGAACCAGGCTTATTTTCAGTCACCCAGGAGGGTGGGATTTGCACCAAGGACCCCATGTTACTGCAATGTGGGCAGGCTCCCTGTGAGGCAGGGCTGTCCAAAGATGGGTGTACTTCACAGGCCAGGAGTTGGCCATCACTACTAGTGTTCAGCAGGGTCAGGTTGCTCCTCATCACGTCACCAATATATTCAAGCATCTCCTAAGTGCCAAGCCCTGGGATGGGCCTTTGGCTGAGGAAGAAACTATCCCCTCCCAAGGAGGAGGAGGGGGCCTGTGGTAAAGAGAAGGTCAGCATCTGGTATTGAGAAAGCACATGAAAACCCCACCAGGCTGCCATATGTGGCATCTAAAACCCAAGCATGTCGAGTGTCGTGCTACTGTGAGATTAGTGAATGAGCAGTGGACCCTGCCATGGCTCCATCTGGCTAGAGAGGCAAGTCCAACATAGACCTAGCTGCAGTGTGGTGGCACCTGGCAGCAGGCATCTCTTCTGGCTCAAATATCAATGTGGGAAATTCT
The DNA here is from genome assembly GCF_000001405.40 of Homo sapiens. Taxonomy (NCBI): domain Eukaryota; kingdom Metazoa; phylum Chordata; class Mammalia; order Primates; family Hominidae; genus Homo; species Homo sapiens. The sequence continues at coordinate 109,356,302 of NC_000002.12, read as the reverse complement.
GGTTTCTGTGGCTGTGTGGGACCTCAGGAGGGCGGTGGGATCTAGAATGTTCCTATTTAGTTGGCAGTCATTTTGGTGTAGAGGCTGGGCTGGGAAAATACTGGGGTGCAGGAAGTCAGCCACTCCCTGTACCTAAAAATCCATAATTAACTCTAAGAATGTCAAGGAAGGTTTCCCCAGCTCTGCCTCTAACCCAAACTCCCACAATAATTACAACCTCCAAAGAGGAATGTTTGAGTGCTGGGCAATGAAAACATTCACTGTAGCATGTTAGGGCTACCAGCATAAATCTGGTGTGTTCTGGAAACAATAATGATTCTCCACCCCCAATGCAGGACCAGGGAAACAATGGCAACTTTTCATGGCTAGATCACAACAGGACTCTGATTTGTCCTCATGTTACAAAAACCTGGAGCCATTGCTTTCAGAAGGACAAGGAAGGAGGAAATAGCTGCTTCACAGACTCATTAGTATATGGAGAAATACCCCTCCTCAAAACACCAAATGGGCTTTGTATATGAAGACGGCAAGACTGATCCGCATGGCATGGACCTGCGTGTTAAGTTGCTGCTTCACAGAGGAGGGCGTCCCCAGGGTCTCCACTCACTGTTTCCCAACAGATGCACACTCAATACCAGAGGCTCCCAATGGCCGAAGAGGAAAGCCACGCTGAAGGGAGCATACAGGGACAACACCTGTGCCCTTGGCCCTGATAGTGCTGTGCTCTATGTCACAGGTCAGGAACGTTTTCTAGAAAGAGCCAGAGACTATTTCAGGAGTTGTAGGTCAATTACTCAACCCTCCATTGTAGCATGACAGCAGTTATGCATACATGAATTATGGCTGTGTACCAATAAAACTTTATTTACAAAAACAGTTGGCAGGCAGGATTTGGTCAGAGAGTCCTAGTCCACCAACCCTTGCTTGATGTAGATGAGTGAACTAAACCAAACCAGAAACCACAGGCATCACCAAGAGTCAGATGAAGCAGACAAGTTCCTGGGCCAATATGCCAGCATTCAAGAATTTTATGAATGAAACTTGTTTCCACAACATAATTTCTCTTTCAGATACAAAGCTCAATTTCGTTTACAGGTTTCATGTCAAGTGCTCATTACTCACTGTGGGCCCGTAGACTTTCATATGCTGTTTTCCCTATTCCCTGGTATTTCCAAGTTTTGAAAATACACCAAATGCCGTTACCATATGGCAGTGGCTCTCCTTTGTATTCAGGTGGTCTCAGGGTGGTCCTAAAGGATTGTAAGCCTGAGCTGTGAACATAAAGTGGTTACTAAAAACTATATCACCTTTCTTCCTAAGTGTAAGCCTGAGCTATGAACATAAAGTGGTTACTAAAAAACTATATCACCTTTCTTCCTAAGCTTCGTAAATACTACATTCACAAAGGATTCAGGTGACATGGTAGGACCTGCCATCTACAAGGAGTCTTTAAAGTGCATTTTAAACTCATTTACTAGCTCTTCCAAAGTCTGTGTTTTCACTTCCACCTGGGGAGAAGGAAAGCCACAGACACAGATGCGCCTTTGTGAAGAACAGAGGCTGCGGGGCAGGGTGCCGACGCTCGCCTTCCCTGTCCCTTTAGGATGCCACTGGAGGTGGCTGGCGGAGCACACTGCCCTTTGACACCACTACAAAGGCACATCTTGGCAAATATCGCAGCTCACATATCAGGCATTTGGGAGCTCAGCATGAAATGCCACGATCACTGAAAACCTTGGAGAGCTCCCTCAGCAGCTCTGGATAAACCCACATCCAGTGCCTAAGATTTCCCTCTCCTAAGTCAACTGTGTGGAAGAATCACATGTAAAATGCCAGAAGCAGTCCCTGCCTGGCCATGAGTGGCCCACAGCCCTGCTCTCCTGGAGGCCACATGAACGCTGCGCCACTTTTCTGGCTCACATGCAGTCGAGTGGTTTCCTAGAAGCAATAACAAGCTGGAGCCCAGAGAAGGCCCCTGACCCTGCCGGGCCCCCTTCAGCCTCTGGGCCTGCAGGGTGATGGGCTGCCTGCTCCACCGCAGTGACCCAGCCTGACACAGGCAGTATCCGTTGGCGGCACACAGGTCAGCCACACACACAGGGCCCAACCCACTCTGTGTCGCAGGGAGAAGGGAAAATTAAAAAGGGAATAGTTCAGAAACTCCCTCAGCCTTTTGGTGCAGAAATAACCCAAAACTGTGCCTCTGACAGCCGACTGCCATCTATGGTGGGGCACTTATGGAACTGTTAGCCACCATCAGCTCCCCCACCTAGCGGGCTGGCCCTGCATCTTTGTCCTGCTGTCACTGAGACTTCGGGGGGCTCTGACTTTCCAGAGCATCTAGGGGCTTCCTCTGGTGTTCCCATCGTGTTCACGTATCTGAACTCCAGAGGGAGGCAGGGGCCCCTCAGGGGGTCTGAGGGCTGAGGGGAACCTGCGGCCACAGGTGGAAGAGATGTCAGAGATCACACCCTCTCACTGCCGGCAGCTCCCACTGCACACGGACACACGCATGCACACACGGGCAGGGGAGACTCTCTCGTCTTGTCTCCACGTCTTTGGGTTCTGAGTGCCTAAGGGCAGTGCACTCCACAGCATCCCTGGCATTGGGCACGCAGTCTAGGGTTGATAAACATCTGAAGAGTGAAGGAATGGACCAAGAAGCCTGGGTGAGGAGACAGAGGCACTCTCACCCAGCAGGCCTGCCAGCCCTGGCCAGGTGACACAGGGCACCCCACTCCACTGTTAGGGCTTCCCTCCACGTCCCTCCAGGCGCCCCTTGCTGCCCTATGTTGGGGCCAGGCGGTGGTGGGGTCTCAACCCACCCTCAGGCAGGCGGTGTCACGTGACTATGAACACCTACCTCTCAGGAGAAAGGGTGTGGACAGGGAGTCTCAGTGTGGGGTGCTCCCTCCCACAGCGGGAGAGGGTAGCCCCCACCTCCAGCAGAGATTTGCTGAGGACGAGGGTCGAGCTATAAATGTGTGGGGGCACCCAGGCTAAGGAAGGCAGCCATGCAGGCCCAGGGAGGCAGTGGGCTCGGCTGCAGGGAGAACCCACCAGGAGGCCAGTGCAGCTGGGCAGGCAATGAGCCGGGGGCCAGAAGTGGATCAGGCCCTTGAGGGAGCAAGGACTGGGTGAGGTGGGGCCTTGTGGGCAGCACCAACTTTGCCATGACTCCGGGACAGGTGGAGAGCCACTGAGGACTCTGAGCAGAGGCTCCATGTGGCACAGATTTGAGAGGTGGATCTGGCACCCAGTGGAGAGCAGGTGGGGCAGCTGCAGCGGCCAGGGCCAGGACTGCTCCCAGGAGCCAGGCGTGCCCATGGAGAGGAGCTCACATTCTGTGTAGGTTCTGAAAATTTCTGGCAAAGCTTCAGATACAGCCCAAGCTTTGCCTGCAAATCAAAACGGTTATCTGTGCAGTTTATCCAAACTCCCTTTGCTGTCAGAAGGGGCTGGGCGAGGGTGGTCTGTAGTGGCTAAGAGGGTGCTCTGCTCCCCTCTGCCCCGTGCCCTGCGAGTTGAGCCTCCTTCGTGGGAGGCATCATTGTGCACAGAGGTGGCTGCAGGTGCACTGAGCCTAGGAGGAGAAATCCACGAAGCAAGGAGCCAAAAAGGAGAACTGGTTCCCTGAGTTTCTCGGGTAACTTCAGGGTAAAGTAGCCCAAGCGGGGTGCCCAGGAAGGGAGAGAACGACGTGGAGCTCCGCACAAGCTTATCTCATGATACAAAAAGAGGTAAAGCTAAAGTTTCCTCATCGTCTCGGCCCCCAAAGTCATCCCAATTCTCAGTCAGGAAGAAGCAGAGACGACACTGCAAATTTGGAAGCTTGCCCATCGCCTGGCTCTGCTGGTGAGGGGACCGTGGCCTCCACACAAGGGGCTCAGCTCCGCTACCCCCAGGCAATCCTCTCTGAGATTTAGCCACCAGGAAAGTAAAAGCATAGCAGACCAGTCCTGCAAGTTCTCATTCTCCATGCAGTCTGTCTTTAGGAGGGAGGCTTACTTTCCTGCGAGTATTCTGGGCTAACATAAAAAGTGATATGTACCATCTGACGGAAGTGCAACTTTTCCTGAGACAGGAAGAAAGGAGAGGGCAGACAGCAAATATTTATTGGAATGCCTATTTTGAGCTTGGGTTTTAAAATGCCTTTGCTCATGTAATCCTAATATCAACTCCATTTAAAGTTAAAAAAAGCAACTCAAACACTAAGTAAATGTTCGAGTCACCATGCATTATTAAAGAAACGTGCCATGATTTGAATCTGTGTCTACCTCATGCTAGAGCCTGAACTCTATATTTGATTTTTATCCATCTATGTCTGTCCCTAGGATCAGAGGAGCAGAGTTTGGAATTAATGCTAGGTTAATTCACAAAGGTAAGACTTCCCATACTTTTGAGAAATGATTAAACATTCAGCAGCATAAGAAGGTCACATGGAAGAGTCTTAAGGTCTGACCAGATCAGGACAAATCGAGGGTGAGATGAGGGTTAGGACAGCACAGTGGCTGCAGCCACCAAGCCCTGTGGCTCCTTCACATGGCACACCTGGTAGGGATTAGGGCTGATATGGCAAGCCTGGGGGCCCCGCTGCAGTCATGTGCAAAAGTGATTCCATGATCAGCGGGCACTCTCTGAGAAAACCCCGTGGCCTCTGAGGATTCCTGAGCATCCCAGCTGGAACTCATGAAAAGCAGCGTGGGCCCTGCATAGCAAATGCAGCTGCCTGGCAAGGCGACCACAATGTTTTCATTAACTGAAAGTTACAGAGAAGAGGTTCAATAAACCCTTGCCGAATCTTGCAGGTGAGCTGAGTAAGACAATATAGAGTTAGCTGCTCAAACAATGGAGTAGTTCACATTCTTCTCCTGCACTCCCAGCCCTAGGCTCCACAATTTATTTATATCATGTGGTTCTCAGCACACCACAGAGTGCACACTGGCATCCTGAGACTGGGAAGGCGAGGTGCTCCTGGCCCAGAAAGGTTATGTGTCACCCTAAGTCACACAGCTGGCATGGGGCCCTCACTGCAAGGCCCTGCCAAGGCCAGCCCCTCCCGGGTGACTGGCCCAGCACGTGTGGAGGCTCCTCAGAAACCAGCTGGCAGAGCTGGGCCCACAGCTCTTCCTGCCTGTCGTCTTTTTATTTGCACATGCCCAGCTTTCTGGAGTCGGGCTACTAAGAAGTAATAAAATATCACTTTTTAAAGCTGCTTTACAAAAACTGATTATTCATTCTCTTCTGAAATAAAGCAGAAACTAGATTTTAGAAGGACTTTAATTAATGCCACTTTAACAGGACTATTCAAAAGCAAACACCAAAGGTAAAAATCTTGCTTTGATCCACCTAATTTAAACTCCATCAGTCTGCCACAGTGATGCTGTATAAAGGCAGGTTATACCATTGTAGCTTTCAGAGACCCTTCTTTCCTCTCTGACTCAGGAATGGAACATATCCAAAGAATAAAAACATTCCCCAGAGGGGAGACCAAGCTGGCATGAACCAGCACCTACGCTGCAGCACTGGAATCATTTGGTTCCTGGAGGTCTGATTCACATGGAGGTTGTCAGAGCCAGTGTGTGCGTCTCAGCTGCATGCCAGGCATGGGGGAAGTAAGGTGGGTCGGACCCACCGTGGGGGAAAACAGGAACTGAGCGGAGAGTCACATGGAGTTGCCCATGTCTCTTGGAGCCTTTATTTGCGGACACTGAGGAGTGAGAGATGCAACAGGACAGAACAGGTAGCAGGGGTGGCCAATCTCTGCCCGACCTCGCCCTTTGGGGGTCAGAGGGTCAAAGTGGGCATAGGAGCATGGCAGGAAGGTCGTGTCACAGCACAAGTCCCTCTGGGGATCACACCCAGAGGCCTCTAATTCTCCACATTAACTCACAGGATTCAAGTAAAGAAAGTCCTTGAACAAAGAATCTGTGATATGACACTTCCCCCTTGTCTGCTGTGGGAGCCGTCACAGATCCTGTAACAGGAGATGCTGGGCCTCCCGTGGCTGGCGCCTCTGACCTCAATTCAACCAAGAGGTCACCTTCCAGAGAGCCTGGGCAGCCATGGTGACATTGCCCACTTGGGAACAGATGGACCCCTGCTCGGCTACCCCCACCCCACATGCCAACCGCAGAATGAGTCTAAGCCTGATGGCTCTAATTTCACTGTTTCTTGTGAAATATGGAACATGGAATTCCATCACTGACTACTCAGGAGCCCACACTAAATGCCCGGCCTGCCCCTGGTGATCCGATGCAGCTCGTGAGCCTCTGGCCTGTCTTCTGCACATTCTCCACTGGCCTGTCTCCCGCACCTGACTCTGGGCTCCAGAAGAGCAGCAGGTCTAGTACCCGACACAGAGTCAGGGCCCGGTATGTTTCTGTGGAATAAATGGGCAGGTGCCCTTTGTCCTCTTGTCCAGTGGGCTCTAGCCTTCAGCCTGGGGTTGCACATCCTGGGCAGAGGCCCGTGGAATGCAGCAGGTTATATGGTGATGACAGGAAAGGCAGGCAGTCACTTCTGCCCAGAGAAGCAGGCCTACCCAGAGGCTCCAGGGCCCTGCGACAGCCCGTTCACAGTGGGTTCTCCCGAGTGGAGAGCCTCCTCCTGTGAGGCCCCTGGAGGAGGGCCTCGGCTCTGCAGCCTGGAGCCCGCCAAGCCTGGAGAAGCCTAGAGCCATTATGGGGTCTGTCTCCTTAGCAAGGCCCTGACCGGACCCTGAGAGTTCAGAGGTCCCTGCTCTTGGTCATGAGTGACCACCTGGGGCACCAGTGGTCCCAGGTCTTCTCTTAGGGGGAAGAGTCCACTGGGCAGAGAAGCAAGTTGGGTTTCTGTGTGCCTAAAAATAGCCCCAGGAAGCTGTTGCTCTCGCCCTCCGACTGAGTGGGGAGGGAGGGAGGCACCAGTGCAGTTTCCCGGGAAGCTGTGCAGCCAGATGACAATCGGAATTAGCATCAGAACACCTTGATAAAAGGAAGGGAGAAGGAGTTGAATCCCTGAATGAAAAATAGATTATTCATTGTCAGGCTGAACAATAGAACAAGACATAAATAGCAGCTGTACGCAGGACATGCCAATTTTGCTCAAAAACACTGTGCATGGTTCTCCTACCGCCCTCCAGAGAGTGCCACCTCGAGCTCTGCACTCAGCAGATGGGGGAGAGAGCAATGGCCTCTCAGAGGCAGGAAGGATGTGGGCTTTAGAAGCAGAGATTCGAGTTAGAATTCTAGTTCTGTTATTTACAACTCTGTGCGTGTGTGTGTGAGAGAGAGAGAGAGAGAAATACTGACACAGAGAGACACAGGCAAGACAGAACGAGTGAGGAGAGAGAAAACAACAACTTCTGGGCATCTAAAATACAGTGAGGCCGACATAAGGGAAGAATTCCCTGTGTAGGGAGGTGGGAAGAATGCTGAGTGTTAACATCAGAGATCTGCATTAGGATTCTGGCTCTGTCATTTACATCTGGGGGCGGCGGGGAGCAGGTGCAGCAGTGGCAGGGGATGGAGGAGACACAAGAGACAGGAGATGAAGATGGAAAGGAGGAAGGGGAAGCAGGAGGGAGAGAGGACCCAGCAAGCAGCCTGGATAAGTTACAAAGCCTCTCAGAGCTTTGGTTTACACATGGAGAAAACGAGGTTCCAACTACTTCCCCTGGAACCTGGGACAGCTGTAAAGACCAAGTGTGAGCTTATTGGCCGAGCACTTGGTGCAGATGATTATTCAACAGCAACTGCCAGGACAGCCAGAACCAGTCTCTTCTGCACCTCACCCAACCCTCCTACTCAATTTCACCTGTCAGTGCTATTTTGTTTGCTCCCAAATGTTTGCTTCACAGGGATCCCTACGCACCAGGGTGGCCCTGCCTCAGGTGCCCTAGAGGACAGGGCTGTGATGCACAGATGTGAGACCCCAGCTATCATCTCCCTGTGAGCTGACCAGGGTCTCTGTAGCAGTTTCCCCTGATGAGCCCCTCTCACAGGACCCCAAGAGTCCTGGAAAGGCGTCATTCTGCTGCACCTGGGTCAGCGCTTAGAGCCATGACTCAGGTTAACTGAGGGTTCTGCTCCTGGTGCTGATGGAGGCTTATATTATCTCAAGCTCCTATGTAGCTCTGGGCTGGAGCTGTGTGTCAAGCTGGTGCCCTCCATAGCATTCAACCAAAAAAAACCATCACCCCATTCATGGAAGCACAGGGAGGGAGGCTGGGTCATTTGCCCAGGGTTCCGGGAGGAGCCAGGATTCAGACTCTGAAGAAAGACTGTCTGGCTATAGGTCTGTGGCTGGGAAGAGCCCTGGGTGGCACAGAGGCTGCATGGGCTGGCGGGGCCCACCCCGGGGCTCACCTTACCTTGGTGAAGGTCAGACAGTCCTTGTCTTGGTCTTTGTCCTTCATCTCGAAATCATAAAGTGCTTTTCCCTGGGGCGGGGCGTGTGGCAAGGGCTGGATGCACTGGATATAGCTGGCTGGGAGGAAGCCCTGTGTGCCGTGCAGCTCGCCGTGGTACCACTGTTCATCCACCTTGCGCCGCAGGACGATGATGTCCCCCTTGTTGAACTTGAGGTCACCAGGTTCCTTCCCCTCGTAGCTGTAGAGGGCCTTGCCATAGGGAAGCAGGCAGGGATTCTGCAAGCAACAGACAGCATGTGGTCACCGGGCATGCCCCTTCCCAATGCCCCACAGTGGATCTGCCGGGGCAGGCCGGGGCTTCTCAGGGGCTTTCTGTGTCCTGGGGGTGCATACAGAGTGCCCCGCAAGTGGAAAATATTTTAAAGAAACAGCCTGTCACAGGAACATGCACATTCTGAGGCGCCACTGAGATAAGAGGGTCCCCATCCTAGCCATTCCTCCTAAAAAGGACACTGTCTGAGGCCTTCCACACAGACAACCTCATTCTGTGCAAAAAGGACTCTGAAGTAGGTGCTGGCTTGTCTTCATTTACAGATGGGGACACTGAGGCACAGAGAGGGAAGGTGACTTTCCTAAGGCCCACACCTAGGAGCAGTAGGTAGAATCTGAACCCAGGAGGTCTGGGCTCGGAATTTCTTACTCAATACTCTATGCTGAATCATTTTCCACTGGCTCCTATTTCTCAGGGATTTTAGTCTAAGAAGCTGCCAGACTTCTAGCAAGTATCCAACCATTTTTTCTTTACTTCATCTACTGAATAGTCACAGCAACTCGAGCATGCTCCAGGGGTTGAAGCTGAGCAGCAGGCGTGCATGGCATCCGTCGTGCTGAGCGTTCCACTCAGAGGACTCATGGCCAGCGGTACACACACGAGGATGATGACAAACAGCCTGTGTGGAGCACAGGGGCCATGCCCAGGAGCAGGGGTTCTAACAAGCAGTCCCCGGCCATCACAGACCCCCCCACCATGACACACAGCTTTCTGCTGCATGTACTTGTAGCAGTCTGTTCCAGAAGTACAATTGTTCAAGGGCATAAGACTGTATCCTCCTAACAGTGATGTTCTTGTATCCGTCAGAGGTTAACCAACCCATCTGCACCTGTTCTGCCATCCTCGGTCTCAAACCGTGACTAGCTCTGAAATCCAAACAAGATTCTAAGCTGCTTCTGCTTGTCAGCAATAAGGAGCCTGTCAAAGAATCCGGAAACTGATGTGATGTCTTCTTCCACTTCCTGGGCTTCTCTAACTGGCCCTGTCTCATCAAGTCCATCTGGCCTCATGGGCCTCTCTCCTTTTCCTTTATGGGTGGCCAATACCTGCTCAACTGTGGGAGCTTTGCCAGAGGTCAATCCTGTGCTAGAGGAAAACCAAAGGAAAGCTTTGCATTGTTCGGGTGTCAATACCCAACGATTTTCCTACCAGAAGCCGCATTTTCTCACCAGGGCTGCCTATGCCAAGGAGTTCTTCAGTATTCGAATCAATCAATAGAAGCACAAAAGCCTGAAGCAGTAGTACATCGAAAAACTCTTTGTAGAGGACTTAATAGCATGTTGGCAACTCAATCATTCTACATTTATGTTTCAGCAACGTCAAACGACAGCAGTTAAGAGAGAGCCTGCTGGCAAATTGACAAACAGCCACCACTAACCAATTAAACAGTAACACCAGAGGATTTTTCATTGCAGAACTCGAAGAGAAAAAAAAAATCCGTTTGCTTCCAATAATACTCATTCTGGATAGCTTTGTAGTGCGAGCACAATAGTGTGTAACGAGCCCCAATTTTAGAGAGCGGAGGCAAGGGGTAATTTGCAAGACAAGCACTGTGATCAGAAAAAATGGGAAGGGGCAGTTGGCTGCAGGCCATCAGAATAATTCCACTGCCACACAGGGGCCACTCAGCCGCCAGCCAGGGAATCTTAATTTGGGACAATTTGGTCTGAAGATATTTTTTGGCTATCACAACCGGAAGGTGGGGTGCTACCAACATGTAACAAGTAAAGACCAGGGACACTGCCAAACACCCTGCAATGCCCAGGACAGCCTCTGCCACAAAGAATGACCTGGCCCAGAGCCATCAGCAGGTTAAGAAACCCTGGCCCAGCCTGTTTGGTTAAATTTACAAAAAAGACAGAGTAAGGTTCCCTGTTCTAATAGAACTTAGTCTACGAATACTTTAAAAGTTAAATATAACATTTATTTTCATGAGGGGAGTATTTTCACTATTGGCTACATGGAGACACTTAGATATCCATCAAGGCGAGCAGTTTTGAAGGGATGTAAGAAAAGAACATGCTCTGAAGTTGAAAAACCAGCCTCAACAAGATGCACACAAAAAACCTTTATCTGTCAGGGAATGACTCCATTTCCCTTCATTCCCAAACCACAAGGGTGAGGCTTAAAAGCCGTGTTATAAGAGCTACAGACTCGGTGGCTGTTTGGCGACTTTTGCTACCATTGGTAACAACAGTGGGCAGGAAGGGCCAGCTTTGCACCTGCCTACACGCTGCACTCCCTTCTGCGGCCGGCTCGTGCTATCTGAGCACACACATCTCCCTGCAATGCCCCCGAGAAGGGGACACTGTGTTTCCTTTCTGGCCTCCCCACCATCAGCCTTCTCTAGACTGGTTGACATAAAGGCCACCTGAAGACACCACTCACACCCACATTGTGTAACTGCGGCCCCAACTTAGGTAGTGTGGCAGGTAAAGCTGGGGTGCAGAGCCAGAGAGACTGAGGCATCTTCCACCAGGCAGCCTGGGGCTGTAGGCCACCACCCAGGACAGAGACACTGCGAGACACACACTCCTGAGTCACGGGGATTCTGTCTTTCATGAATTCTCCAGAGGGACCATGGCCTCACTGGTATCAGCACTGTGGCCTGCAGGCCTCCCTGACACCCCCCTTCACTGATGCAGACCCCAGCTAAACCTGCCTCTGTGCCAGTGGCTCTCAAATCAACCTGTGCCTGTGATGTCCCCTCTGATCATGGGACTTGATGTGAACCCAGATGCCTGCTTGACGGCTCTGCTGGACATCTGCAAGCTCCTAGAGGCTGTCTGTCCCTCCAGCCCTACCTCCTCTGGCCATGAAATCCCCACTCAGCTGCTCGGCAAGGACCTTCAGTCATCCCTGTGCCCACCCTTTCCCTTGGCCTGGGCACTCCTCCTGCCAACTCCACTTCTGAGCTTTCACCCAGAGGGCTGTGCACCCTCCCACTCCCACTGCCTTGCCTGTCATCTCTCCTTGCACCCAGTGCAAACCTCCTCCAGTGGTCTCCTGGCCCATCAGCCTGTCATGGGCTGGATGCCCAAATGCAGGGCCAAGCTCATGCACCTGCTGCTTATGAGCTTCAGTGTCTGCCTGATGACCTCAGGGGATCCGAGCTCCTCGGCACGGCAGCCGAGGTCCCCTACGCTGGCCTCAGCATACCTGCCCAGCCACGGCAGACAGCATCCTCAGTCACGAGAAGTCTGTGCTTCTGGAACCTGGAACATGCAGGGCTTTGCAGACAGAGCTCCATGCTACTTCCTCTGCCCTTCTCACTCCCTCCAAAATCCACACTGCTCCCCCGTCACCACCTGTGCCCTCCTAATTCCATCAGCACCCATCAGCCACTCACCAGCCATCCTAACTCCATCGGCCACCTTCCTAATTCCTTAGCTTCTACGCCACTAAGGCCCCCAGGAAGAGACTATGCTGTTCACTCTGATGACCCCAGGACCCAGGAGTGTTCTCCCTGCGTAGCAGGTCCCCTCTATATGCTGTTAATTCAAAGGCACTCAGGTTAGTCCTGAGTCAGGCCTGGATGGGGATACAGGGGGGAAAGTTACAAAAGAAGGATCTGGGGACGGGTATGGTGGCTCACGCCTATTATCTTAGCACTTTGGGAGGCTGAGGATGGAAAATCACTTGAGGCCAGGAGTTTAAGGCTAGCCTGGGCAACACGCTGAGACCCTATCTCTAAAAATAATATTTTTTAAAAATAGGCATGGTGGCAAGTACCTGTAGTCTCAGCTATTGGGAGGCTGAGGCAAGAAAACTGAGTGAGCCTGGGAGTTCGAGGCTGCAGTGAGCAATGATCGTACCACTGCACTCCAGCCTAGGTGACAGGGCAAGAACCTGTGTCTAAGAAAAAAAAAAAAAAGGAAACCAGGGCAGGAGCAGGGCAGAAGCAGGGGCAGACTGGAGATTGTACGCCTGGCCACCTCTCCACAGGTGGTAACCCACCTGCTGGCCCCAACCCACCTGCTGGGCTCGAGTCTGGTACTGAGAGCATGATTCTCGGAGCAAGCAAGCTGTGAGAGCATGGGGGCTCAGGTGGGGCCTGTTTGCCTTGCTGGCTGGTGAGCCAGGAGGAGAAGTGGGGAAGGGTAGGGGACAGAGAAGGTGGGAGAGAGAAGGCAAGAGAGCCCCCTGTATCCCCATCTCAGACTGCCAGACTCAGATTGGACAGAGCAAAACCAAGAGGGGGAATGAACCTTTTTAAGATGCAGGACACATTTCTGAGGGAAAGAAAAAAAAAAGAGTCAAGGAAGATGCCGAGAGGCAGTTTATTTGGAGGAGCAGAAGCAGCCAGAAACTGGATCTCATCAGGAAATGCTCACATGGGTGACACCCGGCACCTCCAGAGTCTTTCATCTTCAAAGCCCTTTATAAGATTAACTAATTAGTCCATGGAAGGGGCCTAAGGCAGGCAGATGCTATTATGGGGGAGAAAAGACTTCTGCTGATTTCACGGCAGCAACCTGGAGGCCTCTATGTCCCAGCCTCCACACCCACCCAGGAGGGTGGGCAGCTGCTCCAGAGCCTGTTTGCTTTCTGCCCACAGACGTGTTTGGAAGAACTTCTCACACTGCGGCGTGCTCCCCTTCAGAGGAATTCCATTCAAACATTGTCACTAAGCCGCCATTATTTGGGCTCAAGACATTAAGAAAAAGAAATAAAAGAAAAAAGGAAAACCCATCTGGGATGCCTACAGGACAATTAACATCAGCCACCCCTGCAAGGCATTAATAATAATTAAAACTTATAATGTCAATTTCATGGCTCATTACTCAGATGTGGCACACACATCTTCCTCTGGACTTAATGTCCTACCCGTGGAGATGGCGCTCACGTGGGCACAACGGCGCCATCTCCGGCTTCTACTGGAATCAGGCATGTGGCAGCAGGCTCTAATGAATGTGCTCCTGACACCCCTGGTTGGGACTCTCAGGCAAGCCGTACCCCTGAGTAAGGGCGGGTGCCAGAGTCGGCCTGCAGCGTCGGGAGGGCACAACCCCAACTGGCCTATTCCAGACCTCCCAGCAAGCTGGGGTGGAGAGCGTGGAGCACCGGCTCCCTGTGTTTAAGACCCTAAGGATGCAATCTTTCAAGGAGAGCACTTGTCACGGCTCTCACCACCTGCTTTCAATGGAGGGCCCCCTTCACAATTAGCCCATCAGGACAGATTCTCGCCTGTTTTGCTCACTGTTGGATGCTCCGCTGCTGGCCTGACACAGATCATACGCTCCATATATCTACTGAACGAATGAACACACAGACTAGCAAACCAGTCCCCTGGGACTGGGGCCTTGGCTCACAGCCTCTATTTGGCCCATTATTTTTCCCAAAATATGAGATTCACAGTCCATGTTGCCCAAGATCCTATTGCTAATAGCAGCTGGGCCTGGCGGAATGGGGAAAATCCCAGGTATGGCTGATGAGAAGTGGGGCATTCCAGCCAGGGGCTCAGCCCATGCAAAGGCCCAGAGTTATAGATGGACACAGAGTCTGCCCACCTGCAGTCTCCAGACCTGTATAGCACAGCATGTGGCCAGCAGAAAAGTGTCAGGAAGATGAACACATTCGTCCATAGGCCCCGGCGGGTGAGACCCTAATTGTATACACACCAAGCACTGCGGGGTCTGAGAATGGGTCAGAGACAGCTAATGACCCCTGATACCCACTTTCTGCTTCTTTTGTCTGTCAGAATATTCCAAATTTCAACTGAGATCAAGCTTCCAGCAGAAGCCTTCATTTTCCAGCCTTGCCTGCAGGCAGCCCTGGGTAGGTGTCCACATTTCTGTCCACAGAATGCAAGTGAAAGTGATTCCTGCACATTCTGGAGCATGTTTTATGATGACATGCATAAGGAAATCTGCCTTCCCACGGGCTGCATGGTAGACACAGTAGGGTGGGCCAGTTTTTCCATCAAATATTATGCCCAGAGCAAAGGGGGAAGAAACCTGGGTCTTGGGGTGACCTTGCAGAACACACCCCCATACCATGAAGTAAGAAAAAGGAAACTTGATCTTATCTGAGCCAACACATTTTGGGATCTCATTCACAGCTCAGCTTATATTCTGACTCACTCAGGAAGTCTCAGGTGTATTTACAATTTCTTTAGCTCGTAAGCATTTTTCAAGCCAAGGCACTGACTTTCATAGCACTGTTGAGGGTTATCATTTATGTGCTGTCATCTTTGAAAAGCACTTTCAACTCAGAGACTCTCAGATTTAGAAAAGGCACAACTCTTGGCCTTACCTTATTTTAAATAATGCATTTACCAGAGTGTATCCCATCTTCCACTTTATAGATTTAATCCGCGATGAAGAAGTTTGTTACTGTTATCACACTGCAACCAGAGGTTCCCAGGTTTTTGTTTTACAGATAATTATATTTCGAGTTCCTTTGTCCCTTTTTCTCATTCAAAGCTGCTTGTTGGGTCCAAACTTTTTGTTTTGTCCCCTCTTTTCTTCTGTCAGTTTCTTCCTTTCCCATATTTGCACACTCATTCATCCAAGAATTGATGAAGAATTGATGAAATAAGACAAAGGATGAAAACACGACTTGCCCTTCAAACACAGGGTGACGAGGCCACTACTAAGCTGTTGCGTGGATGCAACTGTGAAGACATAAATTGTCTACAGCTAAGAGCTGCCTGTAGCATTTTCATGTTGCAGCCAGATTGGAGAGGATTTAAAAGCAAATTTTTTTTTTCTTCCTTTTTTTACTTTTCCCAGACTTTGTTGTGGCCTGTTTCCCTGTTGCATCAAAGCAGCGGTTAGGTCATCTGTGGTGGCCTTAGAATGCACCTTTTGACAAAGTACCTTGGGCTTAGTTTTCCCATAAAGCAGAGATAATCAAATCTGCCCTTCCGTGCTTCTTAGTATGCTGAGAATAAAACTGATGATACGAAAAGAGCTTTGTGTCTCTTAATGAAAAAGGAGCTATAAAAACAATGATCATTGACTACTTGCTGAGGCAAACAGATGTTCCAGGACCCTGGGTGCCGGGGCCAGGAAAGGCAGATGCTTCTAAGTGTAGGAAGTGGTCAGTGGTGATCCCTCCTCATGCACTGCAGCAAAAGTCAGATGGGAGAACTGAGGACCGCCCCTCCAGCATCTGCCCATATTCACTGAATAAGTGAATTCAGCAAAGAACCAATGCATGGTCCTTGGGTGTAAACCTTCTCTCACCCTCAGGGTTGAGGTATGTGCTTCTCTGGGTTCCAGCAGTACTGGGGCTCTCATCCAGACCTTGCCCCTTCCTGTCCTGAGCACCTCCTGTGTGCCTGCTGCTCCTACCTCTACCTGCGAGACCCACAGGATCCTTACAGCAACCCTGTGAGCTTGGCCTTATATTATCTGCACTTTACCGATAGGAAATTGGAGCACAGTGAGGTCCAGTAACTTGTCCAAGGTCCGAGAGACAGGACTGGATCCAGGTGGTCTGACCTCCCAACCTGTGCACTGCCAGCTACACACATCACCCCCTCAAAGTAACTCAGCCATTATTTAGCTGCTACTCCCCACCAGACACTCCCGATAACCCGATTACTGCTCACAGGACTCCTGTGAAATAAGAATTATAGTCCTTTTATAAGTGAGAAAAATGTAGCAAGGTGGGCAAATTCCTCAGCATCACAAAGCGTGTAACTGGGCAACCAGCTTCCAACCACCTGCCTCCTCCTCACTCCCCCAAAAGGCGAGGGAAGCCTCTGTGGAGCCCTGATAATTATCTGTTTAATTATGGAAGGGAAAGGGCAGCTGTGGGTCAGTCATCCGTTGGGCCAGGAGGGTCCAGATCTGTTTACATTTATCCAATTCAGAGATGCATTGCTCACTTCCTCACTTTCTGGGAAGAGATCCCATGCTGTGAGCTGGTATTTGCAGTGTTCCCAGGCATGTTCTGATAATGGGTACTTAGAGGAGTACTTGAGCAAGTCCCCAGCAGCCACCAGGCACCTTGAAAAGTGCTCCTTGATCCCTCCCAGGGAACAAAGGCCTCGCTACCGGCAACCCCTGCAGCCCCACCCAGGCACCCTCCAGGGCCTGAATCCAGCTGATGCCTGGTCGGCCCCATCTACCACCTTTCCACCGGCCTTTTGGGCAGCACACTCACGTGGGCCTCCTTTGTGGGTGGCCTCAGGTCAATGGGGCCTTGCACTGGGGACCTGGATCTCCAGCCACCGCAGAAGACCAAGAGGACAGGAGGGAAGAGAAGGAGGGGACTAAAGGCAGAGGATTCCTTGTAGGTCCTTATTTCAACCCAAACCAACCACCACATCATCTTACTATATATACATTTTTCATGTCATTACTTTCATGTTACCCCCCACCCCCCCAAAAAACAGCTGACCCTTGAACCAACATGGGTTTAAACTGCAAGGGTCTACTTATACGTGGATTTTTTTCAATAAAAGTTATACCGAGTGTGCCTCCCTTCTCTGCCTACCCGTCCACCTCCTCTACCTCTTCTCTGCCTGAGACAGCAAAGCCAACCCCTCCTCCTGTTCAGCCCACACAACGTGAAGATGATGAAGATGTAGACCTTTATGATGATCCACTTCCACTTAATGAGTAGTAAATACATTTTCTCTTCCTTACAATTTTTTAAATAACAATTTCTTTTCTCTAGCTCGCTTTATTCTAAGAACACAGTATATAATGTATAGTTCTCCCAAGATATGTGTTGATCAACTGTTTGTGTTATCAGTAAGGCTTCTGGTCAACAGTAAGCTCTTAGGAGTTGAGTTTGAGGGAGTCAAAAGTTACATGCAAGACTTGGCGCAATGGCTCACACACTTTGGGAGGCCGAGGCGGGTGGATCACCTGAGGTCAAGAGTTCGAGACCAGCCTGGCCAACATGGTGAAACTCCATCTCTACTAAAAATACACAAATTAGTCGGGCGTGGTGGCGCATGCCTGTAGTCACAGCTACTTGTGAGGCTGAGGCAGGAGAACTGCCTGAACTCGGGAGGCAGAGGTTGCAGTGAGCCAAGATCGTACCACTGCATTCCAGTCTGGGCAACAGAGTGAGGTTCTGTCTCAAAAAATAAAAATAAAAAGTTACACACAGGTTTTTGACTGTGCCGGGGGTTGTTGCCCTAACTCCTGCATTGTTCAAGGGTCAAGTGTAATACAAAAAGGTAAGAAAAAATAAAGTATCTGTGAGCATGTAAAAAAAAAAAAAGTTTCCCTAAGAATCTGGCTCAAATGACAAAAGGAAGGAGGCCTGTGTTAGAACTGGGTCCCCAGCGCTCAAGGAGTTTTGAGGGTGGCCATGAAGCTTCTTGCAGAAGAGCTCAATTCTGCCACACCCTGCCTGCTCCATGCCTCAGTTTCCGTACCTGCAAAACAAGCGTGCTAAGTATCTGTCTCACAGGGATCCTAAATGTGAGATCGAATGAGTTAATACAGATGAGTTACTCCTAACAGTGCCTGGCACACTGTAAGTACCAAAGGATGGTCTCCTGTTGGTAGCAAATAACTTCCGACTCGGGAAGCTACCAGACAGCAGCACACAGCGTGTTTACTAAAGTTCTCCACATCACATGACACACAGACTGGCAAGCTCCATCAAAAACAGAAGGAGCCTGGGCGCGGTGGCTCACGCCTGTAATCCCAACACTTTGGGAGGCCGCAGCAGGCAGATCACTTGAACTCAGGAGTTCCAGACCAGCCGGGGTAACGTGGCAAAATCCCATCTCTACAAAAAAAAAATACAAAAATTAGCCAGGCGTGGTGGTGCATGCCTGCAGTCCCAGCTACTCGGGAGGCTGAGGTGGGAGGATCACTTGAGCCCAGCAGGTTGAGGCTGCACTGAGCTATGATTATGCCACTGCAGTCCAGTTTGGGTGACAGAGTGAAACCCTGTCTCAAAAAAAAAGGGGGACCTTAGCAAAACAAACTTGACCACCAAGATAACCCACCTGGTAGCATACGGCATATGCTGATAGCATATGGCACAGCCATTCAAGAAGGTTCTAAAAAGGAAGGTTATTCCACCAATGGAGGATGGACTTCCTAGCAAATGTGCTAAAGGCTCGGGGAAGCTCCACAGACCTCTTGGGCAGGGTGGAAACGCTGAGGGTGATCCTGTGACCGGGGGTGCCTCCAGGACTCCCGCCCTTGCCTGCACAGTCCCTTATCACCATTTGAGGAAAACATTTCGCCATATGCGAGGGGGTGGCCACAGTGCAAGGCGCTAAGGACACCACACACAGGAGGACCTAGCCTTGGATGCAGAGAAGTTACAGGACAGATGGGAGCAGGGCCACAATGGGGCCAGCAGCCCGATGCACCCTGCACCCAGGGCTCCCGGCAGCCCTGCTGTGGGGAGAGGAGAGGGTCCCAGGACCAAGGGAGCCCAAGCTCTTACCTCTCAATACAGATAGGTCCAAAGGCTTTTACAAATCTTTAAATCATGTGGCCAATCTCAGGAAAAAATCACCCTATGAGCCAGTTCGTACCTCCCTCTCTAGAAAGGCATTTAAGATACATAACACAAAAATGTGAAAACTACAAGTCCTGAATTTACATTTAGGATACTAAATACGGTTTGCTATTATGTTAAAAAATGTTAAGCCTGAATCAAAGCATACCTAATGATTTGGGCTTATTTCACATAGATATTGCATTTGTCTGCTTTACACTAATTCTGCAATTTGCTGCCCACAGAGGATGATGGTCTGGCTGTCAGGGATGCAGACTGCCCTTTGCTCTGGGACAGGAGGAACTGAGCAGAATTCTTCACTGCACCAGGTGTTGACGGATACGGTTGGAGCAGGAGAGGGTCCCTCGGCACCCCATTTCCATGTTGATTTATATAAATCCTTAACTCCAGATATTTAGTTACAAAACGCTTTGCCAACTTTGTAATGGAAATCTCCACAAAATTGGATGTTGCAGTTGCTTTTACAGACTTAAGGTAAACTTCATAAGTAAGTTATTAATGCAAATAGTCTCACTGCAGAGAAACAAACAAATGCTCTCCTGGTTTGCTGCAAAGAGCATTTGCCTCAACGTGGTGGAAACACTGCCCAGGGCTGGCATCATCCTCCTCCCTTGGAAACTGGTTCCTTCAAGAGCAGCCTGCGGGGTACACGGGGCCTCACAGCGAGTCCTCAGCACGTGCTAGCCGTGGGCACACCAGGACATTTCTTTGTACCCAAGGGAGAAACTTATTGGTGGCAGCTTCCCTTCCAAATGTATTTTGCATGCTAGTGAGTCAATCCAGTTATTTTCTGTTCTATCTGTGAGAAATTCCTTCTTGAAGCCTTCACACTTTAATGTGGCTTTGTAAACTCATTTTAAAGTAAAAATGGGTCTTTGGTTGTCATTTTACCTAGTCTAGAGAACAAGACAGCCTTCCCAGCATGACACCTCTTCCCCAGTGAGGGAGAATCCTTCTCCTGCAGGCCAGCTTCTAGGCACGTGGTGATTTTTGAACTTCCCAGAGTAGTAAGTATTTTTGACTTTCTTTAAGATATTAAATATTTTTGAACTTCCTAAAATATTAAAGAGCTTACTAGGCCTGCCTGAATTTTCAAAATGTAGGGAGAGGAATGCCTTCTACGCTAAAGCTTTTCCTGATGGGTTCCAGATGTTGCCAGTCACTTAAATCAGCCCGAATGTCTCGACAACATCGTGCTATCAGTCTCACCGACATATCCCACTCCCAGCCCCCAAGTGTCTTTTTTTGTTGAGCTGCTTCATTCATAAATACATCTTTCACATTCACTTTATGCTTTCAAGTTTTCTAAGCATTTTCATAGGCTTTATTTAACTTTCATTCTTATCCTCTCTACAGCCGCGTAAGGTAGGAAGTGGTTTTAGGACATTTATGCAGTTAGTCAGCAAATCGGAATGAGTGCCCGTTACTTGTGGGGTGCGGTTCTGGCGTGGGGTTTGGGAGTGAACAAAACACTCAGAGGTCCCCACCCGGGTGGAGTTTATGTTCCAGCCAGGGGGACAGCAACAAAACATACAAATAAGTAAAATCTAGAGAATGTCAGAAAGTGGTTAAGTGCTAAGGGGACACATAAACCAGGGGAGGGGACATGAACACTGGGATGGGGATAGGGTGAAATCTTAGAACGTCATCATCGAGAAGGTAACTGAGGGACACGTGGATGAGCGAGGGCTAGTCGACGAGCATGTCCCAGCCCTGAGGGGCAGAGAGGAGGTGGCGTGTGGAAGAGGTACGGGCTTCCCAGGGTAGGGGCTGTGGAAGGGCTGGAACAGCCCAGCAGAGACTCAGAAGGAAATAAACGCCATTGAGAGTTTTCAATGTGGAAACTTGAGGCATAGGGAGAGGATAAAGAGACACCTGAGAAAACATGCTAGAAAGAGCCGTTCTCGTGTGGGACGGGCGAGGGGCCTTGCCCCACAGTCCCCACAGCTGCTCCTCTGAGGTGCGTAGGCCTCGGAACTCTAGATCAGGCGCAAGGAACAGGTAACACCCCAGGATGCTGCAAAACGTCCTGACGAATCTGCTCCGAAAACACGAAATGTTCGGTTTTGAAGCAGGGAGTGGTATGACCACCATGATCCCAGGCAGAGACAAAACCGTGTCTTCAATGATCAGGGAGCACATGTAAGTCGCCAACGCGGTGACATAAATCGCGTTCTCAGAGCCTCGCACCAGGACGCATGGCCTGGGAAGGCACGCAAAGAGTTAAAAGCAGAACCTTTCCAGGAAGGCCAGCCTAAAAAGCAAAAAGAAGGCTTCTCAATAAAAACACTGGGTTCCACAAATATGTAGTCCACCTGTCCTGGAAGTGCTACTGAGGGGAGCAAGTGGCACATAACATTCTAGTTGGAGAAGGAGAGAGAAAAACAGAGGCAGGAACAAACTCCTTCAGCAGCCTCTGTGGCCCATCGCCTCCTGTTCTCATGAGTTGAAGAGGCATATTGCAGCTTTTTCTCCCTGTGTCTGTGGGTCTCCTTTCCCTCTTGTCTGCATTATTAAGTGTGACTTCCTGTCACCATGCTGCCATCCCCTGCTGGAATCAGCGCAGTGGACACTGTGGCTGCCTCACTCCATCCCTGGCATCCCCGGAGCGGGTGAGGGTTCCCCTGCTGGCTGGCACCACTAGCACCCTTCCTTTAGCCAAGCCAGTCTGTGCCCTTATTGCGAGGAAAGTCCGCAGGGTTCTGGACCAACAGGAAGCCAAGACACCCACAAGGCTGTGTTTCCTATGGGAGGTACCCTGATGATGAGGTGGTCTTTATTTTTTTTTAAGATTTTTTTTTTTTTTTTTTTAAAGGAAAAAAAAAAAACTGTCACCCAATCTGAAGTCGAGTGGTGTGATCATGGCTCACTGAAGCCTTGACTTCCTGGGCTCAAGCAATCCTCCCACCTCAGCCCCTCGAGTAGCTGAGACTACAGGTGCATGCCACCACACCTGGCTAATTTTTTCTATTTTTTTGTAGGGACGGGGTCTCACCATGTTACAGCCCAGGCTGAACTTGTGGGCTCAAACAGTCCTCCCACTTTGGCCTCCCAAAGCGCTGGGATTATAGGCGTGAGCCTCTGAACCTGGTTTTGAGGTGATCTTCAAATGCACAACTGTCTGTGATTTGAGGAAGCGACTGGACTTTCCTAAAGTCTTAGAAACCTGCCCACTTCCTTAAAAATTTAACACATTACCACTTGTCAGAAAGTACTCTGAGCATGTCCTCATTATTAATTCTTCTGAACTTCATAGCAACCTTAGGAGACAAGTATTATTTTGGTGATATCATTATTATATCATCATAATTATAATTATTAATATTATAATGGAGATATTATTATCTCCATATTATCTCCATTTTACAGTGGAGGAAACTAAGTCACACAGAGGTTAATTAACATGTTCAAGGTCATGCTGCCAATACGTGGCAGAGCTGGGATTTAAACTCTAGCAGTTTGGTTTCAGAATTTGTGCTCTTATCTTCTATGCCAGCGGTCAGCAAACTTTGTCTCTAGTGGAGCAAGGTGGCTTTGCAGGCCATCAGTGTTAGCTGTAACTATTCAACTCTGCCATTGTAGCAGCCAGAGCTCCAGAGATTCCATGTAAATTAGTGGGTGAGATTGTGTTCCAATAAAACTTTACTTACACAAACAGGTGGGGTATGCTATACGTGAAACCTCACTTTGTAGACTGTGAAATGTGATCTCAAGTCCAGGATGACTGACTAAGGTTAGGCTTGTTTTATTTTGTGTTTTTAAAAGCAAGAATCTCAACAGATTCACTTTCTTAACATCTGATGCTGAAACCAATACATTACATTGATCACATTCAGTTTCTTGTGCATTTCAGCAATGAATATATCCAGCAAGGATATGCTAGGGCTCTTTTAAAAGGCGAAACTAATCACCCTGAACTTGAATTCTCAACTACAGGCAGGAGAATGCCTGAACCTGATAGATACAGGTAAGTCCATCATGCCTTTCCGAGGTGCAGGCCTGGTGCTGCCGCGAGCAAGATCAACCCTGGGACTTGAGCTAGGG
Source organism: Homo sapiens (assembly GCF_000001405.40). Classification (NCBI taxonomy): domain Eukaryota; kingdom Metazoa; phylum Chordata; class Mammalia; order Primates; family Hominidae; genus Homo; species Homo sapiens. The sequence continues at coordinate 109,333,125 of NC_000002.12, read as the reverse complement.
CTGGAAACTGAGGTCTCTCCTGGAACGCACTGAGGCAGCACTGGAGCTGCAGGGCACCAGGCAGTGAGCAGCTCTGCACTCACGCGCATTCCCAATCCCAGGCTGCCGAAGACGAATACATGACCCAGCAGGCTAGGCTGTCTTCTGCATCCTGCTGATGTTGGGACCACCAAGGTCTCACTGTCACAGTTAATTTCCTCCCATCAAAACAGCTCAAAGGAATCCACTGGTTTCTGACCATTTATTCTATAAGGCAAGAAACACTTCAACACTTTTGTGAGGACACAATTAACATACTGTGCACGTTAAAAAGGGTGATTCCGAGTCCTATTTCTCACCACCCACACTAGCACCTGTGCCTCCACACACTAACCCTGGGGGCGGGGTGGCTGCTCCTGGATATGTTCTGTAGGAAGCTCGGCAGGAATCACTCAGAAGGGTGACTCATCGCCCCATCCTTTCCTGCCTGGCAAATTAGAGGATGTTCCACCCACGGGGCAGCCCTGGCTTCCTTAGCACAGCACAGTGAGCTAAGAAATGCAGAACTGTCTAGTCCAGAGAGGGCTGAACTGCGGGGAGCTCGGGACAGGAGAAAGCTCTGTTCCTCACACATCCTGGGACTCCTTAGGGGCAGAGGCAGCAAAGGAGCCTTGTGCTGCTTCTGCTGCACTCAGCCCCAAGCCCGTCCAGGAAGACCTGCACCCTGCTCGGGGTGCTGGGGGAGTCGCGGGAGTGTCAGAGCTGAGCTACAGGCTGAGAAGGAAGGAGCAAGTGCAGCACCCCTGGGCGCAACTCTCAGAACACAGAATCAGGAGGAGGAGCTCTCTCAGGAGAGAGTTGGCGTGCCAGAGGGAAACAGACGGATCAGCAGGTTGTTTCTACCCTGAACTCAGAGAGGCAAGAAGGTCTGTTAGGGGTCCCATGAGGCAGCTTGCAGAGGGCTCCGGGCCGCAGATGCTTCCCTCTCATGGGTAAAGCGCCTCTCTGGTGCTCTTTACCAGCAGCCTTGGCCAATGTCTATGCTAAACAGAAGCACCCAAAAGACTGGCAAACACATGCAGTCTTCTCTCTTTAGCTAAAGCAGAAAGCCACAGATTTCCGGTAACCGCTGCTCCCAGGCTCAGCCGGCATCCACGACTAGTCACAGACAGTCACAGCACCAGGAAGACCCATCGGAGGATCGGCCAGGTGCTGAGGGTGCAGGCAAACCCCTCCAGAGAGGCAGTGGACTGCAGCTCCTCTGGTGAGAGGTCTCTCCTCAGGGGAGACCCCAGGGGCATGACAGGGTGCCCCTGGCAAAGATCTGAACACGAGACTTTTAAAAAATCATCTTAATATTATATTCATTCAATCAGTCACCAAGTACTTATTGGCCACCTAATATGTGCCAGACATGGTTCTAGGAACTAACAAAATAGATAAAGAAAATAGAAACAAAATAGATAAAAACATCTCTACCTTAAGGGAGCATACACTTTATAAGGGGACAGAGACATACACAAAATAAACTATTAAAAGTACGTAGTATAGTGAAGACCGTAAGTACTCCAGAGAAAATATATCCAGAAGGGGATTGGAAGGCGGTGGGGGTTGCAATTTTAAATTCAGGAGGGTGAGAAAGGGCCTGAAGGAGTAGACGCGGGAGCCCTGAGGTTTTGGGAGAAAGTGCTCCTGGCAGGGAGAAGTTGCAAACCTGGTTAAGGCCCCAGTTCTCACACTCCAATCAGTTCATGATGCAAAACAAGGGGAGAGAGAGAAGGGGAGAGGAGGGAGGCAGGAAAACAGGCCAGGTGGCTGTTAATTGATTGCAAATGAGGAACTCATTTGATGGCCAATTCCTGAATCTTGCTCTGGCACCCAGCCCTGCGGGACAGGCGGGTGGGGGTCTGTACACAATATCAGGAAATTTCAGCTTCAAGAAATAAGACACCCGGCATTCCCCATGCTCCAGGGAACAGATCCAAAAGTAAAGGATGGGGAAGAATGAAACCGCTTTTGAGTTTATCTCCTGGCCATCTTGGAAGAGCTTCTGCTATGCTGGAAGGAAAAGCTGAGGAGTCTTTTTTAGATTTTGGGTGAAAGTCAACAGATACTACAGTAACTCCAAACACCTGGCTTTTTATATGGACTTAGACCATGAACTAATGCATGGCACAACCTTTATTCAACACACACTTGCTGGGGACTTCCACTGCACACACTGTGCAAGGTGCCAGACACAGATGAGTGACTTGCAGACCCTTACCAGAGGAATTGGTCCCTTAAGAGGGATCCTGCTTATTGATGAAACCCAGGGGGAGAAGACACACACCTCTTTAGGAGTGTGTGGGGAATGATGGTGTCCAGTTGTGTATCTGTGTATGTATTTGAATTATCTTTATCCACCCATCTCTCCATTTATTTGTTTATTCATCCATCCGTCATGTATCCATCCATCATTCATCCATCCATCCATCACTCCTCAATCTATCATCCCTCCCTTCCGTCTCTCCCTCCATCCATCCACCACACACCCATTGACCCACCATGCATCCATCCATCCACCCATGCAAACAGTGACTATCTTGTCTGTGCCAGGCCTGTGTGAGGTACTAGACATCTAACAATACAAGGGGGGACACCCCCTGCCCCCCATTCTTACAAAGTTCGTAAGGAAGATGGAATGTTTATTTAGAGTCATAATGTATCGAATATACATGACTAAGGAATAATCAACAGGATGAAAGTCTTGGATAATTCTGAGATATGCCAAGACAAGAAAAAAAAAAGAAGGAAGAGACGGAGAGAGATAGGCACAAGAGAAGAATTTTGCCCCTTTTCTTTAGTTTCGCAATAACATCTGAAATGCACACCAAAATTGAGGAAAAGGCAACATTCTTCTTTCTGCAACCCACAGAGTTGGGGAGACTTACCACACATTCCAGTGGGACAGACACTGGGCAGAAGACATTCCTTCCAGCATGTTCCCTCTAAGTATCTCACAGCTGCCCCAGAGTGGGAGCAAAGGAAATGCATGCCCGTGCTACATATATTTCATTACATGTTTTAAACTTTTAAACCATTTACTCCACTTAGATGAAATTCAATGTTTTGTAAGGGCCAGGGATGTTGACTTTTTCTGGTCAACATTCTCTCAATGCTAGTCAAACTGTCACCATGACTAGGGGTCCAAGAACCCATTGAAGAAAGTTGCAGTTTATCTGCACCTAAAGTTAAGAGGTTCTGCAGAGAGACTTTTGGAAACCATTCACATTCATATAACTTTTATTTCTCTCTTGTGCAGTTCCAAACCTTACAAAACTGGCTGAAGCTGGGTTGAAGGTGGGCTGAAAGTGAGGCTGGGCCTATGTAAGAAAAGGCATCTCCAGCCTCCTTTGTGTCACACTCCTGCAATTCATTTCACCTTCCTCCTGCTTTCTTACTTCTTGGCTCTAAATCAAGCTGAGCACTGCCCTCTTGCAGCCTCTAGAAATGTGCAAATCTCTCTGCTAAAGTGTCCTCCCTTGAGGGAGGCCTGTCAGCTCCAGACTTATCATCAGCCTTCCACCTCTGAAACTTGCTGCAGGAAGGCTGCACCCCAGTGCAGGGAAGGGAGAATGGGGGGATGTGTTCAGTTGTTCTCCAGCCAGCACAGAGGGAAAGACACCGCTCCAGCCATGGCCTCTGGAACCATTTGAAGCCACTGATTTACATCTCATTGAAAAAGTCTTGGTGAATAACCCCACCTGCAGGTCCACTTGATTCTTTGGGGCTTGACTTTTTCCTCATGCGGATTTGCTCTCAATGCAAAAGTCTTTTCCTCTCATGAGTTGTGTTTTTTTCCACATCTCCAGGATGTTTCTCAGATGGAGAGATTTAGAAGCAATCAACCAGGCTTCATGGGGTCTGGTCAGAGACTGGACCTGGTAATTGGGAAAACCAGGAGAAGGCTGAGCACAGAGGGAACACCAAACAAATGCGCAGAGAAACCACACGAGAGAAACCAATGTAGGAGAGAGGGGAACATTTGGAGATGAAAGAGTAAGAAAAGGAAGAGATAAATATTCCCAGAAGAAATGTGAGAGGATTCCAGGCCACTGGACTAAGATGACTGCCTCTGTGGACACATGGCCAATTCCTCAAGAAGACCACAGAGCAGCCACCAGGACGTGGGAGGAAGGACGTGGCCAAGCTTGTCATGACCACCCCGTTAACAACCCCAGGGAAGCCTCAGCTCTCAGCCCTGCTCAGAGCATGGAGAAGGCAACTGGGAGTCCAGGGATATATTTGACACTCAGACATTCCACCTCTGGATAACACTGTGTTCAGGTGAAATATTTTCATGTTCCTGCCACCAAAGTGGTCATGAACCACTGTGGTTCACACACACAAATGTGGGGGAGAGGAAGACCATACTGACAGATCACAGGACACAGTGATGACCAGGAGCATACAATGGTGAATGGCATCATCCCACGCTGTTTCTGGAATTCCCTTCCTATATCAGTACCATGACCTAGGCATCCTGGATAACCTGGAACGCTAGATTAGAAAGTACAAAGATGATTCTGAATGCACTGTCGAAATCAGAGGCTCACAGCCCCACCTAGAAAGTGTTCTTAGAAAAACAAACATGTGTAAACAAATGAATCTAGCCAAGTCCTCAGATGTAACTACCAGTTTACAGGAAATACAGGGAATGGAGGAGCAGGGGAGACAGCACCATGAGGATGCAGCCCACATAGTCAAGGGTGGGGCAGCTCTCCAGGGAAAGGGACTATGTTCTTCAACAGATTAATGGCATGAAGGAAATAGGTGGAAAAGAGTAGGAACTTCCAGAAATAGAAAGAAGTAAGAGAGATGGAATCCTATGCCATGAGTGGACCTTATTTGAATCCAGGTTTGAACAAAACAAGCATAAAAAGACATTTTAGAGACTATGAGGGAAATCCACACATGGACTAATATCAGGCAACTACTGTTAATTCTGACAGTGTGACAATGGTTTGGCTGTTTTTTGTTTTAAGACTTCATCTGTTGGTAATACATACTGAAATATTGAAGGATAAAATAATATGATGCCTGGGATTTTCTTTAAAGGATTCCCCAAAAAACAAAAAAAGTGGAGGGACATATGGAATAAGCTTGGCACCATGTTGACAGCTGCTGATGCTGGATATCGCCTGACACAGGGTCATTGTCCTAGACCCTCCATGATTGTGTATGTTTGAAGGTATCCATAATAACAAGAAAAAGAAATGAATTGCTAAACTGACACAAAAGAAAATTTATGCAAAGGGCAAACATGAAAACAGGAACACTGGGAAGTGGTATGTATATGTAAAAGTCAACTGCTTTTCTATCTACCATGCACAAGTAGCTAAAATATATAATTAAAAATACTTTATATTTTTGTTGCTATTTTAAGTGGTACTAGGTAGAAATTTAACCAAACATGTACATTTCCTTTATGGAGGATATTATGCAATTTTACTAAAAGATATTAAAGATGGCCTAAATAAATTGCAAGAAATATGATGTTCTTGAGTAAGAGGACTCAGAAAAGCTGTAATTTTCTCCCAACTTGATGTATAGTTCAAATGCATTTCCAATTTAAATCTCGACGGGATTTTCAAGTACTTGACAAAGTACTTGACAAATTGATTTAAAATGTATGTGGAAGAGTGAAAGTCCTTGCCCTGCTAAAATATCAAAGCTTTAAATAAGTTACAGTAATTACAAAAGAATAGTTTAATCAACAATAGACAAATAGACCGATGGAACTGAAGGGAGGGTCCAGACACAAACATGTGCAGATGATGTGATTTACCAGCGGCAGGGAAAGGCTGGGCTGTTTAATCAATGGTGTTGGCAAGTTAGGTTATCTAGATGGAAAAAGAAATTGTCCTCCACCTCATCCTATATACAATATTATTTCTAGCTGAATTAACATCTTAAATGTGAAAAGCAAAACTATAAAACTTTTAAAAGTTAATAAAAAGCTCCAGGGTAGGAAATGATTTTTAAATAAGACACAAAACACTGACCATAAATGTTCAGTGGAACAACATTTAAATGTTTTTAAAAACCTTCCATTTATCAAAAGACATTAAATACGAAGGAAAAAGACAATCCATAAACAGAAGATATTAACAACACATTGCAGAAACAAGGTATTAGCATCCAAAATATGTCAATAACCCAGCAGTTGAACTGGAACCGAATGGTAGAGCCAGCGTGCTCAGGTGTGAGCCCCTGCTCTCCCCTCACCTGCTGGGGAACACTGGGCCAGTGGCTGTGCGCACCTACGGATACTCTCCCATGAGACAGGCGTCCCCCTAAGAAAACCTACTTTATTGGGAAGGACTGAAACAGTTACTGTATCCAGAACCACTTAGAACAGTGGCAGTAAACACCAGGTAAGAACTACCCATCTATCTTCAAGAACAGATAGATCTTTCAAGAAAAAGATAAGTTAACTTAAACAGGCATTGTAGAAAAGGCTATGAACACAAATGGTCCCCAAAGACCTGAAAAGTGACTCAACAGCATTGGTAATCCAAGAACTGCAAATTAAACCACAATGAGATGCCATTTCACACCCACCAGATTGGCAAAAATTTAAAAGTCTGGCAACAGCAAGTGTCGGCAAGGGCGCAGAAGGAAACGTCTCTCACCACTGCTGGTAGGAGTGCAAAGTGCTGCCTGATCGCCAAGCCATCCTGTTCCAAAGAACATAGTATTCTCCAGGGTAAGGATGTACTTCTACATGAACATTAAAAAAAAAGAACAACAACAACTGAAATACCCATTAACTGTGAAGTAGATAGTCTATGATATACTCAGATCCATGAAAAACTGTACACTACATAAAAAAACAAATGAGCGACATCTATGTACATCAACACAGCTGATTCCTTGTTGGGTGGAAGAAGCAAGTTACAGAAAAACACCTTCTGAGGCTAAATCTGTAATATTCAGCACCAAGAACAGATAGATAAAATCAAATAAACAATGTAGACCCACATACGTGTGTGTCCTTAAATGTTTTACCATGGTGGAGAAAATGTGGCATACGCCCAGGATACCCCTGGAGGGCCTCTAGGTCTCCACATTTCTTAGGCTGATGGTAGATATACTAATGTTTGTTGTTGTTCTTCTTTAAACATGACATATACGTTACGGTTCACAGTGAAAATATCATTAAAAATAAAGCAGAAAGACTATTCATTTCTAATGGAAACACTATGCATACTTTCAACCCTCTCTGAACTTTTTCCCAGGAGTGATTTGGAACAAAGGGAGGTGTGGTCCCTGCTCGGGCCAGCATCTTTGCCCTGCAGTAATAAGGAGGGTGCAGCAGGCACCTGAACCCCTACACACTACTCCAGGCTGGTAGAGTCTGCAGGACATTCCAAGGAACATGTAGTGATGCCTGGCTTGGAAACCAGGAGATGAGTGGGCATATAGAAAAGAACCTTCTAGCGATCAGTGCTGAGAATGGAACAGGCTGCTTTGGGAAGTGGTGAGTGAGTTCTGTAACTGTTTTGGATTAAAGCAGACTCAGAGCAGCCATATTAAGGGATGTTGTAAAGGGGCTGTGTCACTGGGGGAAGCGGGGAACCAAGAAAGGAAATGATATGCTGTACATGGTGGCACATGCCTGTAGTCCCATCTACTCAGGAGGCTGAAGTGGGAGGACTGCTAGAGCCCAGGGTTTGAGATTACAGTGAGCCATGATCACACCACTGTACTCCAGCCTGAGTGACAGAGCAAGACCTGGTCTCCAAAAAAAAAAAAAAAAAAAAAAAAAAAGAAAGAAAGAAAGAAAGAAATTAAATGGCAGTCCCTGAAATCCAATGACTCCTGGGATTCTACGATTTCTTGGCTTACTCTGTGTAAACCGACTCACTTTGACTCCAGCCATGCCAGCTGGAGGGATGAAGTGAGACACTGATCTTCACAGAAAATTAAAGACCAGTGAGTTGTTTCCGAGCACTGCAGAGGAAATGTGGCCAAGGGACCCCTCCCTGACCTCTTGGGCCTTGTCAGAGCCATGGCATCCTCCCTTCTAGCCTCTAGGAAAAACAAGACACAAAAACCACACACATTTTAAAAACATCTCTTACGCAAGCCAAAGGCCTCTCCCAGAACAAACTTTTCCTTGCCAAAACTGTGTGATTGTATTTGTCTATACTAGTCATTACTGTATAGGAATGGCAAGAGGAGAGGGTTTGGGGAAGCGACAGCTCCACCGTTCCTTCCAGGAGACAGTGTGCCAGCGTGCGTGCTTGCACACACCTCAAGGAGAGGGACGGAGAGTACTGTCCTTGGAGTTACAGGCAGATTCATAGTTGGTCTCTATCCCCGTCTGGACATTCATGCTCTCCTTCAAGTCATTTGGCGCTTATGCAGCAATTCTAATTTCATCTACTTTACTACCAGCAGGGATCCACAGCTTTGGGATCCAGGAGAAAGGAGTTCCAGGAGAAAGGATCAACTTCGCCTTCTTCAAATACTGTCTTCAAAGGGCTTATTAGCACTTTGCAAATATTAGTCAACAGATCATCAACCTGGTTTTCCTTCTATTAAGATGACAGTTGTAACTTTCATTATTATTTTAAAATCTAAAAGATTAATCAAAACTACTTCACATCCACTAGGATGGCTAAAATCACAAAGACTGGCAATAATGAATGTTGACAAAGATGTGGAGAAACTGGAATGTCATACATTGCCGGTGGGAATGGAAAATGGTGCAGCCACTTGGAACAACTGCCTGGCAGCCCCTCAGAAGGTTAAAGAGAGTTACCATGCGACCCAGTACCCCTACTCCTAGAGCAGTGGAAACCTGTCCACAAAAAACTTGTACATCAATAGTCACAGGGCACTACCTGTGATGGTGAAAAAGTGAGAACATCCCAGATGTCCATCCACTGATTAATGGTATAAGCAAAATGTGGTCTAGCCACACAATGGATTATTATTCAGCCATAAAAACATGAAGTAGTGAAACATGCTACAACCAAGACGAACCTTGAAAATATTATGCTAAGTGAAAGAAGTAAGACACAAAAGGCCACATATTATCTGCTTCCATTCATAGAAATGTCCAGAAAGAAAGATCCACAGGGACAGAAATTACATTAGTGTTTTCCAGGGGCTGGGGGAAGGGGAACAGAGAGTGACTACTGATAGGTATGGCATTTCTTTTTACAGTGATGGAAAGTTTCTGAAATTAGACAGTGATGGTGGTTGCACAGCTCTGTCACTATACTACAAATTACTTTTAAAAAGATAAAAACATAAGAAAAGCTAAAAGATTAGCACTCTGAAATATTTGGAGACCTAAAATAACAAAAATAATTAACATCTATAAAACATGTTGACAGCTTAGAGAAGCATCCTCATGCCCACTCTTACAGGAGGGTGGAAGAGCAGGCCACCTTCACCTTATCTCCTCGAGGCACAGGCTCAGGGAGCTTGGCGGACACACAGCTCAACCTCACCAAAACCCCATGCACATCAGGAGTCTCCAGCCCCAGTGCAGATGCACATTCAGCTGAGTTCAAGCTTCGCTGGGGGCTCAGACTTATGCCCCATCTACCACTACCTACAATATTCTTCCTGGAGAGGGACAGCATGCTACCAATCACTAACAGAGAATGCACTTGGGTTGGTTGTTTTTCTAAATCTCACTGAATATTCTTTGGGATAGTATGTGCATATGTGTGTTTGTGATTCTTCATTTACACAAATGCCCATTGTGGTGAATATGTGGATCCTATAGCTGGAGTCATACAGGTATCTTCTTCAGTTTGTCTTCCTCTGTGTCACCTGCTTCATAGACACTTGCCCCTGTGCCAGTCAGTGCCTGCTATACACCCAATGACTCCCAGCCCAAGACCTGATGAGCCAGAGGGTCCTGATGGCCCCCGGCCCTCCTTCCCACTCTAGAAATACACACCTCCCCTTCCCACCCATTGCATTGTCTCTGGAAGCCGAGGCCTCTCTCTGGAGCATATGCTGGGAGCCCGGGCACAGTGGCAAAAGCAGAAGCCCCACAAAGTCTGCAAGCTCCCTCCTGTCTCTGATAAAACATTTCAACGAGACCACCTAGGGGTATAAGAAAATCCCTCTGCAACACAGCTCAGCAGCCTTGCCCACAGTCAGATTTGGCCTCTTTATATTGCCTGCCCACTCTCACTAAATTCCAATCTAGCCAGGGAAAAGCCACCTCTTGGCCTCATCTTAACATTACAAGGTTTGTGCATGGAACTTTAATTGATAGCAATAAAGCTGTCTGCCCATATCCTGATGTGGGGAGATTTGCAGGCACCAGAAGCCTGATTTCTGAGTTGGAGAAGGGTTCTTATTTGAATCCTTATTTGCTGGAAAAGCAAAATATGAGCTGATCATCTACCTCTTAATGAATTAGAAATCACTTATGTGGGTGCCCTGTGTGCTCAGCTAATGAGTCCTTTTTAAAAGGTTATTTCTGCTGGAGACCAGCCTTTGACATTTGACTGGCGACTACTGCAGATTTATTCATTCAGCAAATTTATTCTTGCAGTAACTCTCAAAATCAGTGCACACTATTACACAGCACAGGCCCTATTTGTGAAATTATTTATAGGCTTATTTAGAAATTTCAGCTTCCTTAAGATGGACAATTTTATTGGCTGATTTAAGCTCAACTCTCAGGCAAAGACAACTCACCCGCCTCCTAGTTCAGGCTCCTGGATTCCTGCCACCCCAACTGCCTAGTCTGCCTGTGGGAACATTTCGGCACATGTTGAAATGTTCTGCCTCTGCCGGCCCTGGCTGCCCTCAGACTCCATGGGTTTACAGAGCAGGATCTGGATTTATGACTTCAACAGGAAATGCAAAATACACAAAGTTCCAGCAAGAAGGGAGAAGGAGTGGTGATTATTCGGGGGATTCCAGAATGCTTGAAGGGGCGCTGAGTCTCCTGTGTATCCGTGTCTTGTCTCTCTCTTCCTCCCCCTTACTCCTTACCCTTCTTTTTCCCTTTCCTCATTCTTTCCCTCTCCCCGCTTCTCTCCCTTACCCTTTCTCGCTCCTTGCTGTGCCTTCCAGTTGCCAAGGTGACTTATTTTAAAAAGAGCCATCCACTTCTTGAAATGTGGTATTTGCTTTCATACTGAATAACGAGGACCAATCATCTTCAGAGCTCTGATCCTCCAGAAAAGGGCCCCATCTCCCCTTCAGAGAAGTCCTGAAGTCCTGACCACACTGGGACTTGAAGTAAGCAGTGGGAATCCACTGGAATTTGGCAGAACCTTGGGATTGTCATGGCCAGCCTCTGATGTCAAAATGTGACCAATCCCTCGCGAACACATCTCTCTAGCAGAATAACAGTAGTTGGAAGTAGATCTTCCCTCCAAAAATCTGTCTATACTTGAGTTGCACGGCAGGGGGCCAGGGTTGACACTTATTACAAATTTATTCATTTTTGCCAGATCCCTTCTGCCACAAGAGGGTTTTATCTAGACAAGGTTCCTAAATTGGCTTTGCAAAATGTAATCCTCTATTGATTGTCTCATCTCCTGTAATCCATCCAGTTATTGGAGAATGTTTGTTAAATTTCTATTTTAATAAAAACATCAACCACAACATTTATCTTCCTTTGTTAAATGGAAACAAAGCATAATCTAATTTTAAAAATACTATAAGCTGATAATCAAAATTCAACAACTGTATGCCCTGAACTCAACTAATTTCCACTTCAAATGCTCCTAATCCACATAGGCTTTGGCAATGAATGATGACGTTCTGGTATGGAAGAGGCAATCTGCATGCCACATTTGCTCTACCAATTTACTAAATTAAGTGGCAAGACAATAAAGGAATGGCGTTTTAATGAGAACAGCCTAATTAAAAGTGAATCCGAGGATATAAGGTTTGAGTTCTATTACTGACTGCATACCTCAAAGAATGTGAAGAGCTGCAAAGAAGCGTTTGAGAGGTGCATCCATGCACATGGCGTCTTGTGTGTCCGTGAGTCTTTCTTCCATGAATACTACTTATCACTAATCATTATCAGTAGTAATCATTACTTACATGTCTATAAGTTATCAGTAAGAGCAGCCATTTTTGAGCTCCCATGGAACAATCTATGTAGGTATGTAGATGCCTTACATACAATCTAATCCATATCCTAAAACCCTGCAAGATGGCAATATTACCATCACTTTACAGATGAAGTGTTTGTGGTTCAGAAGGTTAACCCAGGTGATGAGTATCGTAGGGCAGGGATTTGAATCTTGGTCTGGTGCCCGAATCCATGGCCATTCCATCTGACCACTCTGCCTGTCCATGTACAGCAAGCAAAGCAATGTGCCTCGAGTTTTATTTTCTCCCAGCAGAAAGTTCATCTGCCTGACGTTGTTTACTTGTCTGTTCATCTGCGGGGCTGATATCTTTACAGAAGAGGAATGCCAGTAATTTTACAAGAACAACAGTTGTGCATATTGGGTGTTATAGAGCTGGAATCCAGCACTGATTTTGGTGACCTAGTAAGCAGAGGGTTTAGACATTCTGATTAGGTGGGGAGAGGCCTAAACTTCTCCCAGATAACAAACATGTATCCAGCAGGTAGGACAGCCTCCCTTTGAGCATGAAAGGGTATAACTGGCCTTGGTTAAGAAGACGTGAGGAGGAAGTTGTGGCTCACTGCCGAGGATGGGCGCCTGCGGTGGTTCCAGCAGGAAGGATGGTTTTGCACTCACTGTGGTGAGATCAAACGTTGTACCTGCTGCTCAGGTGGGCTTGGGAAAGGGTGAGGGCCTGTACCTCCCTCTCTAGTCCAGGTGGCCACTGGCTGCTGTGCAGAGAACAGGAAGGAAACCTCTGCTCTCATTCCCACCGCCCTCCTCTGCCCGGAAAGCAGCCCTCAAAAATGGAATTAGAGTCAATGAGCCGAGCAGAGGCAAGCCGAGGGCTGTGACGGCCATGAGAACTGGGGTGAGAGAAGAGTTGTGTTGCTTCTACAGGCTTTACAGGAGCACTAGTAGGACTTGGTTCCAGGCCTAAGGAAGGGACCATAAGAGGCCACCCCCAGCTTCGAGGAAGTAGCTCCGTGAAGACCTAGAATGGAAACAGCTCCAGCTGGGAACCTCCAGAATAGCACCCCCCACTCTCCATCACCCACTCTGACTTCTCTTACTTCTCACAGCAGCTCGTTCACCTTGCCCCTGCAAGGAGGGACCCCAGATGTAACCACCGGGGGATTTCTAGGTCCCAAATGCAGGGCAAATGGGCTGATACTCCTACTGGCTCTCTTTCCTCTAAGGGGACAGAGGTGCCTTTGTTTGGCTGGAAAAAGCTCCAGATTGGACTGGGCAGTGAAGGGAAACAGCCACACACGGCCTGGACAGGCTGGGGGCAGGCAGGCTGCACCTGCCCACACCATTTGGCTCCGGCACGGCACTCTTCAAGATCGCACACTTTAAAAAGAGAGGAGGAGATGATAAGGGGAATGTTTAAAAACAACAGGGATGATAAGAGAAGATGGGGGAGTGTGGGGCTTTCTGTTCTGGAACGAGCCCCACTGGGCTTGTTTTCAGCCCTGTGAGCCCCCTCTCACTCAGAATACACATCTGTACTAACATGTGTTTCTCTTGACCACCGTCACTACCCCAGCAGAAGTGCAAGAGTAAGAAAACGAATCACTTGTAAATCCAAGCTTTCAGCCCAGCAGGCTGAAAAGGATGCCTGGGTGATCCCCGGGACCCCACTGAGCCCACAGGCAGACACAGCTCAGGACATTGTCTCTTTGCAGTCAACTAACCTGCACTGGCTTAGGAAGAGGGGAAATAAATGTAGAGTTCATATCACGATGCCAGGAACCAACTCTTTCTCAACTCCAAAAAATGCAGCAAGCTTAACACTTGGTCCTGCAAAACGATGCCACTGTCACTATCTGGCATATACAGGGCGACAGCCAAGAACAGGGTACTGGAGAGTTACTAAGCCATGCCCCCATCTAGGCAGAGATGGGAGTGCCTCTTCTGCAGACACCTACAAGCAGCTGCTGTCCCTAAAGTGAGCTGTTCCAGGCAGGATACAAACACCAGGATCGATGGAGAGCCACTCCTTTCCCATCTGTAATCCCAGTTAGCAGAGGGCTTTGATCTGTTCTGGGACAGACACTTGAAATACAAATGTTCTCAGGGAAGTTATGAAGTACAGTTTCATTACATATTGAATTCACTTGGCTCACCTACCAGAGGCAAGGAATTCCAGCTGGCTTTGGTTCCAGAAGTTCATCCCTCTTTCTTCTCCAAGCCAATGTCTGCCTCTGAGTGGATGGGTGGCCTCAGGCCAGAGCTCGTCAGGGCTGGGCTTTCATGCTTTGTCTTTAGATTGGATGAGACCAGAAGGGTCAGTATCTGGCGGCTGGCCAGGGCAGCCCCGGATTCTGGCCAGGGCATGATCTGAGAGACCATTCTGGCTTCCCTAGGACTCTGATCTCACAGCTGACAAGAGACAAATGCTGCCCCCAGTGTGAGCATGAGACGATCCCCTCAGGAGCTGGCTCTACTCACATGACTTTGAACCAACACACCCGCAAGGACAAACCACAGTTCTCTCACAGCGTTTATCCCACGGTCGCCAAAATGATTGTGCTATGATTCAGTCACTCAGATAAACGCGTATGCCGAGAGCCACCCTGGCTTTGAGAGGAGGCCTCACACAATTCCCTCCTAATCTTCTGGCGCTCGGCGGCATTTCTTCCTCACCCCAGGTCTGTGCAGCGAGTGGGCAGAGGACAAGCACTGGGGACCGGGCTGGGGGCCGGGAGGCACCAGCCAGTCACGCTAGGAGGAGCAGTCGCATGGAAATGCTCCCGAACATCTGGGGCTGCGCTCAAATTTCAAAGTGATTCTTCTGCTTGCACAACTTTACAATCTCGGCATTTGCCAAATGCTTATGTTTTGCTTAATCTGAAATTAGGCAAGGATTTCTAGTCTCTCAATGTCCCTAGAATGGTTTTTCTGCTTAAAGGGGGCTTTTTTTTTTTGCGTACTGAAATTCAGCGTGCTCATGGCTTAGAAAAACAGAGGAGAGAAAGGATCACGATGATCCTCCCTGCCCTTTGCTTTTTAATGCCTGGCCTTCCGTTCAGATGCAGGCCATCCTTGGCCTTTGCCACAGAATCCATCAGGACAAGCGGCAGAGTTGTGCGAGTCCCCTCAGCGGTGCAGCCAGCGAGCTGCTGCTGGCCACATACATCTTTCCTCTTGGCTGGGACTCCAGTTATGTGCCTTCCTGAGAAACCTGACCCAAGACGGATGCGCTAGTTCTTAAAGTCCTAGGATACATCCCCAGTTAGCACCAGGACACTACAAAGGCACTCACGAGCAGAAGCCTGTTCACAGGGAGGCACCCTCGCACTCCACACTGACCTCACTGTGATTCCGTGGTGGAGAAACTGCAGCAACTAATATTTATGTACCTGAAGTCATTTAAACTCAGCCAGTTCTCTTTTTCCAGGCCCAGCAAGTCACAGAAACCAAGGTGGACTTTGACTGTTCTGTACCTCAGAAGGAGCAGGGAAAGAGATGAGGCAGGCCCGGCAGAACGAGACCTAGAACCAAGTCCCTGCTGTGAACGGGGCTGCTGCCAGAGCTATGCCTCCCAGACCCAGGGGAAGAGCAGGGTGGGGGGCTGGGCCTCCCCAGCATGGAGTAGACAGTGTCCCTTCTGAGCGCTAACAGGGAAAAAGAGCCCCAGACCTCTGGACTCTCCTCCACCCCCTGGGGCTGGGGCGGCACCTGCCCACCTGCCCACAGACGCCCCCTCAGGGACAGGCATTGCTGTCGCCCTGTCACCATGGGCAAGACTTGACGCTATCTGTGCACAAGCAGGAAATGCTACACTAGGAGATTCCATCCGGGTGGGAGGTAAGCTGGGGTCCCGAAAACCCCAACACCATGAAAACTTACATCCACAAAACATTTCATGAAACTTACATCTCATGAAAACATTTCATGAGAAACCCACTCATGAAAGTTTAGAGCAGCTTTATTCATAACTGCCAGAATGCGGAAGCCACCAAGATAGCCTCAGGAGGTGAGTGGATAAACAAACTGGGGTCCACCCAGACAATGGAGTGTTATTCAGTGATAAAAAGAAATCAACTATGAAGCCATGAAAAGACATGGAGGAACCTCAAACATGAATTACTAAGAGAGAGAAGCCAGTCTGAAAAGGCTACGCACTGTATACTTCCAACTGTATGATGTTCTGGAGAACGCAGAACTACAGCGACAGTACAAAGACCCACGGCAGCCAGAGGGTGAGGCCAGGGAGGGATAACCAGATAGAGCACATGGATTTTTAAGGGCAGGGAAAGTACTGAGTGTGAAACTCTAATGGTGGATACATCGCATTATAGATTTGTCCAAACCCGTGGAATGTCCAACACCAAGAGTAAACCCTAATGTGACACCACTCTGGTGGCTGATGCTGATGGAAAGGCTGCACATGGGGGCGGGGCAGGAGGTCTATGGGAATTCTCTGTACCTTCTGCTCAATCTTGCTGTGAACCTAAAACTGCTCTAAAACAGAAAGTCTATTTAAAACAGAAAAGCAGAGGAAATCTCTAAGAGGAGTGATAAGTTCTCTCCATGTCATGGGCTACCTTGTTAAAGGCTGTGTGTAGTGAAGATCACACTGACATCACACCTGTGTTCCTCCTGTGATAGACAGGAAGCCAGAGCCAGGGAGAAACATGGCACCAGGGCTTCTCCAGGAGCAGGGGCATGTAGAGCCAGCCACCATCACCTGGCAACATGTCCTCCCTCCATCCCCTTCCCAGCATCCACCCAGCCTCCTGGACCGAGGCCCACAGCACTGATAGCCCAGTTGGAGCTGTGCAGATCTGCTGCGAGAGATGAAGCCCAAGAGCCAGGACACTGGTGGAACCTTCCCCAGGCCCAAAAGTTCAGCAAAACCAGCTCTGAACACCTCCTCCAGCCTGCCTTGCCCTCTCTTTTTGAAAGCTTTAGGTTTTTCCTGCTTTACAATTGCATACTGGAAATGCACTTTTCTAACCACATCTAATCTCTAAATACTGGGAATCTTTGCAATTTGGGTGAAAAAAGCCCCTGATGCATGCACATATAATCTCACACAGTCAGACCAAAAAGACTTCTGCTAATGCATCTCAAAAGGCTCCATATTCTCCAAAACAACCCAGAGACACAGACCTATGCTGGTCGCAGGTGACGTTCTGGGAACTGGTGGCTTTGATGCCTAGATCACGTCCTGACAGGTAAGATCAAAGGTCATTCTAGGGTGGAAAAGCGACGACGTCCCTTCCACACCAAGGCAGCAACCGGCATTCACCTGAATACTCTAAATGTCACAATAGCCAGACATAATGAGATGAAAGAGCCCCAGAGGAACCCTGGGTGGGAAAGCCTGGACTGAGACAGAGCTCGCCCCTTTATAGACTGCCAGGAAAGCCTGCACAGGCGTCTCTTCTCTGGACACACACGTCCTTGTGCATCACTGACAGTTTCTGAAAGTTCTGCACAGACAGTGCACAACAGGCACACATGGTCCCCTTTGCTTACACCAAAAACGGATGGTCGTTCTGTATATGCACATTTTCATACTGAGACAGTTCCTTACTGCCTCTTAGTAAAAGCAAGTGCATTCTACAGACACAAGCTATTGCTTCCCTGCAACTATCCTACAGAGATAGGGACAGAGGTTTACTTTGTTTTGAATCACTAATGGAGTTGCAAGACTCAATGAACAAAGCACTTTACCTGGCTTGGCATTAGTTAAGAACTCCAAGTTGGTGTTGGACCCAGGGCCCTATTAAATTGCTGGGTGTTTCCCAGTGGGCACGTCTTTCTGCCTTACTATGGAGAGACTATAGCCCTCTCCACTCAGAGGACTCACACTTGACAAGGGGGACCCAGAGAAAAGTCATCAAATAAGACTTTCTGCTAATTATACTCAGTAAAGTAAAACAGGTTTCCTTTTTCTTCATTATTGTGGAGCAGTGCTGTCCAGTGGAACTTTCTGCACTGATGGAAACGTGTCGTGTATGGGCTCTTCAATGTGGTCGCTGTTCACTGAGTGTGGTCGGTGGCTACCTTATGGGACAGTGCAGCTCTGGAATGCCTGCTGGGGGTTCTCAAACTGTGGGCTTTGCCAAGAATGAGATTCATACGGGGAGACGAAGTTTCTTTTGGTCACCAGCGAGGGCTTAGCTCTGCTTCAATCTCTACCAACTCAGAGGGTCTCCTCTAATATTTTGGTGGTCTGATTCTCCTATTCACTAGACAGAAATATGATGCCAGTACTGTCACACCCTAAATTAAACAAAACCAAAATGGCAAAATAATTTACAGAATAAGAAATTGGCTGGTGGATATTATGCACTTGTAAAAAGATTCATCAAAGGTTTCATCAAGGAGCTGGTTTGCCTTATGCATGTAAAGGAGGATTAATTTACAAGTTTATACAAACCTTTAAAGACCATGGAGAGTGACAGACACATGCAAATTAAGATGGAGACACTATTTATGAAGTGGCAGGAATAATAAAAATGTATTAGTTGATGGTGCTATTCATATGGTAGAGAAATTCATTCCTGCACGGAGGTGACATCAAAGGTCATGCCGTTTCAGGCTGACCTGCTTTCCCCAGGGCAATCTGGTTCCTACCCTCTATCTCTGCTCCCTGGCTATACCAAGGCAGGGTTACAATCACTCTTATAAGATCTATGGGATTCACCCTTCAACGGAGCCATTTTCTGGAACCCTGAGCCTTTGGGATAACTGAGGATTTATCAGTTTAACCATTTCAAGAAATAAAACTTTCTCCTAAAACATATGCCAAGCCCCTGCTTTCTCAAGCAGGCAGCATTAAATATACATGACCCACATGGTTCTGGTGCCCCCATCTCTGGACACCCACCCGCTGGTCTCCCGGGACACAGACCACGACCTTGGCACCTGCAGTTAGGTGACTGCCCAGGCCTGCTGCTTTCCGCTACTGTGTCCCCCAAGTCCACACTTGCCCCGGGTCTCACGGCCCCTCTCTTCCCCCATAGCCTCTTCCTTTTCTCAGTGTCCAGTGTCCCACAGCCTGGTACTCCTTCTTGTCACTTTCCTCCCAGTTCCAAAGCCTTCAACTGTCTTGTGCCCTACAAAACAAAGTCCAAACACGGCACCCTGCATACGGGTCCCAACACACCTTTCAAATATCTCCTCCACTGCCACTCTTCAAATCCCTCTGCTCTGGCTGAGCCCACCTCCCTCCTCTCCCCCACATGCACTGGAATAAGCCCCTCTGTTTCACTCATGCTGCCACAGCTGCCTGGAGCAGCTGACCCCATCGCTACAAAGAAACCGGAAGCACCTTTCAGCTCAAGGCACATGCCATCACCTACAGAGAATCAGTCTCTCTCCACTCATCTCCCAGAATGTTTTCTTCCCATCCCCCTGGGATGTTGAGCCTGAGAGGCAGTGAGCCCCACTGCTGGCCGGGGCCCCTACTCAAGGCTAGGAGGCCTTGGCCAAGGACAGTCCCTATCTGGGCCTCAATGTCTTCCTCAGTGATGCTTAAGACCATTGCGATGACCAACTGGTACAGCGCTCACCCAGCAAGGAGGGCAGGGCCTGGCCCATGGCAAGCACCCAAATGTCAGCCAGGGAGGCCTGGCCTTGTATCCATGCCTCTCATGAGCACATCTTAAAATATGACACTTCACCTGCAGTCTCATCCCGGGCTGTGCATTAGGCTGAACTGCATTTAAATAAATGCAGCAAGAAACACAGATGCCAGCCTCCCCCCTTGGGATGGATGTACAGCAGGTTTGGGGTAAGGCCTGGGCCTTGTGAAGAGGAATAGGGATCCTGATATCATGCCGGTGTCAAGGATGCTGGCATAGACAAGCTCCCTAACCCCTTTCCAGGTCCCCTGGTTCTTCCCAGCTCAGCCCATGCACACAGATGAAGCTGACAGGCACAGGGCAAATATTACCTACAGTGTGAGCCAGGAGCACCACCTGCCTCTGAAGTATGTGGATTGCATGGGTTCCCTGTCTCCTGCCTCTTCTTAACACTGCAGATTTGCCCACCTGTCACAAATCAGCCCCCTTCTTCCGCATTACTGTAGATAAAAGTGAAATCCAAGGGCTGCTGTGGAAAACATAGGGCGGCTCTTCAATAACGTACACCTAGGATGACCACGTGACCCAGCAAGTCCATTCCTAGGTATACACCCAAAATCTAAGACAGGTGTTCAAGCAAATGTTTGTACCCAAATGTTAAGTGCAGCTCTACCCACAAGAGCCAAAAGGTGGAAACAGCCCAATGTCCGTCAGCAGATGAATGGATAAACAAAATGTGGAAATACCATACAGTGGGACATTCTTCAGCTATAGAGGGGAATGGAATTCTGATATACTCTATGATCCTGGATGAACTTCGAAAATACGAAGTAAAAGAAGCTAGACCAAAGGGCCATGTATCGGATGATTCCACTTATATCAAATCTCCAGAGTGGGCAAATTCACAGAGAAAGAAAGCAGGTTGTGGTGGCCTGGGGCCAGGAAGAAGGGGCCCAGCGGGGTGGCTGCTGATGGGTAGAGAGTTTCCTTTTGGGGAGATGAAAACTTCCCAAAAGGAAACTTCTGGAACTAGACAGTGCTGACGGTCGAAACATCATTAATATAATAAAACATAAATTCCACTGGCACACTTTATAATGACTTTCATGTTATAAGTATTATACCACAATAAAAAACCCGTTAAACTTGTTAGAATTATTAGAAAGAGGAGCAAGCCAACCTCGAGTGGGAAGCTCATTCACAAGAAAAGTGGGCAGGACTCAGAGCCCCAGCTCTGAGGTACATTTGTCCCTCTGGCCTTGTGTGTTTTGTTTACTAAACTGTGTAAGATTGTGTAAGATTTTCATTAGACTTTGTAAGATTTGGAGTTCTGAAATAACCAAATAACCAGTTCTGAATAGGTGACATACTTTTGAACTAACAATGCTAAAGGAAACCATAAAAACACATACACCAAGGTTCCCCTAGTCTATGGCTGACTGCTACACCGGCCACAACGCTCAAGTCAGTTCAAAACTGGACAGCACCAGCAGCAGCCGACCTCACCACCACACAGCCACGACTCATGGAAGACATCAGCTCCAAAATCTGTGACTCCATCTCATCCACTGGCAGGGCATGGAAGAAAATGTGGATGTAAGAAAACGAGAAAACAACTTCAAACTTTAATTAAAAAAATAACAATAAAGAAAGGGACAAACCACCATTTTAGTAAAGTTTGCTGTCTCTGCCATATGGGTAGCCTTGATATGACTTGCTCATCGCTTGAAATTAGCGCCCTTTTCAGAGTGAAGTCAGACAAGGAAAAACAAAACCACCACCAGGGTACATCAGTCAGAAAGGCATGTCCACAGACTGGGTCTCCTCTCAAGTGCTCAGCAGTCCTTCAGTCTTGCCATCAAGGGCCATTGCTTTTAGGAAGCTAGAATAAAAGTGCATCTTGATATACAATCATGTCGTCTGCAAACAGGGACAATTTGACTTCCTCTTTTCCTCATTGAATACCCTTTATTTCCTTCTCCTGACTAATTGCCCTGGCCAGAACTTCCAACACTATGTTGAATAGGAGTGGTGAGAGAGGGCATCCCTGTCTTGTGCCAGTTTTCAAAGGGAATGCTTCCAGTTTTTGCCCATTCAGTATGATATTGGCTGTGGGTTTGTCATAGATAGCTCTTATTATTTTGAAATACGTCCCATCAATACCTAATTTATTGAGAGTTTTTAGCATGAAGGGTTGTTGAATTTTGTCAAAGGCTTTTTCTGCATCTATTGAGATAATCATGTGGTTTTTGTCTTTGGCTCTGTTTATATGCTGGATTACATTTATTGATTTGCGTATATTGAACCAGCCTTGCATCCCAGGGATGAAGCCCACTTGATCATGGTGGATAAGCTTTTTGATGTGCTGCTGGATTCGGTTTGCCAGTATTTTATTGAGGATTTTTGCATCAATGTTCATCAAGGATATTGGTCTAAAATTCTCTTTTTTGGTTGTGTCTCTGCCCGGCTTTGGTATCAGAATGATGCTGGCCTCATAAAATGAGTTAGGGAGGATTCCCTCTTTTTCTATTGATTGGAATAGTTTCAGAAGGAATGGTACCAGTTCCTCCTTGTACCTCTGGTAGAATTCAGCTGTGAATCCATCTGGTCCTGGACTCTTTTTGGTTGGTAAACTATTGATTATTGCCACAATTTCAGCTCCTGTTATTGGTCTATTCAGAGATTCAACATCTTCCTGGTTTAGTCTTGGGAGAGTGTATGTGTTGAGGAATTTATCCATTTCTTCTAGATTTTCTAGTTTATTTGCGTAGAGGTGTTTGTAGTATTCTCTGATGGTAGTTTGTATTTCTGTGGGATCGGTGGTGATATCCCCTTTATCATTTTTTATTGTGTCTATTTGATTCTTCTCTCTTTTTTTCTTTATTAGTCTTGCTAGTGGTCTATCAATCTTGTTGATCCTTTCAAAAAACCAGCTCCTGGATTCACTGATTTTTTGAAGGGTTTTTTGTGTCTCTATTTCCTTCAGTTCTGCTCTGATTTTAGTTATTTCTTGCCTTCTGCTAGCTTTTGAATGTGTTTGCTCTTGCTTTTCTAGTTCTTTTAATTGTGATGTTAGGGTGTCAATTTTGGATCTTTCCTGCTTTCTCTTGTGGGCATTTAGTGCTATAAATTTCCCTCTACACACTGCTTTGAATGTGTCCCAGAGATTCTGGTATGTTGTGTCTTTGTTCTCGTTGGTTTCAAAGAACATCTTTATTTCTGCCTTCATTTCGTTATGTACCCAGTAGTCATTCAGGAGCAGGTTGTTCAGTTTCCATGTAGTTGAGCGGCTTTGAGTGAGATTCTTAATCCTGAGTTCTAGTTTGATTGCACTGTGGTCTGAGAGATAGTTTGTTATAATTTCTGTTCTTTTACATTTGCTGAGGAGAGCTTTACTTCCAACCATGTGGTCAATTTTGGAATAGGTGTGGTGTGGTGCTGAAAAAAATGTATATTCTGTTGATTTGGGGTGGAGAGTTCTGTAGATGTCTATTAGGTCCACCTGGTGCAGAGCTGAGTTCAATTCTTGGGTATCCTTGTTGACTTTCTGTCTCGTTGATCTGTCTAATGTTGACAGTGGGGTGTTAAAGTCTCCCATTATTAATGTGTGGGAGTCTAAGTCTCTTTGTAGGTCACTCAGGACTTGCTTTATGAATCTGGGTGCTCCTGTATTGGGTGCATATCTATTTAGGATAGTTAGCTCTTCTTGTTGAATTGATCCCTTTACCATTATATAATGGCCTTCTTTGTCTCTTTTGATCTTTGTTGGTTTAAAGTCTGTTTTATCAGAGACTCCCTGCCTTTTTTTGTTTTCCATTTGCTTGGTAGATCTTCCTCCATCCTTTTATTTTCAGCCTATGTGTGTCTCTGCACGTGAGATGGGTTTCCTGAATACAGCACACTGATGGGTCTTGACTCTTTATCCAATTTGCCAGTCTGTGTCTTTTAATTGGAGCATTTAGTCCATTTACATTTAAAGTTAATATTGTTATGTGTGAATTTGATCCTGTCATTATGATGTTAGCTAGTGATTTTGCTCGTTAGTTGATGCAGTTTCTTGCTAGTCTCAATGGTCTTCACATTTTGGCATGATTTTGCAGCAGCTGGTACCGGTTGTTCCTTTCCATGTTTAGCGCTTCCTTCAGGAGCTCTTTTGTCTCAGCCCAAAATCTCCTTAAGCTGATAAGCAACTTCAGCAAAGTCTCAGGATACAAAATCAATGTACAAAAATCACAAGCATTCTTATACACCAACAACAGACAAACAGAGAGCCAAATCATGAGTGAACTCCCATTCACAGTTGCTTCAAAGAGAATAAAATACCTAGGAATCCAACTTACAAGGGATGTGAAGGACCTCTTCAAGGAGAACTACAAACCACTGCTCAAGGAAATAAAAGAGGATACAAACAAATGGAAGAACATTCCATGCTCATGGGTAGGAAGAATCAATATCGTGAAAATGGCCATACTGCCCAAGGTAATTTACAGATTCAATGCCATCCCCATCAAGCTACCAATGACTTTCTTCACAGAATTGGAAAAAACTACTTTAAAGTTCACATGGAACCAAAAAAGGGCCCGCATCACCAAGTCAATCCTAAGCCAAAAGAACAAAGCTGGAGGCATCACACTACCTGACTTCAAACTATACTACAAGGCTACAGTAACCAAAACAGCATGGTACTGGTACCAAAACAGAGATATAGATCAATGGAACAGAACAGAGCCCTCAGAAATAACGCCGCATACCTACAACTATCTGATCTTTGACAAACCTGAGAAAAACAAGCAATGGGGAAAGGATTCCCTATTTAATAAATGGTGCTGGGAAAATTGGCTAGCCATATGTAGAAAGCTGAAACTGGATCCCTTCCTTACACCTTATACAAAAATCAATTCAAGATGGATTAAAGATTTAAATGTTAGACCTAAAACCATAAAAACCCTAGAAGAAAACCTAGGCATTACCATTCAGGACATAGGCGTGGGCAAGGACTTCATGTCCAAAACACCAAAAGCAATGGCAACAAAAGCCAAAATTGACAAATGGGATCTAATTAAACTAAAGAGCTTCTGCACAGCAAAAGAAACTACCATCAGAGTGAACAGGCAACCTACAAAATGGGAGAAAATTTTCGCAACCTACTCATCTGACAAAGGGCTAATATCCAGAATCTACAATGAACTCAAACAAATTTACAAGAAAAAAACAAACAACCCCATCAAAAAGTGGGCAAACGATGTGAACAGACACTTCTCAAAAGAAGACATTTATGCAGCCAAAAAACACATGAAAAAATGCTCATCATCACTGGCCATCAGGGAAATGCAAATCAAAACCACAATGAGATACCATCTCACACCAGTTAGAATGGCAATCATTAAAAAGTCAGGAAACAACAGGTGCTGGAGAGGATGTGGAGAAATAGGAACACTTTACACTGTTGGTGGGACTGTAAACTAGTTCAACCATTGTGGAAGTCAGTGTGGCGATTCCTCAGGGATCTAGAACTAGAAATACCATTTGACCCAGCCATCCCATTACTGGGTATATACCCAAAGGACTATAAATCATGCTGCTATAAAGACACATGCACACGTATGTTTACTGCGGCATTATTCACAATAGCAAAGACTTGGAACCAACCCAAATGTCCAACAATGATAGACTGGATTAAGAAAATG